>NC_000003.12:40313030-40616060 GCF_000001405.40 Homo sapiens
CAGCCACGGTGTCTCATGCCTATAATCCCAGCACTTTGGGAGGCCAAGGCGGGCAGATCACTTGAGGCTGGGAGTTTGAGACCAGCCAGGCCAACATGGTGAAACTCCATGTCTACTAAAAATGCAAAAAATTAGCTGGTGTGCACCTGTAGTCCCAGCTGCTTGAGGCTGAGGCACCAGAATCTCTTGAAACTGGAAGGTGGGGGTTGCAGTGAGCCAAAGTGGCACCACTGCTCTCCAGCCTGGGCAATAGAGCAAGACTCTGTCTCTTAAAAATACATATAATTTGCAGTTCTTAATTAAGAGATTTCTGCAGCTCATCTTCTTGAGTTCCAGGCTCCTTTCTATTAAGTAGTATTTACTTGGTTGCACGGGCCACGCCACTAAAACCATTTAGCCGATGCAAAGATGCATCTGCATGGGCAAACTTTTTAGCTTACTACAGTTGCATGAGGATGGTATGGAAAAAAAAAAAGTCTTATTTTGGGGCCAGTGAGCCCTAATGAGCCCTTGCCTATATTTTGGTGATACTGTTTTTGGGAAAACAAAATCAGCCCCCACAAAGTTTGCCTCTTAAAGACACTAAGTAATAATAGGTTTGTTATTTTCTCACCTCATCCTTCCTCCAATACAGTAAGACAGACAAGAAGTATACAGCAGAATATAGACCCAAATTTGATAAGCACATTTCTGGAAAACATCAATACAGTTTGATGAAGAAGATCAAGAAGTTTGGGAGAATTTTCCAAGTTACTAAGAACCTCCTACTTTTTCATCTGTAATATTGTATAGTAGCACCCTGTTGAGGGGTGCTGTGGAAATGGTAAAGCAGAAATTTATATTAACAGCCACATTCAAGTGCTGCCTAAATAGATAACATCTGCTGAGAGCTGAGCTAGTGCCAAGAAAATAATTTACATTAGATGGGAAAGAAAGCACCCCTCATCCTGGGACCCATAGACAAGCTCTGTAGTAATCACTTCCTGTGTGAGTCCAAAGTGGGTGGGATTAAAAGGCTTAAGGAAAACTTCCCTCTGGATTTCATGAAGAGCACCTTTCCTGATTCTCTTCCCTTCAGCCTATGAGTTCCAGCACCTGATTGGACTTTGAACTTGTGGGGCAGTCCCAATCTTTAGAGCAAGAAAGAGACGAGGAGGCATTGTATAACTGTGGAGGAAAGATAACATGTCTTAGAGATGCAGCAAACTGGCAGTAGCCAAACTGGATATCTCTCTGTGTCTTCCATGTTGGAAGGTCTTGATCTGCAGTTTCTTTAGTGGTTTATACTTCAGGGTGCACAATGCGTAATACCAAGTAGAAGACAAATAGGTTTATCCCTAGACTTTTAAACTTGGAGACGCCATTAGGAAGTTAAGACCTTTGGTTGAATCATAGCCTGGAGTAAAGTGCTGCCAGCAGCAATGTCCTCCACCTTTCAGTCCTGGCTCTCCTGAGGCCGAGGAAACCCCATGGAAGCAGTCTGATCAACCTGCTTAGGAACTCGAGTAACAGGAACTGTTCTCTTAACCATTCCAGAAACGGGGTGGCTCTGATCATATGGAAGGGACAGTTCTAGTTTCAGTCATGATGGCAGTTAGCCAAAATAACTTGAGAAATATGGAGCTGTAATGCAGGCTTCTGTGTGTCACGTGTATGCCACCAGCCTGGCTCCACCTAATGGAATGGGTAATGACAGCTTGGAAAAAGGCAACCTCATTCGACCACCTCCACACACCAGCTGCACTGGGTTTCTGAGGACTCCCCTTACCAAGCCAAAGGTCCATTTGGGAGAGAAACAAAGGCATGATCCTGCTGTACTAAATCCAAGAGAGTCCTCAATTGTGGACTGTGATCACTTGACAAGCAAGAGGTAGCCAGGTGACATTGTGCTTGTCTGGGATCAAAGGGCCAAGGGAATCAGCTAGAATTAAGCAGGAGCAAAATTATATAAAGAGGCCTCAGCATTGAACACTCTTCACATAGTCATGTAGGCACTTAACTCCTTTTTATCTGGATAATGGAAGCATGGAAAAAAAACCCATAAATCAGAGGATTAGGCTATATTTCTTCCTTCCTGGAAAACCATTCAGAGTGGAATTAATACTGATGAGAGGAGAGAATGCCAGACTCCTCCAATGTTCCTTACCCAGCATTATTGTGTTAGATGACTTTAGGGATTCTCTGAGCTACACGGGAGAACTTAAAATGGCAATTTAAGGCTGGGTGCGGTGGCTCATGCCTGTAATCCCAGCACTTTGGGAGGCCAAGGCAAGCGAATCACCTGAGGTCAGGATTCGAGACCAGCCTGACCAACATGGAGAAACCCCATCTCTACTAAAAATACAAAATTAGCCAGGTGTTGTGGTGCATGCCTGTAATCCCAACTACTCGGGAGGCTGAGGCAGGAGAATCACTTGAACCCAGGAGGCAGAGGTTGTGGTGAGCCGAGATCGTGCCATTGCACTCCAGCCTGGGCAACAAGAGTGAAACTCCGTCTCAAAAAAAAAAAAAAAAAAAAAAAACTGAAATGGCAATTTAAACTCAGCATCGGCTTGTGAGGATACCATCATGGGTCAGGTGGCTTACCTGGTAAGTCATCAGTCTGATTTTGAACCCACCACGGGTAGCAGTAGATCTGCTCTGGTATATAGATAGCTCTGCACCTGTGAACTGAGGGTGAGGGCCCTGATGCTGCATGATGCTGGATCTAGGTGCCTTCATCTCAAACTAGTGAACAGCCTACAGACATTTTTCATGCAAAAAGCAATGACATATAGATAGGCACCATTCGTTCAAGGCACAAAAGAAGCTTAAAGCCCCCACAGGGAATCTAATTGATCTCAGGCCTCATGCTCAGGCTTCAACTGCAGCTCCCTGTTCTAGTCTAGAGGGTTTTGAAGGCCTGAGGTCTATAGAATGGTCCAGAAGGAGGCTAGCTTTAACCCCAGAGTTTGTCTCCATGTGTCCTTTACCCATTCTTACCAGGGTGCCAGACCCCAGACCCCACATCCCGAGTCCACTGGCAAGGAACAACATACTGTCTGGAAAGTAGAGAGAGAACTTTTTAAAAATGTTTATTTATTTATTCATTTGTTTATTTTTGAGATGGAGTTTCACTCTTGTTGCCCAGGCTGGAGTGCAATGGCATGATCTCAGCCCACCACAACCTCCACCTCCTGGGTTCAAGTGATTCTCCTGCCTCAGCCTCCCGTGTAGCTGGGATTACAGGCATGCACCACCACGCCCGGCTAATTTTGTATTTTTAGTAGAAACGGGGTTTCTCCATGTTGGTCAGGCTGGTCTCGAATCCCAGCCTCAGGTGATCCGCCCACCTCTGCCTCCCAAAGTACTGGGATTACAAGCGTGAGTCACCGCACCTGGCGTTTTTATTTTTAAATTTATTTTTCCCTTTTAATTTTAGTTGACATGTAATATACATGTTTGTGGGATACAAAGTGATATTGCGATACATGTACACAATATAAAATCAAATCAGGGCGATTAGCATATCCATCACTTCAGACATTTATCATTTCCTTGTATTGTGAGTATTTTAAATCCTCTTTTCTAGGTTATCCATGTCAGCCTAAATTTTGTGGGGAAGACATCACCAGACAAGGATTTGGTAGAAGGTATAATTCCTTGAAGTAAGAAAAGGCCAACCTGGGCGCGGTGGCTCACACCTGTAATCCCAGCATTTTGGGAAGCTGAAGCAGGTGGATCATCTGAGGTCAGGAGTTCCAGACCAGCCTGGCCACCATGGTGAAACACCATCTCTATTAAAAATACAAAAATTAGCCAGGTGTGGTGGCACACTCAGGAAGCTGGGGCAAGCGAATCAGTTAAACCAGGGAGGCGGAGGTTGTAGTGAGCCGAGATCACATCACTGTACCCAGCCTGGGCGACAGAGCAAGACTGTGTCTCAAAATTAAAGTTAAAAAAAAAAAGAAAAAAGAAAAAGAAAAGGCCCACCCCCATAAACATCCACTCTTAGTGCATCACTGCCATTGACTTGTTAAAAAACGCAGAAAAGCTTAGCCCAATACTAGCATCAGGAAGAATAGTAAATGAGTGGCCAGACACACTGAATGGGAACCAGTAACAGCCCACTTGGTAGATGAAGTATGTCGAAACGAAATATAGGGTACCCAGTGAATGATGCTATTACAGAAGAAATTGAAGGGGGACGGATTTCTGTAAGTATGCAGTCCTTTATCACCCCCTTGTGGCCACTTAAACAACTGGAAGGCTCCTAGCAGTTTACATGCATTATAAAGGTTTAAGTTGCAGTCATCATTAAAGCACCAGCTGACAGGTTTGATTTTGTCATCACTCAAATGTGATCCAGAAATTAATCTAGCCAAACATTTATTATTACAATTCATATAAATCAATTGCCATTTTTCTTTACCTGGGAGAGACAACAATGTTTTCATGGTCTTGCCCTGGGGATATATAAAGCACCTCAGCTACTATCTACCACGGTGCTGTTAGAAGGAATTTAATTTAAATGTAAACAGAGACTTCTGTTTACAGCCTCCAGGGAATGAATGATTAAGCTAGAAAACAATCAAGACTCCTAAATTGTCGCTTGTTGAGAAACACAGTCTGGAATTTGCATACACACACCCTAAATATTCAGTGCTCTCAATCTAAACCACTGTCTTAGGCCAATACAGAAGTTAATGTGCCTTTCACTTATGAGGTTGCCTAAAGGCTTTAGTCTGGGAAAAGCAGCGACAGGATTCCTTAAAACTCCTTAATGCCATTCCAGTAGACCTGAAGAACCCAGAACAGGACTCATTTGGAAAACTAATCATTAGGAACGTACTCACTTGCAGAGCATCTGGCAGATCTCACCTGCACAGGTAGGGGAGGGCTAATGAGAGCTCAGTAGTAACCTGGAAATGGTGCTCTAGGGATTTGGTCCCACAGGAATCAACAGCAGCATCACCAGATGGGCCTCTGGTTAGAGATCCCCACAAGAGGTGTTAAGAGGTATAACTTAGGAAACTATCTCTTTAACAACAGATCCTTTGGGCCTTTTTACATTTTTATCAAGCATTGCCCCTCATTTTCTCACTTCTCTTACATTAATAATAAAAATAGCTAATTCCTTTTCAACACTTATATTGTAGGTCCTGCTCTGAGAATTCTACATGCATCAGCTCATATAATTCTTTTCACAGACATCATGACCCGGCATAGATTCCCTGGCTTACCATCACAATCACACCCCTTGCAAATATCATCTCCCCTTGATCCTTTCTCCTTTTTTTTTTTTTTAATTCATTTGACAAAACCCCAATCCAATCCTTGTTCAACCTAACTATCTGCTCCACAACAGCACATAACACCTGGAGATAGCTGGGGGGTGGGGGGGTGGGGTAGGGAAGATGGCTTTTCTTTCTTCCTTTCCCTTTACCAGTCCCCCCTCCATCCTCCACTAAGCAAGGTGAAGGCTTGGTCTTATCCGTCATTGAGATATTTGACCGTCTTCATTTTTCCACCTCCAAATCTACCCTTTGGAGGCAATGTTGCATACTCTGTCTTCTTTCCCATACAAGGCATGAAGTACACTTGCTCCACCCATCAAAACAAACCCCTCCATTTGTGTCCTGGGTACCATCTCCTCTTCTCCATAAAATACCACTGTAATTATCTCCTTTCTTCTGAATCATCAATTTCTTCCTCTCTACTGGATCATTTTCATCAGATGGAAACATCTAGTACTGCCCGTCTTTCAAGTAGAAGAAAAGAAAACCATTGATCTGACATTCCCTTCAGCAAACAAAGAAAGAGCCTGCTTCTTTACCCCCAAACTCTTTCCCCAGTCGGCCTCATCTAAGTAAATGGCACTGCCATCCATAGAATTGCTCAAACTTAAAACTTTATCTTTGAATTTTCCCTTCCTTTACTGCCTTTACCCCGTCCTATCTAATGGGGTCTTAGTGTTTCTACTTGCAAAATGTATCATATCCATCCTTTCCCCTACCCCCAACTTCTGACTAGTACACCTGACAAGCACCATTGTTTTGCACCCGGATTACTACAGTAGCTCTCCGGCTGGTCGTCTTGCATCCATTCACAACACAGAAGCCTGAGGATTCTCCAAAATTCACGTGAGATTATGTCAGTTCTCTGCATGAAATCTTCCGAAGGCTTCTCATTGCACTTAACATTAACTCCAAACATATTACAGTGGCTTACAGGATGCCACATCACCTGTTCCCTGCCTATCCCTTGTTCTTGCCATCTAGCCTCTGACTCTCCACTACACGACCAGACCCACTGGTCTTCAACCTTAAAGCATTTACACTACATGTTCAGTTGGTCCAGAATACTCTATCCTGCTCCCCATCTCCCTTCTTGTCCCTCAATTTCAGTTCAAACCTCATCTGAAGAAAGCCATCTCTGATCACCCAATCTAAATAAGCCCCTCACCACCCATCTCCCTCAGCACCACCCATCTCAGCACCCTGTATTTTGTTTTCTTTATAATACTTATCTTTATTTAACAACATCTTGCTCATTGTTTTGCTAGTTTACCTTGCATCTCCCTACCACTAACATGTAAGGTATACAAGAGATACTTGTAGGCGATGCTGTCTGTGCCTCACCCATATCCCTTGGCACTCACCTTTCCCACACATGTGCCCTGGATGCTCCAACTGCAAGCATCTGTGTCCAACTGCAAGCATTGTTTGAGGGCATTCCCTGGCCCCAGGAGCATGCAAGGGATGGAAATACTTGAGACTGGGGCAGGATGGAAATACCAAGGAGTTAACACCTGCCCCCTGCACCCCTCACACTAGCAACCTTCAATCAATGGCAGGTGGAAATAGCTATATAATTATCCCAGCTCACTTACCCTCAGGTAAGAAAAGCATGGAAGCATGGTCTATACTGACTCCCAGGATTTCCCAGCAAGATTGGACCTCAGTTGCCAATAACAGTAACCTGTCAATAAAGTATCATTTATTGGCTCCCTTCCCTTCCCTTCTCTGTCTCATTTTCCCATACCTCCACCTATGCTTTCTGAGATCACCTCCCAAATAAACTACCAGCACTTACATCCTTATCATAGCCTTCTGGAGGAACCCAACTTAAGATACCTTTGTACCTCCCAATCCAGTTTAGATCGGGGTATGAAATACAATAGGTGCTCAATAAATATTTGTTGAACAAATGAGTAAATCTCCCTCCCTGTGACCACCACTCACCCTTTGGGAAATTCCAGACTTATCTATTATACGTAACGTATCTGTGGGTCATTTTCCATTTTGAAGATATTTGGAGCCTGTGTATCTGAGGTGGGAAGAGAATAGATATTTGTAATAGGATTGCTTGAACATAATTATTTCTGGTAAGCCCTTTCCTTACTCTTTATTTCATGCTTCTCCCCTGGAGTAGGGGAAGAAGAAGGGAATTCAGTTCCAGGAGAAAGGAAGCTGGAAAAATGAATGCCTGGAAGGGACATATTCTACCAGGGCCTTGGAAAGACTTGGGTTCTAGGCCCCTTTGCCCTTTGCTGATATTTTCCTAGTGGCCTAGCTTGCCCAGATGCTGGCTGAGACTTAGTTATCTTCTTATCACATCATTCTACATATGCAAGAAGTATCCATGGGGAAAAGGATGGATTATTTAGTTGAAGGTGTTAGGAAATTTGGCTCAATAAAGAAAAAGCTGGGTCCCTACTCCATACCACAAACACTAATGGATTACAATGGATTAAAGACCTAATTGTGAAAGGCAAAACTATATAGGTTATCAAAGAAACCCAGAAAGATATGTTGTGACTGGGACAAAAAATAAGGTTAATTGGTCAAATAAGCTGGGTGCAGTGGCTCACACCTGTAATCCCAGTACTTTGTAAGGCAGAGGCAAGAAGATGGCTTATAGCCAGGAGTTCTAGGCCAGCCTGGGCAACAAAGCAAGACCTCGTCTCTATAAAAAAATTTAAAAATTAGCCAAGCATAGTGACACACACCTGTAGTCCCAGCTATGGGGAAGCTGAGGCAGGAGGATTACTTGAGCCCAGGGGTTTGAAACTGCAGTAAGCTATTATCACACCACTACACTCCAGCCTGGGTGACAGAGTGAGACCCTGTCTCTGAAAAAATAATATGGTAAAATATACATAACATAAAATTTATCATCTTGACTTTTTTATTGCATATCACTCCTTTGTTATACTAAACTAGAAAAAAATGTAGTACAGTTATTCTGAAAAAGAATGCTGGGACCATGTGACAGGGCAAAGCAAGTAGAACACGATTAAGAAATCAGGCACAGTGAAAGACACATTTGGACATGCTCAAGGGGCATTTCACTGCCACAAAACAAGGCAGGGGAGGGATTCTAAAATATACAGCAGAATGCACTTCTACCCTTAGAAGTCAAAAGGCGTATCCCATGTTGGTGTGAGGATTGGCTTACTTTCTGATGACCATACATGGGACTAACTATTTCAACTGCCACTAGAAACCCCAAAGTGGTTGTGTGTATGTGTATGTGTGTGTGTGTGTGTGTGTGTGTATGTATATAATATATATGTATATATATAGTGTGTATATACATACACATACACACAAATATATGCACACACATACATATATAGACAAAATTTAAGTTTCTGTGTTGAATTATGTGTTAAGTTTGTGTTGCATTTACTTTTACAAACATATATGTACACATATGTGTTGCAATTATATATAATATCTGTATTTTATATAGATAAAAATTATATATATTATATCTATATTTTATATATAGATATTATATATATAAATATGTGTGAATGCAACACATAAACTTAATTGAAGATTGATCCCAACCTTCTAAAGCCAGCTTCTGTGGTGTCAGGGAGGAAATAGTTGATTTTTTTTAACATTACTATGTAGGTTACATTTATCTTCCACTGAAATGACTAACCCCACCGCCCAAGTCAGTGACCTAACCACAGAAGGGCACAGGACTGGCTCCTGGGGTCAAATAGGCACTCTTGCTTCATTGCTTCTTGCTTCTTCATTGGTCATGCCTTAGCATGGTTCCTCCCTCTCCCCTTCTCAAGCTGGTCCCTAGTAAACATAGCCCTGGCAAAACCTAGAGTTACTACCACTGAACTCTCTTGGCTAAGAGAAGCCTTCCCTCAGTGTGGACTGAGAACCCATGCCCCAGAGACGCTATTCCAATCCAGCTGTATGAAGGGAGTGGGTGTAGGAGATACAATGGCTGAAAGGAAAATGGAAGCCACTGGTCCCCCATCTGCAGCTACAACTTAAGATGACTACGGCTGGGCACGGTGGCTCACAGCTGTAATCTCAGCACTTTGGGAGGCTGAGATGGGTGGATCACATGAGGTCAGGAGTTTGAGACCAGTCTGGCCAACATGGTGAAACTTCATCTCTACTAAAAATACAAAAATTAGCTAGGCATGGTGGCATATTCCTACTGTCCCAGCTACTCGGGAAACTGAAGCGGGAGGATCACTTGAACCTCAGAGGTGGAGGTTGCAGTCAGCTGAGATTGTGACACTGCACTCCAGCCTGGCTGACAAAGCGAGACCCCGTCTCAAAAAAAAAAAAAAAAAAATGACTATGGTCAGTGTGACATATGCAGAAGTGCAGAGGAAGGGATGGGCAGAGAGGGCATTCCTTGGGACAGTAATCTATCTGCTGGCCTTTATTTCTTGACCTTGCTCCCAATAGCCATAGCTTCCATGGCTTTATGCACAGTCTCTTCATCCCCCCCCGGGAACTACATGGGCTTGGTGGGCTTCAAGTTCTTGTCCAATCTATAGACAATGGGAATACCAGCTGGCAGGTCCAGCTGCATGAAGCCTCTTCAGAGACACCCTCCAGATGCTCAACAATGCCCCGAAAACTGTTGCCATCAGCTGCAATCAGCACCCATTTCCCCTCCTTGATCTAGGAGACTATCTCTTCTTTCTAAAAGGGCAGAGCTATGGCAGTAGTGTCCTTCAGACTTTCACAGGAGGGTAGCTGATCATTCTCACTGGTGTTGCCTTAGACGGGATGGTTGGGCTCCATCAGAGGTGATGAGACATCATAGGAGCACTTCCAGATCTTTACCAAGGCCTCCTCATGCTTGGCAGCAGCTTCTGCTTTATTAAGGCCAATTAGAACCCCATAGTGGCACTCGTTCCAAGTCCTCATTACAGGCATCCACATCTGGTCAATGGCATCCAGCACTGTGCAGATGGTCCAGATGGCTTTTTCTTCCACTGTCCAAGCCACCACGCCTCACAGAAAAGTATCAGGCTGATCAACCCAGATCCATCTAGGCCACTGCCACAAGGTCTTTTTAAACAGCTTTATTGAGATATAATTCACCTAGCAAAAAATTCAGCTATTTAAAGTGTACAGTCCAGTGTGGTTTTAGTATATTCCTAAAGTTGTACAACATCATTACAATCAGTTGTGGAATATTTTCATCACCCCCCAAAGAAACGTTGTACCCATTAGCAGTCATTCCTCATTCACGTGTTTTCTTCTAGGAATGTAGTTTTAGGTCTTACATTTAAGTCTTTGGTCCAGTCTCAATTAACTTTTGTGTATTGGTATAAGGTAGGAATCCAAATTCATGCTTGTACATGTAGATAACCAGTTATTCCAGCACCATTTGTTAAAAACACTAGTCTTTCGCCCATTGGATCATCCTGGCACCCTTATTGAAAATCAATTGGCCGTAGATGAGAGTTTATTTCTGGACTTGCAATTCTATTTCATTGATCTGTTTATGTATCTTTATGCCAAAACCACACTGTCTTAATTACTGCAACTTTGTAGTGAGTTTGAAATTGGGAATGTGAGTCCTCTAACTGTTCTTTTCCAAGATTGTTTTGGCTTGTCCATGTCTCTTCCAGTTCAGCTAGTTACAAAGTATCATTTTGCCTCTCATCTGAGGCTGTGTCCTGTACATAGGTTTTTCTCAGGAACCTTGTCGGGAGGTCTTGAATCAGGAGTGACTGAATGCCCTAGCCATCTTCCCAGCTCATGGTATCCCAATCTCATCTTTATACCAACGCTATAAACTACCTAGCCCAACTATGTCACTCAACCTGGCTCCTAAAATCCCAGCCTGAGCCAGAGTCCTTCTCCCCAAATGCCTGAGGGCAGAGCAGCTCCACGATAAAACCCAAGTAAGCTCCCCGGGTGTTTGCAGTCTCACAATGATTGGGTTTTCCTCTGCTAGGAAAAGAGAGAGAATTTAAAAATATGTAAACGTAAACAACATTTATTTTGAAAATGTTTTCTTTTTCTTGTTTTTCTTGCTATGGGTTTCTATTAAATCTAAATTAGTATAAGAATCCTAGAAGAAAGCCTAGGAAATACCACGCTGGACATGGGCCTTAGGAAAGAATTTATGACAAAGTCCTCAAAAGCAATTGCAACAACAAAAAAAATTGACAAATGAGAGGTAAAGAGCTTCTGCACAGCAGAGGAAACTGTTAGCAGAGTAAACAGACAAGACAACCTACAGAATGGAAGAAAATATTTGCAAACTATGCACCCAGCAAAGGTCTAATATCCAGAATCTATAAGAAACTTAAATAATTAAACACGCAAAAAACAACAACAACAAAGAACTGCATTAAAAAATGGGCAAAAGACATGAGAAGACACTTTTCAAAAGAAGACATACAAGTGGCCAACAAACATGACAAAATGCTCAACGTCACTAATCATAAGAGAAATGCAAATCAAAACCACAATGAGATACCATCCCACCGCAGTCACAATGGCCATTATTAAAAAGTCAAAAAACAGCAGATGTTGGTGAGGCTGTGGAGAAACGGGAACACTTATAATACTGTTGGTGGGAATGTAAATTAGTTTAACTACTGTGGAAAGCAGTTTGGAGATTTAAAACAGAACTACCATTTGACTCAGCAATCCCATTACTGTATGTTCATTCAAAAGCAAGCAAATCATTCTACCGAAAAGACACATACACTCACATGTTCACTGCAGCACTATTCACAATAGCAAAGTCATGGAATCAACCTAGGTGCCCATCAACAGTGGATTGGATAAAGAAAATGTGGCATATATACACCATGGAATACTATGGAGCCATATAAAAGAATGAAATCATGTCCTTTGCAACAACATGGATGCAGCTGGAGGCCATTATCCTAAGAAAATTAAAGCAGGAACAGAAAACCAAATACCACATGTTCTCACTTATAAGTGGGAGCTAAACATCAGGTACTCATGGCATAACGATGGCAGCAATAGACACTGGGGACTACTAGAGTAGGGAGGAAGGGAGAAGGGCAAGGGTCAAAAAACTAACTGTTGGGTACTGTGCTCAGCACCTGAGTGACAGAATTATTTGTACCCCAAACTTCAGCATCACACAGTATACCCAGGTCACAAACCTGCACTTGTACCCCCTGAATCCAAAATAAAAGTTGAATAGGAAAAAATAAAATAAAATAAAGTTCTGTAATGATACTTTAACACAAACTTTTTCTGTAAATATTAATAGTAAATATTTTAGGCTCACAGGTTGTATGATCTCTGCTGCAAATACTCAACTCTGCCATTGAAGCAAGAAACTGCCATAGAGTATATAAATGAATGAATGTGGCTGTGTTCCAATAAAACTTTATTTATAGACACTAAAATTGCAATTTTATATAATTTTCAGATGTCACAAAATACTATTCACCTTTTGATTTTTTTTCACTAACCATTTTTAAATGGGGGATAATTCCTTTCTTAACTATAGTTAACTATACTTTTTGGACCACATGAAAACAATAGGTAGGACAGAATTTAGTCTGAGATCCACAGTTTTCTGACCCTGGATTTAATGTGACACAGGAATCATGGCACTTGAAGGAACCACACACTGAACCAAGAACTTTTGATTAAGCAGCTCATTCCAATTAAAATAGTATTTGCAGCACCACAGTTGGCCTCAGGTTTTAACCTGAAGCCCCTAAAAGTAGGTTAGCCCAGTAACAGTGGATAAAAGCCTATTTAGAGAGACATTTCCAAAGCATGCCAGAGAGAGACCTGAGTTAGAGGCCACTTGGCCTTAAGGTCCTTGGATATTTTCCCCAGGTGGTCAGGGCCATGTTAGTACCTGTGTCCGAGGACCGAAATTGCCTCCATGGATTCCAGAGTTGCAACACACATCCTTGTTCAATTTAGAGAGGGAGAGAAAAAAATAAAACATCATTCAGAATTGCCTTTTTGACACAGGCAGTGTTGGTGTCATGAGGACTTTTTGCTAAAAGGCCTAGATTCTGTCCTGGCTCTGCTGTCAGCTCCTGTGACCAGGAGACGCTCTAAGCCCTGACTGCCCAGTCAAAATCCTGGTGCTGTTGATTTCTAGCTGTGCCATATTAGAAATCAAAAAGCCTCAGTTTGTTGATTTCTAACAAACTGAGAGATACCTCCATTTCCATATATATAAAGTGGAGATATATCTCCCAAGCCTCTGTTTCCATACCTATAAAGTGGAGATGATGATGATAGCCTCAGGGACTCATTGTGGGGATTTTATTGCATAGTGCTTTGCACATAATATGCATTTAACAAATGTTAGCTTTTCATTATTACATATCAAGGGAGAAAACATTGGTCATGCTATCTTTATGGAAATCAAAGAGGAAAGGATATGAAAATGTGAAAGGGTGAGATCTAATGTGGAATTTCAATCGTCTTTTTACAAGCAGAGCTGTGGAACCCTGGGACTAACCCTTTGTAGTTATAGCTCCATTTTTTTTTTTTTGGCAACTTTTCTCTTTTTTTTTTTCTTGATCAGTGTTGCCAGAGGCTTATCAGTTTTTATTCTTTCATCTTTTCAAAAAACCAACCTCTAGCTTTAGTGATTCTTCCTATTACATGCTTATTTTCTGTTTTATTAGTTTCTTCCCTTATGAGTTTTCTTCCTCCTACTTTCTTTGCATATTCTTTTTGTAACTTCTCAATTTAGTTGCTTAGCCCATTAACTTTTAACTTCTTTTCGAATGTAAGCACGTAAGGATGTAAATTTCCCTTGCGCAGCCTGCAGATTTTGATATTTAGTATTTTTGTTAACATTCACGTGCAAACATTTTCTTTTCTTTCTTTCTTTCTTTTTTTTTAGACGGAGTCCCGCTCTGTCGCTCAGGCTGGAGTGCAGTGGAGCGATCTCAGCTCACTGCAAGCTCCGCCTGCCGGGTTCACGCCATTTTCCTGCCTCTGCTTCCCGAGTAGCTGGGACTACAGGCGCCCGCCACCACGCCCGGCTAATTTTTTGTATTTTTAGTAGAGACAGGGTTTCACCGTGTTAGCCAGGACGGTCTCGATCTCCTGACCTCATGATCCGCCCGCCTCGGCCTCCCAAAGTGCTGGGATTACAGGCGTGAGCCACCGCGTCCGGCCTACATACAACCATTTTCTAATGCCTGTTTAATAAGGTGTCCTCCACTCCTTGGGGAGCTCTGTGGTCTATCGCCCTGCTCAAAGCCTTCAGAAATACGCAGTGCTGTTGGCATCCTCCTCAACCTTGTTCGTTTTCACTACTTGTGGCAAAACTAATTCAAATATTACATGTGGATATAATTAGGTGTTAACTGATTTCCTTGAAGACAGCATTAACTTTCCACTTTCTCATTATCTTGGGTGTTTCTATGCCTCACAGTGTGGCAGGGATATTTTTACTCTGCTTTAGTTAACCGCAAATCCACAGGTGTGTTTTGTACTTTCACTAGTTGAAAACTGGTAGATGCAGTACTCACACATGGCCAAGAGATGGTGCTATTGACCCATTTAGGTCCAGCCTTTATGTTTTGTATGCTGTAGTCATCTAATTTGCTTGCTTGTCTTTGAGTTTGTTTCAGAGAAAAGGTCCAACATCAGAAGAGTTGAGAGGTTATATGATACTGGCTAAACTCTTAGATCCTCTAGGCACTCAAGAAAAAAACATAACAAATAAAAACTCTGGTTTTAAAGATGCAGAGAAATGTCTGGCAATGCACCCTCAGGGGACCTCTCATTCCAGAAGTCTAGAAACCTCCCAGAAGGAAGAAGCACTTGCTTTCCTGTGTCCCTATGTTTGCGAAAGCTACTCAGCCATTCCCTGGAGAGGTTTCTCTTGGTGCAGTCTCTCAGCTGACGTTTTGGATCACAAATGAGCAGTCCGCACATAACTCAATTTCAAGAGTTAAAAATCTTAGCCTTTAGTTGGGAACAATTTTCCAACAAACAGGATGTGGAAGTGATGTTATCTGAGGGAAGACATGGTGCCTCTGAGCTGTTAGACCTTTCCAAACTACACATATGCCTGGCCTGTGTTCACAAGTATACACACACACACACACACACCCGCCCCCCCCCCACACACACACTCATTCCCCTTCTCTCTCTCAAGTGACCTGATCTCCAATCCCTCTGCAGCCTCCTGAGGGCTTCTTATTCTTTAATATGAATGAGAGTCACCAGGCAAGTTTATTAAAATGCAGATTCCAACTCAGGAGGCCTGGAGTGGCCCAAGGCTCTGCATTTTTAACAAGCTCCCAGGGGATACCGGCCATCTGGGTTTGCAGGCCACATTCTGAGGAGTAGAGGTTCGTGGCAGTGCAGAGTGGCATAATGACAGGCATCAATGTGGTTGATTCAGAGATGCCCCAGTGTTACCGGATCAAACCCAGGGTCGGGCTGCTTATTCTCAAGGCCCAGTAATGAGATGCAGATGAACTGGGAGAGAAGAGAATTTATTTCTGTAACCGGGTAGGCAGACCAACTTAAAATTACAAAGCTTTCCATTGTTTATATACCTTCTAAGCTATATGTCTATGTGTAAGTGCATTCATCTAAAGACATAAGTGGTTAACTTCTCCTAATATAACTAAGGTCTGAGTTTTGAAGACCTTTCTCTGG
The DNA here is from genome assembly GCF_000001405.40 of Homo sapiens. Lineage (NCBI taxonomy): Eukaryota > Metazoa > Chordata > Mammalia > Primates > Hominidae > Homo > Homo sapiens. The sequence goes on from NC_000003.12 coordinate 40,328,933, forward strand.
AGCCTCAGTAAATTTACTTAATCTAGATGGCTCCAGGTGCCGGAGTGATTACCCTTATCTCGTCTCCTGCTAAATCATGGAGGTTTGAGGAGTTCCTTTAGACCATCCTCCCCACCCCCCTGCCCAGTAAAACTTGTTTGTGGAGGTCTGGGGAGTTTCTTCAGACCCCCAATAAAACTTGTTTAATCCTACATGGGTCCTGTTAAGAATTCCTTCGTTATCGTGTCAGGCTTCAAGGCCCAGGAAAGGCCTAGGCAAAACTCTTGGTGGGCTTTGTTACATTCCAGCCTTTGCATAAGGAGACTGGCTCTATTAGCTTTTAATATTTAACCTAACCACTCAGTCAGTGCCGCAACAGTTGTCATGGAGGCTTGCCTGTTCAGCTGTTAGTGAGACCTGGCCTGCCATGCCAGGACTCAGAATCAGAAGCCCTGGATTCAGATTCGGGCTCTACCACTTTCCAGCTTTATGGCCTGATCAAGCCAAAGCCAGCCAGTCTCTCACAGCCTCAGTTTTCTCAGCAGCAACTTAAGGATAATTGTGCCTCGGATCAGAATGACTATTCTCGGCACAAAATGAGATGATGTGTATGGCATCAAATTCAATGCCTTGCCATAGAAAGTGCTTGGTTATGCTTTTTAGGAAATGTGAGACTTACGCATAAAATGGCAATGTGAATACTGGAGTTGAACACCTGGAGCTACTTCTAGTGCCTCATGGAAATGACCTATGGAATCATTTTCTAAACTTCCTTGATCATTAAAATTACCAGGACACTGTGAAAAACACAAACTCTTAAGACCTGTCATCTCCCAGATCCTGAACTCGAATCTCTGTGGAGGAGAGGGGCTTACATTTCTAACAAGTGCTCAGAAGGATTCGTGAGATCAGGCATGTTTGAAACACTAGCCTACAGAATATAAAAATATGGAAAAACCTGCCTTCATTCTGGAAACTAGAAAAAGGTACCCTGTATCTGTCTGAAACAGCAGCATTTTTCTGTTATCTATCATAAGGATGGGGCCAAAGGCAGCCTAGAAAGACAGCTCCAACACTCTAGTGAAAGATGGAAGTAGGAGAAAGTGGGGAAGACCAGTCACCAAACAGACCCCTACAAAGCCCTTGACTCAGAGGGCTGCAGGCAGGCCTGGAGGGGCCTCCAGGCTTCCATCCAAGGGGTATCTGCACTCCTGGAAGGCAGGGAGTGGGGCTTCCTGCTTGGCAACAGGGGAAACCACATGCACTGAAACCCTCATCTGGGGTCTGCTTCTCCTGGGAGGATGAATATAGGGAGGAAAATCAGCAGGATCACGAAGACATTACAATGTTGTGCACACCAAAATTTAACATAAGAATTCCCTTCCCTCTAGCAATTCACTTCTGGGAATTTATGACAAGTAAACAATCAAGCCGTGGGACAAAATTGAATGCATTCAGATGTTCAATGCACTATTGTTTATAACACTGAAAATTTTGAAACAACAGGAGAATGGTTAAATCAATGAGAACTGAAAAGGATTTAGGCAGGCAAAGAGTGGGAGGTGGCAAGCTTCAGAAGGAGGGCTTGGCAAACGCAAAGTCTTCCCGTGAGAAAGCAGTGGACCTGAGTGATTGGAGCACAGGATGGGGACATAGGTTGGCATGAGAGGAGTGAAGCTGAGAAGCAAGCCAATTAGACAGGGCCTCACAGACCATGGCAAGATGCATGAATGCTATCTGAGGGCATTGATGAGTTCCAAGCATGGGAGCAGAACAATTGGATTTATTCTAAGAAGCTGATTATGGCTGTTAGTCAGAGAGAGGAACGTACAGAAAGCAAGAGCAGAGGCGAAAAGGCCAATGAGAGGCTACTACACGTGGAATGATGGTGGTAAAGAGGCAGAGAAGTGGGTGGACAAGAGACTCGCTTGGAGATAGAATTAACAGGACTTGCTGTTGTGTTGGCCATAAGTGGCAAGGAAAAGATGACTTCCAGGATTTTATCTTTGGAAATTGGGTGGCTGGGAGTGACATTATTAAAATGAGGGAGGCTGGGGTAGAAAGACAGGATTGAGGAGTGGAAACAAGAATTCCATTTTGAACATGTTGAATTTTTTTTTTTTTAATAGAGACAGGGTCTCACTATGTTGCCCAACTGGTCTTAAAATCCTGGGCTCAAATGTTCCTCCCACCTCAACCTCCCAAAGTGCTGGGATTACAGGTGTGAGACATCACACCTACCCTGAACATGTTAAGTTTTAAATGCCTAAGAGACATCCAATCAGAGATGTCAAGCAACTAGTTGGATTTGTAAGTCTGGAGCTCAGAGAAGACATAAATTCAGGAGGTATCAGCCCATAGAATATTTTTAAAGCCATGAATGAATGAGTTTCTTTAGGAATGTATAAAGAGGGCCCAGAAGAAATCCATATGGAACACTAAAAACGCTAGTTTTGAAGAAGTATATCTGGTGTGACATCATTTTGGTTAAAAAACAAAGCCCCAAAATTCCATCATAACATAAACGCAGAAGATATCTGCATAAATAAATATTCATCTAACGGTTTATGGGGGTTATCTCTGGATAGTTGGGAGCAAAACGCTCATTGACACCCATGAAAGTCAGGTCTATGCCCAAGAACCTTTTTGCACCTGGTCTTTCCCAAATGGCTGCTTAAGGGACCCAGGAGGAGGAGCCTGGAAGTTATGGTGCCCGATTTGATGATGAACCTAGGAGAAGCCACTCTGCATTTGTTACCCAAGGGAATAGGAGGAATGGGAGGGCTTTCATTTTCTCAGTTGTATATTTCTGTCAACATTAAAACTTTTATAAAGAACATCATTATTACTTTTGTAGATAGAGAAAAACAATAAATAAAATTATTTTAAATGGTGGCATCCATTGTTGGTGAAGCCACTGTACAGTGGAAACGCACATCTCTTTGGAGAAAATGTGAATTGGTATGACTTTCTGAAATGACATTTGAATGAATTTGAATGAATTTCATGCAAATGAAATTTTATGTCAAGCTCCTTAAAATGTTCATATCTTTTCACATTCAGGCACCTATGCTAGGGAAATAATCAGAGATGGGTGTTAGGAACCATGGAAAGATTTCAGTAGTTTTAAGATAACAATTTGGCCTGGGTCCATGAACCCTACAAATGCCCCCAACTTGGCTGGGTCCAGCCATCCCTTATCTCCATAACATCTTTAAGGGAGCTGTACACACAAGGAACAAGGAATGTATGGGACACCAAATGACCACTGACGATTCCCTACCTCATGTCTGCACCTTTGCCTGCAGAACTCCATGGAGTGCGTGCTTCTTAGCCCAAGGCCCCAGGGAAGTTTCTCCCAAGCCCAGTTTCTGGATGAATACACATGAAATGGTGAGGTGGCTGAGTCCACTCTGGAAGACCGGGCCTCCTTGCGTGGTTGAGAGGAGAACATCAGAGACAGGGACCATGCTCAAATGCACCAGCTTTTAATAACTGGGTTTGGTACCATGGCTTGTCACCCCACTCCACCCCAACCACCAGAATAAAAACGTATTATTAGACTCTAGCAGAGGCCGACTCACCCTGAAACAAACACACTGGGACTTTCTGGTGCCTCGCCTGTCCAGGCCTCCTCCTTGCCCCTGAGCCTAGTATTGCATTCATTCATATGCTTTTATTCCTTTCTTAAAGGGGGTCTCTAAAACTGCATAAGTCTCAGGTCCCAGCAGACTGGGATGTTCTTGCTTTCAGAAATTTGAGATGGGAAATAAGAAAATAATCCAGCCGTTGGTGGTAGGAGCTGCAGCTGTCTGAAAGGAGGGATCATGAGGGACCCTGAGGAGAGCAGAGCAATGAGCACGCCAGAGATTTGTTTCAGCTGGCCTTGTGAGAGCACTAGGCCTGGAGAGTGAAAAGGAAGATGCAAGTGCCGGCAGAGCTGCGGTGTTGCGGGGAGGAGTGAATGAGTGAGTGTGATGATGCATGACTGCCTGAGCTTGCACTCTGCACAGTGAGTGCTTGCTGAACTTCGTCGGTATAGTTATTGTTAGCACTGCTGATATTACTGTGAAGGTCCGCGCACTCCATTTCCTGGGGTCCTTGGAGCCTGGTTCTGCTCTGGATAAAATGGTCAGGGAAGTCTAACACGCAGCTCTGAGTACACCCCCTGAAGGGGACAGAAGCTGAGAAATTGACCCTCCTCCACTTCACACGTACACCAGAATAGGGAGACCACGGGACAAAGCGCTCATTGACACCCATGAAAGTTAGGTCTGTCCCCAAGAACGCCTTTCCACCTGGTCTTTCCCAGATGGCTGCTTGAAGGGCTCAGGAGGAGGAGCCTGCAAGTCATGGTAACCGATTTGATGATGAACCTATGAGAAGCCACTCGCATTTGCTACCCCAGGCCACCCACATTGGTGTTCTTTGTTTCTACTACTAGTTTACAACATCTTTCTATTCTACTGCCAGGGAGGAAAAAAGGTGTTCCACAAAACTGCCCAAGAGGACATACCTAGGAGGAGCGTCTGACATCAGCGGGGATCTTTGTGCTGCCCTTTCAAACCCTCGCCTCACTAATTACCCAGCAGGAGACAGCCAGCTCCATCCATATTGGAGTTTCACCTTTAATTAAACTTTAATTCACTCATGCCTTATCCTTGTGGCCACATGCTGCTGGGAATCAGTGCCACAGCAACTTGGACCCAGGCCAGAACCTTGCAGAAGAACACCCAGAGGCATCACCAAGTAAAAATAGACTTTCCTGACTATTAAATCCAACACTGTACTCAGGGAACCAACAAGAGTGCTCTCAAGGAAAGCTGTGATCTGCCTATAGGCAAAGAATGGATGATTTCAGTAATTCCTCCCCTCCCCTCCCCGCCCCAACTACACAGGGAGACTCAAACAAACTAGGATTATACAATTACCCATTTAACTTCATCTCATTTCCGATAAGAAGTAATCAGGGGAAGCATAAGAAAACCAAGAACTTCCAACCACTCACATTTATGAAGTGCTAACTCCGTGCCAGGCATGATGGGGAAATGAGATGAAATCAGCTTTCTGTAGACATTGTCAGGGCCCTGCCTACTGTGCACCTGGCAGTCACCTACAGTTCCCACAGGCCCACAGCTTCCTACCCTACACATCTGCATGTCTCTGACAGGCCATTCTCTGGCTGTGGGCATGTGCGGCAAGTCAGCAGGACTGCCCGGAAGTGCCAGGGAGTTAATGCTCCAGGAGTGGTTCCAATGAGGGACAGGAGCTGGTGGACAAACACCCCAGCTTCCTCAACTATTGGTTCCACTTCTTCTCTCAGAATGTCTCTCAGAAGGTCCCCCAGGAGGGAGCCCCAGGTGACTGCCCTAGCCTCCAGCTCATTAATTCACCTTGTATTGGCTTTCATTCTTCTCTGACTCACTTCCCTTCTCTCTCACCAAGCTTTTAGGAATCACTTTTCAGATAAACTACTTGCACCCAATCCTAGTCTCAGTGTCAGCTTTTGGAGGAACACTAACGAAGACACAATTTTAGTCTTAACCTTGATGATAATGACACAAGTTAACTTTAATAAACGTGAAGGCCTAAAACTCAAATATCCATAAGCCAAAAGCCAATGTGATCAAATATCTAAGGCCAAACCCAAGTGGGGCCTAAGGGGCCCTGGAGAGCAGGTATCCTCTTTGGGAGGTAGCTACTAGTCTACTCAAGAGGCTGTTTCCATGCAAGAAGGTGGGGCCAGTATTGTTAGAGCTTCCAATTTTTAAAGAGATGCTGGAATTCTGCATTTTTATATGGACTTTCCCAATTTTTGAATGTTGAAATCAACTCAAAAATTTGAAAGCACTATGAAGCCCAAGAGAAATCCATCCATGGACAAGAGCATGCCCACAGACCCCAGTTTGTGACCTCTGGTTCCACTGGATTTAATAATCCAGCAGCCACTGTTGACCCTTCCCAGGGCAGTTTAAATTGAGTAGTGAGGCCAGAAAGCATATTGTGGAGAGCTGAGAAAAGAATTGGAAGTGAGAAAATAGAGAAAGCCAGTATAGATGATTCTTTCCAGAGCAGAGATAGAGTAGTAGATATTGAAGTGAAATAAATATTTTAATTCTTAAAGTTTGGGCACTCAAAAATACCTTTAAACCAGGAGGCAAGATCAAGGATTAAAGAACAGGATGAAGACAGTGGAGAGACAGGGAGTAACCAATTGAGTAAAGTCCCTCAGCGAAGGCAAGAACAGGCGGGCTAGCTGTGGGATTGGCCTTCAACATGAGGAAAGCCTACCATTCTCTGAAATGTGGGGCAGAAGATACATGACACACTAAGGTAAAGAATCTCTAAAGTATCCTAAGGCAGAGCAGCTCATTAAAAAAAAAAAAAAAAATTTTCGGGCATGGTAGCTCACTCCCGTAATCCCAGCACTTTGGGAGGCCAAGGCAGGTGAATCATTTGAGGTCAGGAGTTCAAGACCAGCTTGGCCAACATGGTGAGACCCCATCTCTACTAAAAATATAAAAATTATCTAGGCATGATGGCACATGCCTGTAATCCCAGCTACTTGGGAGGCTGAGGCAGGAGAATGGCTTGAATCCCAGAGGCGGCGGTTGCAGTGAGCCGAGATTGCACCACTGCACTCCAGCCTGGGCAACAGAGTGAAACTCTGTCTCAAAAAAAAAAATTGACTAGGTATTTTTATTTTTATTTTATTATCTAATTATAAAATTAATATGTGTTTATTTTGGAAATGTTGGAAAATATAGAAAATAATAAAGATGAAATTAAACATTTCCTGTTATTCCACATCCTAGAAAGAACTGTTGCTGGAAAAGGGATATTGATTCCAGGCCCCAAGAGAGGGTTCTTAGATCTCACACAAGAAGGAATTCAAGGCACATCGCAGAGTGCAGTGAGAAGAGATAGTTTATTGAAAGCTACTCAGTTACAGAGTAGGGCATCCTCAGAAAGCAAGAAGAAGACTGCCTTGTCTTTTTTTTGAAGTTTTACTTATATAGGGTCTAGTCTATGTAAAAGCTAAGCTAAGGTATGTCTACATGCAGGTGGGCTGACAGCATAGCAAAATTTATTACTCTGTTTAGTTAAAGAAAACTATCCTTCTATAATCCCAGCACTTTGATAGGCCAAGGCAGGAGGATCGGTTGAGCCCAGGAGTTTGAGACCAGCCTGGGCAATATAGTGAGACCCTGTCTCTAAAAAAAGAGAAAGAAAGAAAAATAAAAAATAAAACGATCCTTGACATTTTAGTGTGCAATTACATCAAAGCATAATTATCTTGAAAGCATATATGGTCATGGGTATTGGGACATCTGGACTTTCCATTGTTGTAGGAGTGTGTCCTTGCAGGTATCTTTAAACTGTTTCCTCAATGGTGAATATCTTATGACTATGTGTCATGACCCACAAGGAATGTGTCTTGTTAGTCCCAAGAGGGAGCTGATATTAAAATTATGTTACTGTGGCTCTCCTGGGCTCCTGTTTCCCTAACAGAACCACTGTTAGTATTTGTGACTATATGTTTTTCATTCAAAGTGGGCTTATACTATACATACTGCTTTGTAAACTGACTTTTTAATTTTGTAACATATAATGGACATTTTTCCACACCATTAGATATTGTTTTAAGATATGACTAGTTACAGTCACACCGTATTTTCCAAATATACCCACATCCACATATCTGCCATCCACATGCTCTTCTTACAGTGTGACATTCACGTGCTTCCATCAAGAAGTGAGGTCTCTGTTTCCTCCCTTTGAACCTGGCCAGACTTTTGTAACTGCCACAGTCAATAGAATGTGGCATAAGTGATGCTGTGTGCCTTCCAAGGCTAGTTCATAAAGACAACATGGCTCTGTTTTTTACTTTTTGTTTTTTGCCTTTGGAACCAAACCACATTTGTGAGGAAGTCAGGTCTATATGGAAAGGCCATATGTGAATGTTCCAGCTGACTGACCCACTTGGGCCTCTAGCTCATATCAGCATCTGCCAACACGTGAGCAAACAAGTCTTCCAAGATAGCAGACTTTAGGTCTTCCACTTAAAGCCCCAGGCATTACAGAGTAGAAATAGGCCTTACTCCCTGCTGCCTAAGTTCCTGATCACAAATTCCGTGAGAGATAGTAAGTGATCATTGCTAGAGAACCAAAGCAGTATTGCATTTCATGGATATATCACAATATTGCCCTTTTGGGGGGCTTTAGATTGTCTCTAATTTTCTGCTATTATAAATAACACTGAATGAACCTCCACGTAGCTGATTCTTTGTCTAATTAACATCTCTTTCCTAAGAATAAATGTATAGATGAGCAATAATTAGGTCAAAGGATATGATCATTTTAAAGGCTTTGGAAACACATTGCTCAATTGCTTTCTAGAATTGTTGAGTCAATTTACATTCTCACAATTAGTGTATGAAAGTGTGTGAAAGCATTCAGTGAGTTATTCTTAGTCACTGGCCTCTGACGACTTTACATTTCTTTTCCTCGAACTGTCATCCCCACCCCATCTTTGTTAATTTTTGAGGCTTGTGATTCTGGAGATTGGCAACAAATTAGTGGATACCATGTTGGGAGTTGTTCAGGGCAAGGAATAGATGGAAACTGCTGGTAGTGGGCCATGGGGCCAGGCAGCTTTGCTCAGAACAGGGATCCAAGGAGGGCTATCAAGGTTGATCACACCACAAACCAGAGGCTCCTCCTACCCAGACTGGATGACGCCTGGGATAGAAGCTCCAACTGCAGCACTAAGCCCAGGAAATACACCTGTCCCTGCCGTGCTCCTTAAGAGGGTTGATAATAGACGTAGGGATACCCTTTCTTGTCATTTGTTGTTTTTGTTGAGATAAAATTCACATATCATAACATGAGCCGTTTAAAGGAAACAGTTCAGCGGCATTTAATAGTCACAATATTGTACAACCACTGCATCTATCTAGTTTCAAAACATTTCATTGCCCCAAAGGGAAACCCCATACCCATTAGGCAGTTACTCCCCATACCCTTCCTTCCAGTGCCTAGCAACCAGCAATCTGTTTTCTGTCTCTATGAATTGATCTATTCTGGGTATTTCATATAAATAGAATCATGCAATATGTGACCTTTTGTGCCTGGCTTTTGAGGTTTATCCACTTTGTGCACGTATACATCCTTCCTTTCTCCTATTATTTCTGAATAATATTCCATTATATGGATATACCACAATTTGTTTGTCCATTCATCATCATTTATGAACATTTAGGTTGTTTCTAATATTTTTTAACCAAAACATGTGTATTAGAACTTTCCCACAGATAGCCATTTTTGTCACTTTTCTGGTCAAATCTTCACAATAAGTTCTTAGACTCAATTATTATTATTATTTGAGATGGCATCTTGCTCTGTCACACAGGCTAGAGTGCAGTGGCGCAATCTCGGCTCACTGCAACCTCTGCCTCCTGGGTTCAAGCACTTCTGCCTCAGCCTCCTGAGTAGCTGGGACTACAGGTGTGTGCCACCATGGCCAGCTAATTTTTATATTTTTAGTAGAGACAGGATTTCACCATGTTGGCCAGGCTGGTCTCGAACTCCTGACCTCAGGTGATCCGTCCACCTCAGCCTCCCAAAGTGCTGGGATTACAGGCATAAGCCACCGCGCCTGGCCTCTGAGACTCAATTATTAAGGAATATTCATCACTCTATAACTCACCCCTGAAAATCACTTGATTCCTTAATGAAGCCCTTCTTTAACTCGACCTGGAATCAATTTCTCTCGTTTACTTTAAAAGCAAAACAAAAACCTTTCCACTGAGTCTATCAGGCAACTTTACAGGAAATCAAAGCATTTTTTGATAGCACAGGCCTTAAAAGAAGATATTCAAATGGAGTTGAGACAAACCAGATTGTTCTAGAAGGCATTTCTGATTTCTTTAGCGAAATCTGGGCCAAAGAAATGGTCACTAACACGCTCCTTTGTACTTCCACATAGTTTAATACATTAAGCACTCAACTAAAAAGGGAGAAGAAGCCAGGCATTTGAGTGTTAGTGCAAAGAAGCCAAAGAAAGAATCAGTGGCACCAACTTTCTCTACCCAGTCTGTTTTTCCACCACAGGACTCTTGTTATAACGAACAATGTACGTAGTGTGAAGAGGACGGTACCTTGATACCCCTCTTTTCCTGTAATGAAACTGCTGCCACCCTGTTCTTCATGTTCAGTTGTTGGATCCATGTGGGAACTCAGTGGGCTGTGGCTGACATATTAGAATTGTGGGGTTGTGGCTCTTTCACTGTATTGTCTCCTAAGCCTTACTCTAGTGGGAAGCTAAATGGAGTTGGCTCCACTAGTTTATCTTACTTAGGAAGAAAAGTTCATTAAAGCTTTTTTATGGCCAAATCTCGATGACCAGTTCTAGGTTTTTATGTTTTGGGGGTGATTTTCCTTTTCTTGATCTATTTAGCAATTTAAACCAAATCTACCTAAGCACATTCCATATAACTCCTACTTCTTTTTCTCTGAGGTAAACATAAGAAAGTTTGCTTTAGGATTCTGTGCAGTATTTTCTGGTCCCAGAGGTCAAGTAGAATATTTTGAACTGGACAAGGGGTTTTCAGATACTGCTCAAAGATGCAGATATCATCAGATAAAATACCTGAAGACATGCACCCTCCCCTGCGTAAGTATCTCTCATTCAGCAGGAAAAATCAGGTTTCATAGGTAAGCTGTCTTCTCTCCTCCCCAGCTGTTTGGGATGTAGGCTGTTAGTTACAGGGATGGGGGTAGGTTGAATGAGAAAATATTTTGCAATGTAGATAGAAGCATGTATTATTAGTCCAGACTGTTTTGATCACATGTGCCAGAAACACAACACAAATTAACTTAAGCATAACAAGACAGTTTATATGTTCATTAAACTAAAGATTCACAGTTATAGCTGTCTTCAGTCACACCTGAATCTAGGAGCTCAAATGATGCCCTCAGCTCTGCCTTCCTCAGTATTGTCTTCACTGTTAGGCAGTGACTGGGGTAAGGTCAGCCCCAGCTGAACCAAAAGACAGAGAGGGGTGGTTGCCCAGAATAAAAGCTAAAATTTCAGGATAGACAAAAACAAGATATTCTATCACAGAGGGTCCTATACTGTGCATCTTTATCAAAGTGACTCCATAAATCTTGACCTGAGATACCACATAGCTTGATCTCATGATGTCTCTTGCTATAGACTGAATGCTTGTGTCTCCCCACCCCAAAATTCATGTGTTGAAATCCCAATTCCCAATTTGATAGTATTAGGAGGTGGGGGCATTTGAGGGGTGATTAGGTCATGAGGGTGGAACCCTCACGAATGGGATTGGCACCCTTACAAAAGAGATTCCAAAGGGCTCCCATATCGCTTCTGCCATGTGGGGACACAGTGAGAAGATATCATCTATGAATCAAGACACCAGCCCTCACCAGATAATCCTGAATCTGCTAGCTCCTTGACCTTGGACTTCTAGCTTCCAGAACTGTGAGAAATGAATTTCTGTTCTTTATAAGTCAGTCTATGGTGATTCATTATAGCAGCCTGAACTAAGACACCTCTTGAGCATCTGTTATGTGCCATGCATTGTGCTAAGTGCTGAGTGCTAGGAACACTGATGAGCAAAATAGACACTCTCTCTGCCCTCATAGAGTTTGCATTTTAAGGGCAATATACTTTTTTATGATTCTAGCCAGACTAGTCCCTGTCTTCTTCATGAATTCCCACACAACAATTGGTGCAGGGAATGTCATAGGCCAGATTGCCTCCAGGCAGAGACTGAGATGACAAGGATTAGATACATATGATTTATGGAGGGAGTGTTCTTAGAAGAAAGGTGAGAAAAAGAAATAGGATGGAGGGAGAAGAGCTAAGCACGAAATTGGGCTCAGCTGGTGTCAGCCTCTGCCTATCTCATGGGAAGCTCTGAGCATGAATTGTACTACAGGGTTAGTCCCAGCTTGAGGCAAGAGGGTGGACCTTGTGTGCCCCAATGTCAGTCACTCAATGGCTGTGGGCTGCCCTGGATGGGCTGAGGGTGAAATATTCCAGGCCAGATGGCTCCTGTTCTGCCAGGGCAATTCTGTGATGGGGGCAGCTGTAAGCCATCAGTCACCAACACTCTCAGCAACTGGGTGGGTCCACTGGCCTTGGGAAAGGCATTTTGGTGGGACACCACAATCTCACTACAGAGAAGATGATGTTGGTCACATTTTTCATTAGGTAATGTATAATTTCTGTCTATGTATTGGATAGCAGCTTTTACTCAATTTGTTTTCCAGTTATTCAATTACTTAAGTGATATGACCAGAAAGCAAAATAATAGCAATTATAGTAATATAGGGAGATAAATATAAACTCTCTTTAAGACTTCCCTAGGCCATCATGGCTCATGCCTGTAATCCCAGCACTCTGCGAGGCCAAGGTGGGTGGGTCATTTGAGGTCGGGAGTTCAAGACCAGCTTGGCCAACATGGTGAGACCCCACCCATCTCTATTAAAAATACAAAAATTAGCCGGGCGTGGTGGCACATGTCTGTAATTCCAGCTACTAGGGAGGATGAGGCAGGAGAATCGCTTGAACCTGGGAGGTGGAGGTTGCAGTGAGCCGAGATCGCACCACTGTATACTGCACTCCAGCCTGGGAGATGGAGTGAAACTCCATCTCAAAAAAAAAAAAAAAAAAAAGACTGCTCTAGTACCTTGGTGACCATTTTAGGCCAAAAAACAAATAATAATAATATTATTATTATAATAAATTAAAGCCACATTGTAAGCTGAATCTTTCTCAACAATGCCTGGGGTTTGTCAGAAACATTAAGAGAATGAGCTGAATGCTGTAAATTGTGCTTAGCAACTGGAGAGTGCCACATCTACCAGGAAACCTTTGCTTCCTAAAAATGGAAGCATTATCTGGTGAAATCAGGACAATTACAGCCACTAATCATTTGTAACTGAAAGCCTGTAACTGAATAAAATAGGAGTTGAAAACTCCAAATCTAATTTGTCTGTAATGGACAAAAGATTATGTCTATTAGGACATCCATTTCAGATAAAAAATGAGCAGTATTGCTCAAAGTCTTATGCTTCTATTTTAAGATGGACTTGTTTATTAGGAATTGCAGTTTTGTTGACCTCAATAACTTTACGGGAATTATGAAGATGTGGAACATCAACCGACTCATGTAGGGAGGGAAGAACTGGAAGCCTTGGGACCCAGAGTCAGCAGATGCCCTGAAGTCAGGTTGGAGGTCTGCATCCACTGTGAGAAATGGCCCAGCTAGATTTTGTGTTGAGGAACTGAAATGAATACCCACACACGTGTGTGTGAACACACATACACATACAGCTTACTGTCTACACTAACATGACCTTGCTTTTCTATCATATTCATTTGCACTACTTTGCCATGCTAGGAGATTCCAGTGCAGGAAAATAACTTGAAAGTTCATCATCCTGAAAAATACCTCATAAGAAGCATCAACAGATAGCTTACTTCCTAAGATTCTCCAATCCCATCACCTCAAAATCCTTACCATCCTGTTTCCACCAATTGTAAACCATTAGTCATGATCCTTATTCAATCTTAATCAAGTATCTCATTGAAAGACCTAATTTTGTTTGTTTGTTTTGAGACAGGGTCTCACTCTGTCGCCCAGGCTGGAGTGCAGTGGCGCAACCTTGGCTCACTGTAACCTCTGCCTCCTGGGCTCAAGTGATTCTTGTGTCCCAGCCTCCGGAGTTGCAGGGATTACAGGCACCCTCCAGCATGCCTGGCTAATTTTTGTATTTTTAGTAGAGATGGAGTTTCGCCATGTTGGCCAGACTGGTCTCGCACTCCTGACCTCAGTTGATCCACTCACCTCAGCCTCTCAAATTGTTGGGATTACAGGCGTGAGCCACCGCACTTGGCCATGATTTAAATGAAACCCAATTCTCAATAAAATCCAGCTTTGTCTTTGCTTCTTGAAGACAGCCAAAGCTCTGTTGCAGTGGTGTTCTTCCTTACCACAGAAAACAATCTACTCAAAATTGCCTTATCAATAGGTTGCACTGGTGACACTGGGGGGCTTTCATTCAACGGTATTTAATGCTATAGCTCTTCTCAGGCATAAATCTTAGTGCTTGCTTCTCCAGCATCCTCAGTCTCTTACTTCAGGGCCATTTCTTGAGTCCCTGCTTCTTTTGTTTTCCATTACGCTAAATTCACTCAAGGAATACCCAAAAGGGACATAAATACATTTTAATAGGTAGAAAAATTATATGTGAAACTTTATGTACCTAACATTAAAGTTTTAAAATATAAAAAACAAAAATGATACATATACAAAGAACAAATAGACAAATCTACAATCTCTGTGAGAAAATTTAAAATATCAGAAATTGACAGAGTAGGCTGCTTTGCCTATGGAGTAGCCATTCTTTTATTCCTTTTCTTTTTTCCTTTTTATTTTTATTTTTTTTTGAGATGGAGTCTTGCTCTGTCACCCAGGCTGGAGTGCAGTGGCACGATCTTGGCTCACTGCAAGCTCTGCCTCCCAGGTTCACGCCATTCTCCTTCCTTAGCCTCCCGAGTAGCTGGGACCACAGGCGCCCGCCACCATACCATGCCCGGCTAATTTTTTGTAGTTTTAGTAGAGACGGGGTTTCACCGTGTTAGCCAGGATGGTCTCAATCTCCTGACCTTGTGATCCACCCGCCTCGGCCTCCCAAAGTGCTGGGATTACAGGCGTGAGCCACCGCGCGCCCAGCTCCTTTCCTTTCTTAATAAACTTGCTTTCACTTTACTCTATGGACTCACCCCAAATTCCTTCCTGCACAAAGTCCAAGAACCCTCTCTTGGGGTCTGGATTGGGACCCCTTTCCAGTAACTTCTTCCTGGCAATCCACAAAGGGATTATACTGAGGAGATCCCCGACCGAAAGGTAAGAGACTGTAGCACCATTTGGCTGACTTTGTATAAGTGGTGGGATATATTTTACCTGGCTAAAGGATGGGATTGTGTTAAAGGCCCAATTTAGAGGAGTTAGAGTCTCTCCTAAGACAGAGTGGGTTAAAAGCCCCTCTTTTTTTTTTGGCAGAGTTTTGCTCTGTCACCCAGGCTGGAGTGCAGTGGCACAATCTCTGTTCACTGCAACCTCTGCCTCCCGGGCTTAAGTGATTCCCCACTTCAGCCTCCTGAGTAGCTGGGATGACAGGTGTGCCACCACTCCCAGCTAATTTTTTGTATTTTTAAAAGAGAGAGGATTTTGCTATGTTGGCCAGGCTGGTCTTGAACTCCTGACCTCAAGTGATCCACCCGTCTTGACCTCTCAAAGTGCTGAGTTTACAGGCATGAGCCAGCAGGCCCAGGCAAACACCCTCTTAATAAAAAGCAAGGATGCTTGACCGAACTTGGGTTGAAGGCCCAACTTAGGAAGGTTAGGAGTCCTATCTAAAATTAAGGGGGTTAGAGGCCCCTCTCAATAAAGTCCCTCTTGGTAAAAAATGGATTTGGCACTATGGGGTGTTAACCGCTATTCTCTTTCGATTAATCTGCCTTGGACTCTTTGCTGATGGCTATGGGTGACAGGGTTAGACATGTAGAGGATCACAGGACACAGGGAGCTTTTTCCTCCCAAAAAGGGGAAACTTGAGAGCTGATGGGACTGCTGGAAAAAGATCCCTTTGTGATAGACAAGCAGCTACCTGGACTTTTGATTCAGTGTCGTGGGATGGGCAGGTCTTTCTCTGGCCTCCCTGAGCTCCTGGCTTTCCCCACCCCACTGCAGGCAACGCTGTTCTCCTTTCCCTTTCCTCTTTTTCTCTGTGCAAACACATTGTAGGAATGATAAAACTGTTTATCTCCCCTGCAAAGTTTTAATTAATGGGAAAAAAGGATTTGTGGGGCTAGTCTTAAGTTGTAGCTAATCTGGTGTGTTTTGTGTGTCTTTCTGTATCGTTCTGTCATATTGTTCTGTAATATCTTAGGATAGAACACCCCTTAGGACCCCATAAGCCAACTGTTCAAGCCAGCCCAACAAACTGGTCAGTAACAAACTTTGCTGCAGGTCCCTGAAACAAACAAACAAACAAACAAAACTGATTGAAATTTCTCTCATTTTGTTTTATGTCCTTGGGATTTTGACCTTGTAACCTACATGGTGGTACTTTCTCTTCGTCTCCACCATCCAGAGGACAGGAATTTTGGAGTTCATGTCATAACCTTAAAAATTATCTCAAGCAGTTAAAAGTCTTTGAAAGCTCAAAATTAACTGCTCTAGACTCCTTCTGGAAAGAGCAATGGAAACTGCCCAAAGCTGTAGCTTAGTAGCTAAGGCTTTCTTTTTTCACATTGGCAACCTGGGTTCAATTTTCAGCTTAGGGAATGAGTCCTTTCTGATTTGATATTCGTGTGACTTTTGCCATTCGTTTATTCTCTTCCCCTCCATGAACAACTTCTGACTTCCTTTCTTGAGTCTTCCTTTCTCCAAGCACCTGTAAGGTTACTTTGGGTAAAGTTCAAAAGCCGGAAATATTGGCAGTTTGGCCTGCCTGAAGTCAGGTAATAAGAAATTTGATTAAAAGTCAGCTTAATTTCTGAGGGCTCTGTTCTTTTCCATTGGTCTGTATCTCTGTTTTGGTACCAGTACCATGCTGTTTTGGTTACTGTAGCCTTGTAGTATAGTTTGAAGTCAGGTAGTGTGATGCTTCCAGCTTTGTTCTTTTGGCTTAGGATTGACTTGGCAATGTGGGCTCTTCTTTGGTTCCATATGAACTTTAAAGTAGTTTTTTCCAATTCTGTGAAGAAAGTCATTGGTAGCTTGATGGGGATGGCATTGAATCTATAAATTACCTTGGGCAGTATGGCCATTTTCACAATATTGATTCTTCCTGTCCATGAGCATGGAATGTTCTTCCATTTGTTTGTATCCTCTTCTATTTCACTGAGCAGTGGTTTGTAGTTCTCCTTGAAGAGGTCCTTCACATCCTTCGTAAGTCGGATTCCTAGGTATTTTATTCTGTTTGAAGCAATTGTGAATGGGAGTTCACTCATGATTTGGCTCTCTGTTTGTCTGTTGTTGGTGTATAAGAATGCTTGTGATTTTTGCACATTGATTTTGTATCCTGAGACTTTGCTGAAGTTGCTTATCCGCTTAAGGAGATTTTGGGCTGAGACGATGGGGTTTTCTAGATATACAATCATGTCATCTGTAAACAGGGACAATTTGACTTCCTCTTTTCCTAATTGAATACCCTTTATTTGTTTCTCCTGCCTGATTGTCCTGGCCAGAACTTCCAACACTATGTTGAATAGGAGTGGTGAGAGAGGGCATCCCTGTCTTGTGCCACACATCTACAACTATCTGATCTTTGACAAACCTGACAAAAACAAGAAATGGGGAAAGGATTCCCTATTTAATAAATGGTGCTGGGAAAACTGGCTAGCCATATGTAGAAAGCTGAAACTGGATCCCTTCCTTACACCTTATACAAAAATTAATTCAAGATGGATTAAAGACCTAAATGTTAGACCTAAAACCATAAAAGCCCTAGAAGAAAACCTAGGCAATACCATTCAGGACATAGGCATGGGCAAGGACTTCATGTCTAAAACACCAAAAGCAATGGCAAAAAAAGCCAAAGTTGACAGATGGGATCTAATTAAACTAAAGAGCTTCTGCACAGCAAAAGAAACTACCATCAGAGTGAACAGGCAACCTACAGAATGGGAGAAAATTTTTGCAATCTATTCATCTGACAAAGGGCTAATATCCAGAATCTACAAAGAAATCAAACAAATTTACAAGAAAAAAACAACCCCATCAAGTGGGCGAAGGATATAACAGACACTTCTCAAAAGAAGACATTTATGCAGCCAACAGACACATGAAAAAATGCTCATCATCACTGGCCATCAGACAAATGCAAATCAAAACCACAATGAGATACCATCTCACACCAGTTAGAATGGTGATCATTAAAAAGTCAGGAAACAACAGGTGCTGGAGAGGATGTGGAGAAATAGGAACACTTTTACACTGTTGGTGGGACAGTCAACTAATTCAACCATTGTGGAAGTCAGTGTGGCGATTCCTCAGGGATCTAGAACTAGAAATACCATTTGACCCAGCCATCCCATTACTGGGTATATACCCAAAGGATTATAAAACATGCTGCTATAAAGACACATGCACACGTATGTTTATTGCGGCACTATTCACAATAGCCAAAGACTTGGAACCAATCCAAATGTCCAACAATGATAGACTGGATTAAGAAAATGTGGCACGTATACACCATGGAATACTATGCAGCCATATAAAATGATGAGTTCATGTCCTTTGTAGGGACATGGATGAAGCTGGAAACCATCATTCTCAGCAAACTATCACAAGGACAAAAAACCAAACACCACATGTTCTCACTCATAGATGGGAATTGAACAATGAGAACACATGGACACAGGAAGGGGAACATCACACACTGGGGCCCGTTGTGGGGTGGGGGGAGTGGGGAGGGATAGCATTAGGAGATATACCTGATGTAAATGATGTTAATGGGTGCAGCACACCAACATGGCACATGTATACATATGCAACAAACCTGCACGTTGTGCACATGTACCCTAGAACTTAAAGTATAATAATATATATATGTTTTAAAAAGACACAAAAACGACAAGAAAAACACTTTCAGTCCAAAAAAAAAGTCAACTTAATTAAAAGTGGATATCCAAGCTATACGTACACTTAAAAGGCCTTTATGTTTTTTTCCCCTACTTAGATATTATTTTTCTGAAGAAAAAGGTTTTTCTCTTCTCAGCTGATTGAATTATTTTTTTCCATTTTGTCTTCTTGCCACTCTCTGTGCACACGTGAGAGGACTTAAGAAAAATTATAACAGCCTGGGACTTCTTGGGAAAAATAGAGGAGGCACCACAGACCCCATTTTGGGGAAAAAAACCCCTCTGTTTTCCTCATGAGACCCCAGGAATTGAAAGTGGATAGATTCCTGTCAAAATCTAAGTCTCTGTTATGTTTTGCATTGCATTATCTGACGTCTTTGACTTTTGGGCGTATCAGAAATTACTTCACATTATGAGAGAGCTTTGGTGTGTAATAACTAGGTAGGAAATACACTTTTGGGGATAGCTAATGGCATTTATAGGGGAATACACGGCTCTGCCCATTTGGATCAGAGAAGCATGCTTCTTGGCCACCTAGAAGGTATGGAAATGTCCCCACCTCCACTGAGAGATAAGACTCCCATGGAGATGGGCTGATTCCCTCTTTTGGGGATCCAGGATCTCATATAAAAATGGGACCCTTAATTTTGGGAGAATCTGTGTTGCCTTCCAGCTGTACCTGCTAATTGGGCCCTAGAAACTGCATGTTTTAAAGAGAAACTTAAAAACTAAAACTGGCAAATGAAAAGCCTTACAACTACTGGATCTTCTGTCTTTCTGTATATTTATTTATTCTTTTTTATTTTAATTACTTCCCACACTATGCTGATGTAATTTCTGTGTATTTATATGTGTGCATGTGATGTTTATATATGACAGAGCTCTGATTAATTGGCTTAAAAGTAATAAGTGCTTACATCAAATATTTTGTCAGAAAAACAAAAACTGCAATACCTTTTAGTTCATGTGACTTTGATTATCTTTTCCCAAAGACAGTTTTACAGATATTATTAGAAAAATAAAGACATTTGGTCTAAATTATGCAGCTATTACTAAGAATTAGTCAGATATTAGGTTTGCTAAATGATTTAAGGTCATAAACTGCTTCTTTGACTTTTGAAAATTGTCCAACTTACCTGCTTTGGAGCTATTAGATTCCAGGTAAGGCCTGGGAACATGTGGAGTTAGCCATGCCCCCTCGCTATGGTGGAAAGAGTCAGACCCTATCTGCACTCCTGTCTGTTGTCTTAAGCTCCACACCTGGTACATAATTAGAATCACTTACTCACCAGGTTTTTCACCAAAAATAAAAATTGCTAAGAGTTAACATTGTTATACGTAATTGAGACTATTGAAGAAACAATTTTACACACAAGGTGTGTAAGGAAAATAAAAATGTGTTTTTGGTAAAAGATAAGAAGGCATGGGAATGTGGATTTTTTGGCCTAGATTAAAAGGTTAAAGGATTGTTTTAAGTTAGGATAAAACTGAAGGTTTCAGCAAGTTGTGAAAGGTTTGTGAAAGATTAATCTTGTAAAAGAAATTCTGTATGTGAACATACTGGCTAAATTTAAAGTCGTATTATTCTGTTTTTCCATAAATTGAACATTGGAATAAAAGCACAACAGGGTATTCTTAGAGCACTGATCTGCTCTTTAACAGAAAATTGTAAAGGGTCATAAAAGGTTTATGAGAATCTTACCTTGTAGTCAAACTGATTAAGATTGGATAGATTTGTCTATATGGTTTTATTAAGAACTGGATTTGACATCATTAGTGCACTAATGCAAAGGTGAAATTTAGGCTTTCTCTCAAACAAGATTTCCATGTAATATTAAAACAATGAAGAATTTTTGTTTGCCTCTTGAATAAACTGTAGGAAAAAGAAAGGAAAGATAAAAGATTGTTTGGAAAACTAACTCTTCTCTCTATTAATGAGTAAAGGTTTTTGCCTTTTTAAAATTTTTGAGTTATTATTTTGGCCAAATAAATGACTTATGGCGACCTGGGATTTGATTTTAAACAAGCGTTTTAAACATTTGATATTTGACAAAATTTCCAAAATGAAATTATAAATTATGTCTTTTCTGACCTAGTTAATTCTTTAGATGTTAGGTCTCCTAAAGTCCAAAAAAGATATATTTGGCTTATTTGGTATAAAAATCACACAGGAAGCATTGTCAAGTATGAAATGGTGCTTGGCTTCCTTTGTGTTGTATCTGTATAAATATGTTACTAATAAGTGTTCCAAAATTACATGAAACTTCTATAATTCTGATATGGCTTAGTATATGTTATTAATAATTATAATTGTTATATAAAATGGCTGTATGCCACAGAAGTAATAAAAATTCCTAATCAATTGTGGTGTTAATAATGGCTGTCCAAAGACTTTTTTGTCATCTACAGACAATTGTTGTCTTATTTTGATCCTCTTCAAAGGTAGTTTATAATCACCTATAGAACTTTGATAGGTGCCCTTGAGTGCAGGTTTCTAATAACTTTGGAGATTGTGAAAATAGAATAGAGGAAAAAGTTTTCAGGACTCTCATGGAGAGCTAAAATGTTCATGAGGCACTGTTCAGGCAGGGTACAGTGTCTCATGCCTGTAATCCCAGCACTTTGGGAGGCCGAGCCAGGAGGATCACCTGAGGTCAGGAGTTCAAGACCAGCCTGACCAACATGGCAAAACATTGTCTCTAGTAAAACTACAAAAGTTAGCTGGGCATGGTGAAACACACCTATAATTCCAGCTACTCAGAGGCTGAGGCACAAGAATCGCTTGAACCTGGAAGGTGGAAGTTACAGTGAGCCAAGATCACACCGCTGCACTCCAACCCGGGCAACTGAGTGAGACTCTGTCTCAAAAAATAAGTATGTATGTAAGTAAGTAAGTAAGTAAATAAATAAATAAATAAATTTAAAAAGTTCATGAAGTCAAACAGAACAGTAGTTAACTACATCAACTGAACTAATAGAAGACTGAAATAATCTTCTTGACTGTTTGCTTAAGATGTTGCTAATCCTTTGTTTTGTTTTTCAGAACAAGAAAAACTTTTATTTTGAGCTATTTACAGCTTTTAACAATTGAGTAAAGTATACTCCTGTGAACAAAATTTGGACAATATTTGTTTCTCTCTGCCTGATTTCTCCTCAATTTGGAAACTGTTAGTGAGTATTCTTAATTTATGGCAATATAGTTGTTTGCATAAGTGCAATAAGAATGTTTTGCAACAGGACAAATTGGAGAAACTGGTTATTTTACCAAGGCTTTGACTGAAATGGCTTTCTTTCCTTTAAGGGATCAAACTTGACTCACAGAGCCAATAAAAGTCCCTTGGGAAAACTGGCCTCATACCTTGTCTACATAGTCCCTGTGCAGGGTTCCTGATGTGATAAATAAAGGATGTCACTTTCTAACAGGACCAGAAGCCCCAAAATATCTTGAGATCTCAAGAGAAGAGAAATTTACAATTCACAGGTATTTGACAGTACAAACCCATGGCTGGGCTCAGCTTTTAGCAAAGTCTTATCTGAGATTCCTTTTATGGAACAAAGTTATGCCAAAGCCAGTTTTGAAAGGCTATGTGAAAAATAATTATTCTTGCTGCCCTTTATACAAATAATCAGACCAAGTATAATAAACCGAATTGGTCTTACCATGATTTGTCTTTAGTAAAAATGGGAGACTGGGGAGAGAAAAATTATGTTTCAAATACTGTGGTATACTTGTTATTAAATTCTAGTCTCATTGGTTGTTTTTGAGTTTTTTCTTCAATTTAGACTAATCCTGCTTATTCCTGTGAACAAATCAGTGATCTCTGGCTGCAGCTCGGAAGAAACAAGGGGATGGGTAATGTGAAAATCTGGATCAGTATTCTAATTCTGGTCACATGTTGGAATTGGCTAGCAACCCCATATCAGCTTGGTTCCAACAGTTGTGCAGTTCATGGAAACCTTCTTACTTAGTTTACTTGAGATAATTTTACTTATTTTGTTTTACTGTTGTGGAATATATTGCTGTTGTACTCTTTGTGTAGGAATGCAGGATATGTTTACTGAATGTTTTCTAAAATTAAACACTTACTAATCATCCAGATATCACCTTTTGTCAGACTTATGAATGGTCCTCACCATACTGATGCTTTCTGACTGAGCTCCTCTCTACCCTGAATACAAGAGACCCTAGCATTTAGACAGGAGTATCATCATCCCTATTCAGCCTGAAGAAGTTACAGAAAATGGATCTTTGTTCCTCTACAACCCTTAGGATTAAGAGTTCCCTTGTAAAAAGGAGGGGGAAAATATATTAGAGATGTTTGTACCAGAGGGACTCCATGTTGAATAGGGTCTGGGTAAAGTGAGGCTGGCACCTACTTGGCTGCACTCCCAGGAGGTTAAGCATTCTTAGTCACAGGTTGAGATAGGAGGTCAGCACAAGGTTCAGGTCATAAAGACCTTGCTGATAAAACAGCATGTTGTAAAGAAGCCAGCCAAAACTCACCAAAACCAAGACGGCAACAAGAATGACCTTTGGTCATCCTCACTGCTCATTATATGCTAATTATAATGCATTAGCATGCTAAAAGACACTCCCATCAGTGTCATGACAGTTTACAAATGCCATGGCAATGTCAGGAAGTTACCATATATGGCCTAAAAAGGGGAGGTACCCTCAGTTCCAGGAACTGTCCACCCCTTTCCTGTAAAACTCATGAATAATCCACCCCTTGTTTAGCACACAATCAAGAAGTAACTATAAGTATAATCAGTTGAGCAGCCCTTGCTGCTGCTCTACCTATGTAATAGCCATTCTTTTATTTTTTTACTTTCTTAATAAACTTACTTTCACTTTACTCTAAAAAAAGAAGAAATTGACAGAGTAGAAACAAATAAGAATATCCAAGATTCAAATAACAATAAATACATCAAATATGGCTGGGGGCAGTAGCTCACACCTGTAATCCCAGCACTTTGGGAGGACAAGGCAGGTGGATTGCTTGAGTTCAGGAGTTTGAGACCAGCCTGGGCAACACGGTGAAACCCTGTCTCTACAACAACTACAAAAAATTAGCCAGGCATGGTGGCGCATGCCTGTAGTCCCAGCCACTCAGGAGGCTAAGGTGGGAGAATTGCTTGAGCCTGGGAGACAGAGGTTGCAGTGAGCCAAGATCGTGCCATTGCACTCCAGCCTGAGTGATAGAGTGAAACCCTGTCTCAAAACAAACAACAACATAACAAAATCAAATGCTGTACCCTCAAAACAAATAATATGTTCCTTCTCCTTGATTTCTTTTCTACACTTAGCCTCCATGACCCCATCCTCTCAGCTTTCCTTCCACTTCCTTGGTGCCCCTTTCTCTGTCCTCTGCCAGTTCCTCTCATTCTTCCAGACTTATCATGTATGTTTCTCAAAGCTTAGTCCTGGGCAATTCTATCCCGTCTCTACAGTCAGCCCTTAGTATCCATGGGTTTGGCATCTATCATTCAACCAAATGCAGATTGAAAATATTTGTGGAAAAACCATTTAAAATAGCAATACAACAATAGGCCAGGCATGGTGGCTCACACCTGTAATCCCAGCACTTTGGGAGGCCAAAGCGGATGGATCACCTGGGGTCGAGAGTTTGAGACCAGCCTGGCCAACATGGTGAAACCCCTTCTCTACTAAAAATACAAAAATTAGCCAGGTATGATGGTGGGCGCCTGTAATCCTAGCTACTCGGGAGGCTGAGGCAGGAGAATCGCTTGAACCCGGAAGGTGGAGGTTGCAGTGAGCTGAGATCATGCCACTGCACTCCAGCCTGGGTGACAGAGCAAGATTCTGTCTCAAAAATAAAATAAAATTTAAAAAAACAATAAAAATAATACAAATAAAAACCAATATAGTATACCAACTATTTATATAGCATTTACTTGTATAGGTATTATAAGTAATATAGAGATGATTTAAACTATGTAGAAGGATGTGTGTAGGTTTTATGCAGATACTACACCATTTACATAAGGGACTTGAGCATCCATGGATTTTTTGTATCACTTGGGGGTCCTGGAACCAATCCTTCCAAGGGATGGCAATACTCCCTTGACAGCCCCATCTAGTCTCTTGGCTCTAAATATCAACTACTGGCTGACAGCTTCTAAATGTGTATCTCCGTCCCAGACCTCTCTTCTGAACCCCACATTCATGGATCCAATTGTCTACTTAACATATCTCAGATTCAACGTTTTTGAAATTGAATTGCTAAATTTTATCCCCAACCTGCTCCATCCACAGTCTTCCCCATCTCAGTGGATGACAGCTCTAGAAAGTCACTCAAGCCAAAACCTTGGTATGATTCAGGACTCCTCTCTTTTATTCCCCATACCTAATCTGTCAGGAAACCCTATTGGCTCTACCTCCAAAATATATTCCAAAGCCAACCACTTTTCCCCACCTCTACTCCTCCCACCCTGGTCCAAGCCACCTTCATCTCCCACCAGGACAATGGCAATAACATCCTAGCCATCTCCCTGCTCCCACATTTGTTCCCCTACAGTCAATTCTTCACAAATCCATCTGTGTGAGCACTTCAAAAATTAAGTGAGATCACACTCCTATGCCAAAAACTCATTTTACTAAGAGTCAAAGTCCTTAAAGTCCCTCAAAACCATACAAGGTCCTGCAGGAACTGTACAGACATGCAGACACACACAAACAGATACACATCCCTCCTCTTCCCTCACATTCCATATTATCTTTTCAATGAAGACTACTGTGATCATTGTATGTTAAATTGCAATCTGTACACCCACACTGCACTCCCCATCCCACTTCCCTTCCTCTATTATTTTGGAAAGCATTTGCCATCTTCCATAGCACATGTAACATTACTTTATAGTTTGCTTATTTATTATGAGTATTGCTTATCATTTCCTCTCACTGTAATGAAAGCTTCACAAGGGCAGGGATCTTTGTTTTGTTTATTGATGGATCCTAAGAATCTGGATCAGTGCCTGGCACACAGTAGGCACTCAATAAATGACTGTTGAATGATTTTTTTTATACTAAGATGGAACATAGGAAATTTTGGTCATGTATTTGGTCATGAAGGGAACATTAACAAACTGTAAAAAGCACAAAGTATTAGAACACATTTAATGACCAGAGTTCAATGTAATTAGAAATTAACAACCAAGTAACACTTTTCAAAAAGCTTTCCACTTCTATAGTTTGAAACAGTTTTCTGTGTCTTTTTTTTCTTCCTCCCTTCTCTCTCCTTACCTCATCCGGCCCTGGCGCCTCCCACGAAGCATCTACCTGGATTCCCAGGTGATGCTCCACAGTTCACTCCTCCAGGATGCTCTCATTTCTGAGCTGTAAGGCTGCAGTGGAAGAGGAGCACCTGGAGGATGTAGTGTGGGGCTGCCACTAGCCAATAAGCAACCACTTACACACGAAGTCCGGACCACAGCCTGTCCATGAGATGATAGTCCAAAGAAGGAGAAGACTGGGGAGGAAACGGGGTACAGTATCTTGTGTAGGGACAATGAGTACTTTGTCACTGATCGAAGATGCAGCCTGCCCCAAAGCAGGCAGTCATGCCAAGAGTCCAAGCCTAGGGACCTGAGTTTTCCACTGGCTGTGAGCACTGGTCCATCTCTGTGCAAGTTGGTTATGTGGTCCATGTGTCTGTTTCAAGAGTAACTGTGACCATGGGACTCAGATATGTGATGCTCACCATCTTCGCTTTCATTTTACTTTACTGAATACACTTCTTAAATTGAAGTGTAGCGTACATTCAGAAAAATGATCAAATCATAAGTGAATAGCTCTCTATGGACTGAATTGTGCTCCCCCCTAAATGTATATGTTGAAGCCCTAATACCCAATATGACTGTGTTTGGAGACAGGGCCTGTGAGGAGATGACAAAGATTAAACAAAGTCATAAAGGTTGGGTCCTAATCTGATAGAACTGGTGCCCTTATAAGAAGAGGAAGAGATACTAGAACTCTCCTCTCTTTGCCATGTGAGGTCACAAGAAGGCAGTCATCTGCAAGCCAGAAAGAGAACCCTCCTAGGAACCAAACTGGTGGACACGTTGATCTTTAACTTCTCGGCCTATAAAACAGTGAGCAAATAAACTTCCATTGTTTGAGCCACCCTGTGTATGATATTTTGTTCTGGCTACTTGAGAAGACTAATATAAGCTCAATGAATTCTCACATAGAGGGCACACCAAGTAATTACCATCTGGGTCAAGATATAGAATATTACCAGCATCCCAGAGTCCTCATTATTTCTCACCCCCAACCCCCCTCCTCCCAAAGTTAGCCAACTTTGGACACCAAAAGCAAGTTTTGACTATTTTTGAATTTTTAATAAATAAAATTGTACAGAGGAAAAATAAAAATCTTTCTAAATAATTCAATAATTCCTAGTCTAAGAACCAAAAAAAGGAAACTATAAATTATTGTCTTAGAAATAAAATCATGATATATAAAAAAATCTGTGATACAATCTACAATCTAGTGACACTAAGAAGAAAATTTTTAGCCTTACTTTAATTTATTGGAATAAAAAATTGGAAAGAAATAATCTACGAAAAGAACAATTAAGTAGAACTGAAGAAATTAGTAAAAATAATTAATAAAGGCCAAAAACTGTAATAGAGAAATTAGCATAGATCAGTAAAATCAAATCTGTGTCCTTTTTTTTTAAATTGTGAGACTGTCTTGCTCTGTTACCCAGGCTAGGTAGAGTGCAGTGGTGCAATCTTGGCTCACTGCAGTCTTGACCTCCCGGGCTCAAGCGATCCTCCCACCTCAGCCTCCTGAGTAGCTGGGATTACAGGTATGCACCATCATGCCCAGCCAATTTTTTTTTATTTTTTTTTTTTTTTTTTTTTTGTAGAAATGTGGTCTCCCTATATTGCCCAGGCTGGTCTCGAACTCCTGGGCTCAAGTGATCCTCCTGCTTCAGCCTCCCAAAATGCTGGGATTACAGGTTTGAGCCACTGCACCTGGCCAAACCTGTGTTCTTTAGAAGGACAACCTGGACTGAGCATCTTCCATTTGTTCCTCCAAAAAACACAGAGTCAGCTGGAGAAGGGTGAAGATGCTGGAAGTCTTCAGGACACTGAAGTTCCCCCAGCATCTTCGCCCTTCTCCAGCTGACTCTGGTCCTGGGAGACTGATCTCTATGTACTATATCCAGAGGTGCCCAGTTGTTTGGCCAGAGGGGAGCACCAGCTGGAGTTATGAGGGAGAGGAGAGTCAGGTTAGAACATTTATTTCTTTAGCTTGATCTCTGCAGGCATCTTCCTGTGTCTGTCACTGCCAGATCTGAGCTCTTCTAAAGGAGGCCTCTTCCATGACTCTCTCCTTTCAGCTTCTGGTCCCTGCTGCCTCCCTCCACCAACTCATGTCTAGGAGTGATAATGCCCCTCATTACTAGCCCCTTGCATTTCCCTATACCCTGCCCACATCTGTGTAAAGAGTCCTTTATTAAACTCTCCTCAAATTATTCTATGTGGGTATGCCTAATGTTTCCTGACTGCAGCAACTCCCCAAAATTAAAAAATAAAATAGAAATTAAATTTTAAAAGCATTTTAGAAGGTTTCACCAAGAGAAAACACACACACACACACACACGTGTGTGCACGTGCACACACAACTACAACAACATTAGGAAAAGGAAAGGAGAAACAATTGCAAATATGGAAGAGGTTTTTTTAAGGATAAATCAATTATATGAAATTTTATATCAATAAATTTGAAAATCAGGGAATGGATAATTGTTTAGGGCAAGATAAATGATCAAAATTGGTTTAAGAAAACAAGCAGAAAAGAAAAGGCAGTCAGGGATTTAACCCCAGGTGCCCCTAAATGAGGCACCTGGGGTTAAATGATTAAATAAGACCAAAGAATTTTCATGTTACATAAGTTGTTCTACAGCATAGAAAAAGATTAACATTTCCCCAACTCCTTTGTGAACCTGTCATAAACCTGATACCAAAATTAGCCAATTAGAAGAAAGTGATTAGTCAATTCCGCTGAGGAATATAGATGAAAAAAATATCCTAATAAAACTCCAGCAAATTGAGTTCAGCAGTGGATTAAAAGAAAAACATATAATGGATTTATTCCAAAAAGGGAAAGATGATTCAACAATAAGATATCTATTACTGTAATTCAGTGCATTAAGAGATTGAAGGGTGGAAATCATACAGTATCTCGCTAAATGCTGAAAAACCATTTGATAAAATTCAACACCCATTCCTGTATTAATTTTTTAAAGTATCTCCTAGCAAAACAGCAATTAAAAGAAACTGCATTATCTTGATGATGGGTATCTTACCAAAATCTGCAGCCAACAAGCAGGGAAGGAGGAATTAGTCATAGCACGGACCTCAAAGAAACAGGGCTTTTTTTAAAAGATAGTTTACTAACAGATAATACGTTGCATGCTTCAAAATCCAAAAGACATAAAAGGGTGTCAAAGAAAAGTCTTTTTTAGCCCATTGTCCAGTGATTCAGCTGCCCTCTCAAGAGACAAGCAATATTACTAGTTTCTCAGTTATCCTTCTGGAGCTAGTTTATGCATTTGCAAGCAAATTTGTAAATCTGTATATTTTTTCACACAATGGTAGTAAACACTGGTTCTTCTCATTGGCAAAATATTATTCTATATCAGTACATAATGAGATCCCTCATTCTTTTTTTCTGGCCAAAAAACATCACTTTGGATAAATGTAAATTTGTTCATCTACTACTCTGCTGTGAGATAGGTCGTTTCAAAACTTTTGCTATGATAATGCTGCAGTTAATATGCTTTATATATTTATCGTTTTGAGCACATGTGAATGTATATGCATTATTGTGTAGTAAAGAATTCAATCTTGCACAGAAAGAAGTTCTGACCTCTGCCTTTGGCTTCTAAAAGGTAATTTATGTCATACCAGGTAGGAGGATCTTTGTTTAAGGTGGAGACTAGCCACACCAGATCTTAAAGTAGCATTATTCATACCCAACAGCCTTAGTGTCAAGGTTGGCCATGTCAGAAAGACTATGTGACTTAGGGTGGAGACTTTGGGTCATGCATATGATTCAATCTGGGGACTGAGTTCAATCACGTGGGCAATCAATTAACAAGTCACACCTATATCATGGAGCCTGAGTAAAAACTCTGAACACTGAGGCTTGGGTAAGCTTCCCTGGTTAGCAACACACATGTGTATTGTCACACATTGACACTGGGACAGTGACACATGCTGACTCCATGAGGAGAGGACAATAAAAGCTTGAATTTGGAGCCCTCCTGGTTTCTGTCCTATGCTTCTCTTCTTTGTCTTATCTTAAATTCCATCTTTTCCAAGAAAAAACTCTATCCTTCCCCTGTAATAAGCCATCACCATTTAGTATAACAACTTTCAGTGACTTTTGTGAGCCCTTTAGTGAATTATCAAACCTGAGGGTAGGAACCCTCCAAATTTGTATCAGAAATGAGGACCATCTTGTGTGGAGAACATGCCCTCTAATCTTGTAGTTGGCCCTAAGCTCCTCACAAGGATAAATCCAGGGGAGTAGAATTTTTTGGTAGAGGTATATGCATTTGAAAGTTTTGTAAATATGAACAAAATGTCCTTCATTGAAATTATGCCAGATTGTATTCCCACTAGCAATAGAGCAGAGGTTTTAACAAAAGGGTGGGGTGAAACCATAATAATCACTTCCCCACCCTGGATTGTGAGAAGGTAAAGTCACTTCTTGGGAGGGCTGTAGACATTAGGGGAAAGCAGAGTTTAAAGGCAAGGAGGCAGGGAGAATATTCCCAGATGTGATTGAGGCAGGAAACATACACAGGGTTTGGGGAAGTTGAGAAGAATGGAAGCTGCATTGAGGACAAAGAAGAACAGAATGTGCAGCTCAATGGGGAAGTAGAGTGGCCATCTTCAACATGGAGCACTCATGCTCCTGGGTGATACCAAGGGCTTTGTGAGGGCTTTGTGAGACAGGATTTCCAGATCCTCAATGTCCTTATGTACCCTTTCCTAAATAAACCTGTCTGAGAAGATGCTTGTGATCTTCTATTTCTCCTTCTGCCCCTGTACCAAGAAAAGATTCATGTTTCATACACCCGAAAGTTTCCAGAGGGAATTGTCTTGGGACATCAACAACTCCGGGACATCCAAAAAATTGACAAGTAGAAAATGCATCATTCCTGAGGGAGACTGTGGCTCTACCTTTTCTGTACAGTGATGTCGTTGTCAAGGAGCAGATGTAGCATACTCATTTTATTTTTAAAATGCAGCCAGACTTCTTCTGAGAATAAGTAAGCCTGATTTGGTGGATAGTTTGGACCAAGAGGACTGGCATTGCCAATTAGGTTGTATGGCAGGTATTTTCATAAATTAGATAAGCGAAACCTGCAGCCATAATGTTTTGACAAAACATATTTAAGGCTCATATATAGTATGTGTACACTGAAATTATATCTTTTGCAAGTATTTAATCTCAAGATGAAAAAGTAAACAACTTAAAAATGTGTGAAAGATGCATAGTTTTACAATAATATGTAGGTACAAGAGGTTCAAAAGAACTGCAGTAGAAGTCTCGGGAGGTTGGAACCAACTAAAGGAAATAGAGATTGTAATGATCTCTTGTAGGGTGGGGGTGGATGCTGAACTGGAGGGCTTACTTCGTCTGAATGAGAGAACCAGGAACCTTGGACTCTGCAGATGTTGGGGATGGAAGAGGGAGGGTTAATGGCAGACATAAAGATCATCATGTTATTCCAGGCTGGGCGCGGTGGCTCATGCCTGTAATCCCAGCACCTTGAAGGGCCAAGGCAGGCGGACCATCTGAGGTCAAGAGTTCAAGACCAGCGTGGCCAACATGACAAAACCCTGTCTACTAAAAATACAAAAATTAGTCAGGCTTGGTGGCGCGTGCTGTAATCCCAGCTACTCGGGAGGCTGAGGCAGGAGAATCGCTTGAATCCGGGAGGCTGGGGTTGCAGTGAGCCAAGATTGTGCCACTGCACTCCAGCTTGGGTGACAGAAGAGATTCCGTCTCCAAAATAAATAAATAAAAATTAAAAATCGTCATGTTATTCCTTTGAAATTTCACTTGTCTCTCTCAAGCATGTCAGCATGTCTTTTTTTTTCTGTCTTTGCTTTTCTTTCTCTTTTTGTCTCTGCCCACCACCTTTTTCCTTCTCTGTTTACTTCTGCCTGAGCTCCCATTCTCTCCCCTTCAGATTTCTTCCTCTATCATTTCCTCACCCCTACCTTGATCCTTGCAACTGAATTAGCATGAGTACTGAGCTAATGAATATATTCTATTAATTGCATGTTTTAGTATCTCAGGTTCCTAATTCTTCTAAAAATTGTGTGAGATGTATTTTATTTTCTGTTTCAAAAAGTGTAATTTAGTTACCACTGACTTTCTAAAGATGCCTGATTGCTTTATTCCCTCTGGACCAGAAGCTCTTGTCAGGATAGAAAAAGGCTGCCAGTCTTTGTCCTGAGCATATCAAACTATATACTTTTCACCTGAGGACTCTGCTTTTTGTTCTCTCAGAAACCTGTGAGCACAGCAGTTCCTGTGGAGTCGCTCCTCAGTGCATGGCAAGCTGCAGTTCTCCTGTCCCTTCATTCCACACATGTTCCCTTCTTTATCCCACCTGTCTATAGATGTCACTGGGGACTTGACTTTATTTCTGGTTATTGCACATCCTGATTTCTCCCCTCACAATTTCCATTATCCATCCATCACGTCCTGAGGGTTTTACTGCTGTGGTCACCTCCCAGCATGTCCACTCACATAGGCCGTGCCGTTGACGAGGAGCGTCGGCGGGGGGAGGTTCCTATGGGGGCAATTTCCTTCTCTTTGGCAGACAAGAGAAGGAAATTGCCGAAAAGAAGGAAAATGCCCCCAGAGAAACCCCTGCCCCACCCCCGACCCTCTTGGTTTCCTTCTCTCTTCCAGTTGTTCAGTTGGAAAAAGTCAAGGAGCCCATTGGATCACATTTCCAGAGCCTTACTGTGAAGAGTCTTTGTTGTTGTTGTTGTTTTAACTATAAAAAGAGTTGTTGAACATCATTGTCTACAGTTCTTTTACACCTTTAATAATCTATTGCATGGACCACAAGCAGGTTGAAAGGTGATTTTTATCTCAGTTCTATAAATACTGGTGAAAGTCTGTGGGCCAGTTGCTTAATTTCACTGGGCCCCGGTAGGAAAGATCACTTCTAGGAAAGCTTCCAGCTCCAGAATGTATGATTCCATCAAGTTCTCCAGTTAGTTGGTATCACAAAAAATAAAGGGCATCTTCCCTGTCTGCCTTACTCCTCCTCTTTATACTTCCTGAGCATAGCCCAGCACTGACACATGGTAGTCACCTATGGCAGACTTTTACAGACTATATGGAACCTGCTTTGTCACGAACATGGCAAATGACATGACCATCATGGAGTTATAAGGACTGGGCTTCTCACACCTCCCTCTGCAATGAAACTGGGCATTAGAGATGCTGTTATTCTTCTCCTCACTCCTTACCTTGGTCTCCTCTATCCACTAAGTATCATGCTTGAGAATGAATCCTGAGAGTCTTGAGGAAAAGTGTTTACCAAGTACTGGATAAAACACATGGTGATTAATAACAAGTTAAGCTGCCCAAAATTTCATCTTGTCTTTATCAATACCTGTAATTGACTTTTAGCTAAACCAGCAGCCAACGTCATCATTAGCTCCAGAAGAAGGGTCTTTTATCAAGTTTAAGGGCACATGATTTGGCTTGTAGTCAGCATACTTCCATTCTAAAAATGGCAGCAAATACGAGAAAAATTAAAATCTAGGACCCACACTTCTAAGAAAGAAAGAGGAGTTATAAGGATTGCAAATTTCTTGATTTTTAATTTAATGATATAATTATTTTTTCCAGAAAAACTTTTATTCAACAGTGGTATGGATTAATGGTTCCAAGGAATTATGACATTCTATTAACTTTCCACAAGAATTACTTCATTGCATTTAGATTAAATTTATTTTATTAGACTGTGAGAACTATGTCTCAGCAGATTTCCTTTTTGCTTCAACCCTTTTGAAATTCTTTATTTTAGTAAAAACAATATAAACAAATCATCTTTGTTTCTTATTATTCACTTGTGCCAAAGATGACTTTTTATTATTATCATGTTTTATCTTTGGAACAACACACAAGAAAAAAAAACTGTTGGTTGCTTTTGCAGAGGGAAACTAGGTGGCAGGAAACAGGGAATAAGGCCAAATTTTTATTGTACCACTTAAATTTTGAAACATGTGAAAAGACTTTCATTGGAAAAAATTAATAATGAAATAATACAGGCACATAATTTAAAAATCAATAGTATTAAAAGACATTTCTCTGCCCCACCTATCATTATTCCCTCTACTTCTTTAGAGGCATCTACTTTCAACTCTTTCATCTGCTTCTCATACTTAGCCTCACATTTCTAAATAGGATGCTCTTATTGCTTCTTCTAAATTTATCAACTTTAGAGAGTGTCTGTTAATTTCCAATTATGACATTGGAAAGTTTAATCCTTTTATACATCATGACAACTTGCTTCCCCTTTGTCATCTTTGCAATCTGGTTGTATCATAGTTTTTTAGTTTAACAAACAGCCAACGTAAGTATCATATACTGGTGAATCAAGTTGGTCTACAATTTTCTTCCTTCCTCTTATGGTTTTCTACTTTCCCTCTGTTTATATTTGCTTAATTTTCTGTGATATTTTTTCAAGTGATTCGATAGATCTGTTACATGTCCAATTTTTTCAAATGCTCAAATGCATACATCACATTTCCCCCAGAATTTTTTTAAGAATTCTGGCTATCCTGAGATTACCAACTCTGGTTATCAACTACAGCACTCAAGGTTACTCACTCCTTTCTTAAGAGCCTCCTTTGTTCACACTAACTTTTCACTGAAACTCTGTTACCAATATCGTTCTACTTGGAAAAAGGTAAATTAAATTCTGTTTCCCCAAGGGACATTTCCTCCTCTCCAGGAGCTGCCAAAACACCGTGACTATTCTTCCTTTGAACTCCCTCTCTTTCTTTAAAAAGTCAGTGAGGGCTCAAGGTATAAATAAGCTTCATTCACTACCAGAACACATATTATTTATTTTATTTTATTTTAATTATACTTTAAGTTCTAGGGTACATGTGCACAGAACACATTTTAATGTAGCAAGCTTGCATATCAGTAGACACGTGTTTGTTTATATGCCAGCATCACAGTGGATGCCAAGTATCAGACATGTTCCCTAATGTCAAAGACTTTACAATCTGGCTCACGTAACACAGGAGTGAAACAGAACTAACAATCAACAGTTCCTTTCTATCTCTGATTAATAGTTCTTCCATACCTTAAATGTATTAATCTTTGTAAAATTATCTATTTTTTGTTCTTTTCTTCTGTCTTTTTACTCTCTTATCCTGTATGCTAGCTATGACACTAATGTCTCACTGCCTAATCATTGTATTTTTATAATTTTTGGAAACTGTCACATTTTGCCTCCAAAGCTGACCTTTCACAAGTTACTTAATCTTTTTGCATCTCATTTCTTCATATGTAAAATGGGGATAATAATGTTACCTTTTAAATTTGTTTTGAGCATTAAATGAGATCAATGTGATGAATTTAGCCCAGTTCCTGACACTTGATAAAATAGTCAATAGATAGTAACTATTGTCTGCATATTGGAATTATTTGTTATTATCATCATTTTACTTGGACATAGGAGGGAATCTTAAAGCAACATTTCACTATCTTCTAATAGCCAGTGTTATTATTAAGAAGTCTGATGCTAATTTCATTTCCATTACTTGTAAGTTACCTTTTCTCTTTCTCTTTCTCTTCCTCACTGCCCTCTCCCTGTCTCTAATTTTCTCTCTCTCTCTTCTCTCCATCATCACTGTTTTAAAAATTCACAATGGCATGTTTTTATTTAGCACTTTTAATCTGGACATTTCTTTTCTCCACTTCTGGAAATTTTCATTCTACTTCTTTGATAATTTCTTCCCTCCATTTTCTCTGCTCTATTTCTGGAATTTCTTAAAACTGCCAGTTTTCTTTTATTTCCATTATTCATGGTCTGATTTATTTTTGGTATTGAGTTCATGCTAATATCTGCAGCTGTCAGTGTAATTACCATTGTCATCTTAGTGTGATGGTTCTAGAGCTTGAAATTTCTATATTTAAAAACAACATTATACTTCACAATTAAAACTAAAAACTTAAGTTAGAAGTGTAGGCTAGCGGCCTACATATCACATCTTTTGACTTTGCTCTGGAGTAATTTTTAAATTACACTATTCAAAGGAATACATTTTGCTCTGTTCTCTTCTCCGTAAAGAGTAATAGCAGAGGAATTTAAAAATGAAAGAACACAAGAAAGGCCTTGAGGATGAAATGTGTTTCATCCATCTCTGAATTTTATCTTCTTTTCATCAGCTGGGCTATAGGATGGACCTAAAAAATTGGAGTTCTCTCTTATCAACATGAAACATAGCTAGCAGTCCTGACTGTATCTAAACCCATCTGAGCTATTTTAAGACCTTTGTAGATCTTCAACATTCTGGTTTTTGAAAGCCCCACTCAGAGTCTTATTAAAACTTTTTTTTTTTTTTTTTGAGACAGAGTCTCGCTCTGTCACCCAGGCTGGAGTGCAGTCGCACAATCTCGGCTCACTGCAAGCTCTGCCTCCTGGGTTCACGCCATTCTCCTGCCTCAGCCTCCCCAGTAGCTGGGACTACAGGAGCCCGCCACCATGCCTGGCTAATTTTTTTGTATTTTTAGTAGAGACAGGGTTTCACTGCGTTAGCCAGGATGGTCTCGATCTCCTGACCTTGTGATCCACCCGCCTCGGCCTCCCAAAGTGCTGAGATTATTAAAACTTTTAAAATGCACTCATATCACAAATAATATTGTCCCAGGCACTGTTCTAAGAACTTGGCATACATTAGTGAACAATACTAAGACCCTTACCCTTGTAAAGCCTTTATTCTATATAATTGATATCCAGCTAAGGAAGAGTCAGGTTGAATTGAGTTGAGTATAATTAAATGGTTGGCATGTTGTGTTAGGTAGACACTTATGTTAATACGTCAGGTTAGTCTAGACTGTACTGAGGGAACAAACAGTCCCCCAAATCCCAGTAGCTTAACATAACACAAGTTTATTTCTGGCTCACGACATGTTCATTATAGTTTAGAAGGGCTCTGCTCCATAGACGTAGTCACTGGGAACCCAGACTTCAGAAGGCATCACTGTCTTGTAGCTGCACCAATGAGTACATACGACCTCTTCAGTCTCCACAACTGGGAAGGAGTAAGATGGAGAGTCATGCATTGACTTTTAAATGTTTCATGCTAAAAGTGACAAAGGCCACTTCCAGTCACACCCAATGGCCAGAACCAGCCACAGGCCCTGCCTAACGGCAAAGAGACGGGAAAATGTGGGAAAGCCCAGGAATATTCATAGGTAGTAAATATCTCCACAATAAAGCTTATTTTAATACTTGTTTATTTCATTCTGAAGTTTTCCTTTGACACTTTAAAGTCAATAAATGTTTTCAAGTCTCAGATGTTTGCAGGAAGAACTCATAGGCCCTAAGCATTGTTCCTACAATTATAATAGTTTGCATTATATTTACTGAAAGGTTATTACATGCAGGCATTGTTTTAGGTGCTTTATATGAGTATGTAAATGTGTTGCTCATTTACTCCTCACAACAATGCTATGACGTAGGTACTGTTCCTACCCTCATTCCACAGCTGAGGAAATAGAGGCACAGAAAGGGTAAGTCACCTGCCCAAGTCACACAACTAGTGAATGACTATGCCTGAACTTGTGCCACCTCATCACACTGCCTTTCAGATGTGAAGGATAAACAGCCTGTGGAACATGCAGCATTTATATTTTCTGCCTGTACCAACACTTATGGTCACAATAATGAAAGAGGAAAGAAAAGAAAGAGGAAAAGCAAAACTTCTGTCCAGTTTGAGACCAGTAGTGAGCAGTTCTCATTTTCCTTTGGGTGTGTTTCTAGGCAGAAGAGTACATAAAGAGACAGGAGAAATAGGAGATAACCTTCTTCCTTGAAAAGCTTGAGATTACAATACCCACTACAGCCTGCATGCTGGAAAAAATGGGATAAAGCAGCTACCTAACCAGTGCTATCCTAATGGAATTTATTTTGCCTTCAAATGAGCATCTAATGTGATTAAAGAATGGAAGTTATTAAACAAACAAGGTTTACCAAGGCATTTCTTTCCAATTTTTGTGTGTGAAACAAATGTAAATGTAGCCAACTGGCTCAAGATGTTGCCTTACCCGAAACCTTGCAATTAGAGATTGTAGAACATTCATGACTCAGCACATCTATTCACAGTGCAGGCTGTTTATTTCTGGTTTTGTATTCAATGTGTCACCAAAAAGTGCAAGCAAGACTCAGCAGCATGCAAGCCTGCACTAACATGCACATGCTCAGTAAACTTAGACTAAGAATCTACACTAGACCAAGAGCACATACTGTGCAATCCCATTCATACAGTGTTCAATAACGGGCACCAACCAAGAATTTCATATCCTGCCAAACTGAACTTTATAAGCAGATGAGAAATAAAAAATTTTCCAGACAAATAAATGCTAAGGTAAGGTAAGGCAAGTGATTGTTACCACTATACCAGCCCAAGAGATCCTTAAGGGAGTTCTAAACGTGGAAACGAAAGAATAACACCTGCTACCATGAGAACACACATAAGTATATAGCCTGCAGACCCTAGAAAGCAACCACACAATAAAAACTACAAAGTAACCAGCTAACAACTTCACAATAGGATCAAACCCATATATTGATATTAACCTTGAAATATGTAACTGGCATAATTGCTCCTACTTGAAAGGCACACAATGGCAAGTTGGATAAAAACAAACAAGACCTATCCATCTGCTATCTTCAAGAGACTCATCTCACACATAATGACACCCATAGGCTCAAAGTAAAAGGTTGGAGAAAAATCTACCATGTAAACAGAAAACAAAAAAGAGTGGGGGTTGCTATTCTTATGTCAGATAAAGCAGACTTTAAACCAACAACAGTAAAAAAAAAAAAAAAAAGGACAAAAGGGCATTACATAACGGTAAAAGGTTCAATTCAACAAGAAGACTTAACTAAATATATATGCACCCACATTAGAGTAGCTAGATTCATGAAACAAGTGTTTCTAGATCTATGAAAAGACTTAGGCACATAATAATAGTGACTTCATAATAATAGTGACTTCAGCACTTCACTGACAGCATTAGACAGATCATCAAGGGAGAAAACTAACAAAGAAATTCTGGACTTAATTTCAACACTTGACTTATTGGACCTAATGGATATCTACAGAATACCCCACCCATCAACCACAGAATATACATTCTTTTCATCTGCACATGGAGCATACCGTAAGATTGACCACACACTTGGACATAAAGCAAGTTTTAATAAATTCAAAAAAATCAAAATCATACCAACCATACTGGACCACAGTGAAATAAAAACAGAAATCAATACCAAGAAGATTTCTCAAAACCACATAATTACATGGAAATTAAACAATCTGCTCCCAAATGACTTTTGGGTAAACAAAATCAAGGCAGAAATTTTAAAAAATCCTTGAAATAAATGAAAACAGAGACACAACATATCAAAATCTCTGGGACGCAGGAAAAGCAGTGTTAAGAGGAAAGCCTGTAGCACTAAATGCCTACCTCAAAAAGTTAGAAAGATCCCAAATTAACAATCTAATATCACACCTAGAGGAACTAGAAAAATAAGAACAAATTAACCCGAAAGCTAGGAGAAGAAAAGAAATAACAAAAATCAGAGCTGAACTGAACAAAGTTGAGACCCAAAAAATTATACTAAGAATCAACAAAACCAAGAGTTGTTTTTTTGTAAGGATAAACAAGATTGATAGACACTAGCTACATAAAAAAGGAAAGGCTCAAATAAGCACAATCAGAAACAGCAAAGGTAACATTACAATTGATTCCCCAGAAACATACAAGATCCTCACAAACTATTATGAACATCTCTACACAAAGAAACTAGGAAGTCTAGAGGACATGGATGAATTCCTGGAAACATACAATCTCCCAAGATTGAATCAGGAAGAAACTGAAACACTGAAAAGACCAATATTGAGTTCTGAAACCAAATCAGTAATTTAAAACAAACCTATCAAACAAAATACCCCCAGACCGAATGGATTCACAGCCAAATTCTAACAGACATACAAAGAAGAGCTGGTACCAATACAACTGAAATTATTTCAAAAAATTGAGAAGGAGGAACTCCTCCCTAACCCATACTATGAAGCCAGCATCATCCTGACATCAAAACTGGGCAAAGACACAAAAACAAAAACAAAAAAACTACAGATCAATATCCCTGATGAACATAGACACAAAAATCCACAACAAAACACTAGCAAACCAAATTCAACAGCATATCAAAAAGTTAGTTAATTCACTATGAACAAGTAAGCTTCACTCCTAGGATACAAGTTTGGCTCCACACATGCAAATCAACAGATGTGACATAAACAGAATTAAAAACAAAAGGCATATATGTTAGTTCCGTTTCACACTGCTGTACAGAACTACCTGAGACTGGGTAATTTATAAAGAAAAAAGGTTTAATTGACTCAGTTCTGCATGGCTAGGGAGACCTCAGGAAACTTACAATCATGGCAGAAGGCTAAGGGGAAGCAAGGCACATCTTTCCAAGGTGAAGCGGCAGACACAGAGTAAGCAAGAGAAGAAGTGCCACACTTTAACACCATCATATCTTGTGAGAACTCACTCACTATCATGAGAACAGCATGAGGGAAACCGGCCCCCATAATCCAATCACCTCCCACCAGGCCCCTCCTCGTGCATGTAGGGATTAAAATTCGAGATGATTTGAGTGGGGACACAGAGCCAAACCATATCACCATATGATCATCTCAATAGACACAGAAAAAGCTTTTGATAAAATCAAGTATCCCTTCATGATAAAAACTAGGCATTGAATGAACATACCTCAAAATAATAAGAGCCATCTACGGCAAACACACAGCCAACATCATACTGAACAGGCAAAAACTGGGAGCATTTCTCTTGAGAACTGGAGCAAGACAAGGATGCCCACATTCATTAATCCTATTCAACATAATTCTGGAAGTCTAGCCTGGGCAATCAGGCAAGAGAAAGAAATAAAAGGCATCCAAATAGGAAAAGAGGAAGTCAAATTATTTCTCTTCACTGATGACATGATTCCATACTTAAGAAACTCTAACTACTCCACCAGAAAGCTATTAGAACTGATAATTTTAGCAAACTTCCAGACTACAAAGCCAATGTACAAAAATCAGTAGCATTTCTATACACCAATAATATTCAAGCTGAGAGCCAGATCAAGAATGCAATCCCATTTACAATAGCCTGAAAAACATAAAATACCTAGGAATACACCTAACCAAGGAGGTGAAAGATCTCTACAAGGAGAACTACAAAACACTGCTGAAAGAAATCACGGACGACACCAACAAATGGAAAAACATTCCATGCTTATGCATTGGAAGAATCAATATCATTAAAATGGCCGTACCGCTCAAAGCAATCTACAAATCTAATGCTATTCCTATCAAGCTACCAACATCATTTTTGGTAAAAATGAAAATTTTCACCAAAGAGAATTTTGGAGAGTTGGAAAAAAAAACTGTGCTAAAATTCATACGGAACCAAAAAAGAGCTCAAATAGCCAAAGCAATTCCAAGCAAAAAGAACAAAGCTGGGGGCATCACATTACCCTACTTCAAGCTATACTATAAAACTACAGTAACCAAAACAGCATGGCACTGGTACAAAAACAGACACATAGACCAATGGAACAGAATAGAGAATTCAGAAATAAAGCCACACACCTACAGCCATCTGATCTTTGACAAAGTTGACAAAAATAAGCAATGGAGAAAGGGCTCCCTATTCAACAAATGGTGCTAGGATAGCTCTCTAGCCATATGCAAAAGAATAAACTGGACCCCTACCTCTCACTATATAAAAAATTAACTCAAAATAGATTAAAGATTTAAATGTAAGACCTCAAACTGCAAGAATCCTAAAAGGAAACCTAGGAAACACCATTCTGGAAATGGGCCTTGGGAAATAATTTATGACTAAGTCCTCAAAAGCAATTGCAACAAAAACAAAAATTGACAAGTGGGATCTAATTAACTAAAGAGTTTCTGCACAGCAAAAGAAACTATCAACAGAGTAAATGGACAACTTATAGAATGGGAGAAAATATTCACAAACTATGCATCAAACAAAGGTCTAATATCCAGAATCTGTAAGGAACTTAAACAATTGAACAAACAGAAAGCAAGTAACCCCATCTTAAACTGGACAAAAGACATGAGCAGATACTTCTCAAAAAAAGACACACAAATGGCCAAAAAACATATGAGAAAACGCTGATCATCACTAATCATTAGATAAATGCAAATGTAAACTACAACGAGATGCCATCTCACACCAGTCAGGATAGCTATTATTCAAAAGTCAAATAACAACAGATGCTGGAAAGACTGTGGAGAAAAAGGAATGCATTTACACTGTCGGTGGAAAGTTGTTTGCAGATTTCTCGAAGAACTAAAAATAGAACTGCCATTTGACCCAGCAATCCCATTACTGGGGATATATCCAAAAACAAAAAATCATTTTACCAAAAAGACACACCTATGTGACAGAGGCAATATTTTTGGAGATAAAATCTGAGAAGTTTTCAAAATTAAGGTATAAATTTTCAGATAAAAAGATCATTCAGCATCCAAAGTGGGAATAAAACAAATTATTAATCCATTATAGTGAAATGAGAGATCAAAAACAATAAGAAAACCTTAAAGACATCCAAAAAGAAAACAGATTATCTCAAATGGAACTGAAATTCGGCTGACAGCACTTATTATCAGCAACAAATAAATGCCAAAAGACAATTTAATATCTTCAA
Source organism: Homo sapiens (assembly GCF_000001405.40). NCBI lineage: Eukaryota > Metazoa > Chordata > Mammalia > Primates > Hominidae > Homo > Homo sapiens. The sequence continues at coordinate 40,371,672 of NC_000003.12, forward strand.
AGTGCTGAAGGGAAATAACTGCCAGTGTTGAAACCTATACCAACTAGATTCTTAGTCAAGAGTGAGAATAAAATAAAATGTACCAGTTGGGGTCGAACCAGATAAGGAGAACCAGTAGGAGATGAGAGAGAGAGAGAGAGAGAGAGAGAGAGAGAGAGAAATTTGTCAGAAATAATTGGTTTACACAACCGTGAAGGCTGGGAAGATCACAAACAGGCTGGAACTTCATGGACAGGTGCTGAAGCTTATTGTCCACAGATGGCAATCAGGAAATCAAGATTCAGGGAGAAGGGAGAGAGCCATTGCAGACTCATAACTGTTCAGAGTCTCCCACACAGGGAATGGCTAGGCCTTCCAAATGATGTCTTCACAGCAGTACCTAAATTAGTTTACTTGAATAGCTGAGAAGTGTATATACTGGAAAATGGCTAGTATCTCTCTTCCATCCTCCAGCTCTTGGAGGAGAATATTCCTTGTAGCCCACCATAACTGGAAACATTCTGTAAAGGAGATTCTGGGGATTGTAGTTCAGTCTAGCCAAGTTGCCTCCCATTGGCAATCCAACCACGAGGCAGTTGGCAAGAGAGCTTAGGTGATGCAACTTGTGGGCCAGAGCAGGGAGAGAAGGGTGGAGAATGTGCACAAAGGACATAGCAGTATTTATGTCTGACAGAAAGGACTTTAAGATCAAAGCATTATTAGGAGTGAAAAGGAGCATTGCTAATGATAAAAGGAGTAGTTCACCAAGAAGATATAACAATACTGGACCTATACAAATCTAACAAAATAAGCTTTGATATTTAAAGGAAACATCACAGGAGTTATAAGGAAACACCCACAAATATACTACCATAGTAGAAGGTTATAACAAAAATCTCCCAGAAAGTGATGGATTCAAATGACAAGAATTTTCTGTCTATAGAAAGTACAAACAACCCAGTAAGTTTCATATAGTGAACATATTTAGAATTCTACTCCCAATAATTAAGAACATACAGTGTAACTGAAAACCATCTAAATGTCCTTCAGCTGGTGAATGGATAAACAAAAAAAGTAAATGAATTGTTGATACATGCAACATGAATGAATCTCAAATGCATTATGCCGAGTGAAAGAAGCCAGACTCAAAGGGTCACATATTATATGATTCCATTTATATAATATCTGAAGGAGGCAAAAATTAAAGGAACAGAAAACAGATCATTGGTTTCCAGGAAGGTAGGGAAGTGGTTGACTACAAAACAGCAGTCCAAGGGAATCTGTTTTGGGGGGGCATTGAAAATGTTCTGCCAGCCCAGGCAACATGGCAAAACCCTGTTTCTACTAAAAATATAAAACAAAACAAAAAATTAGCCAGATGTGGTAGCATGCACCTGTAGTAGTCCCAGCCACTCTGGAGGCTGAGGTGGGAGAATCACCTGAGTCCTGGAAGTCAAGGCTGCAGTGAGCCAAGATTGTACCACTACACTCCAGCCTGCGTCACAGGTGTGAGACCCCAAGAAAGAAAGGAAGGGAAGGGGAAGGGGAAGAGAAAGAAAGAAAAGGTTCTGTATCTTGATTGTGGTGGTGGGGTGGTGGTTACATGACTCTCTGCATCTGCAAAAACTCACAGGACTGTACACCAAAAAACAGGGAAGTTTTCTGCATACAAACACGTTTTTAAATTAAATGTTAAAAAGTCTTTTCAAGCTCAATAAAATAACTACAAAATTGACCGAGAACAGGATCACAAAGAATGTCTTAAGAACTATCAAATGTCAACACCTCAAACCCCAAATTTTCTAACTATGGCACAATAAAACTCCCAATCAGTTATAAAAATTTAGTTCCTGAATCTTCTACTTTTGGAAACCAAAAAAATACTTTGAAATAATTCAAGAAGGCCAGGCACTGTGGCTCACACCTGTAATCTCAGCACTTTGAGAGGCCAAGGTAGGCAGATCACCTGAGGTCAGGAGCTTGAGATCAGCCTGGCCAACATGGTGAAATCCCATCTCTACTAAAAATACAAAAAACTAGCTGGGTGTGGTGGTGGGCACCTGTAATCCCAGCTATTCAACAGGCTGAGGCAGGAGAATCGCTTGAACCTGGGAGGCAGAGGTTGCAGTGAGCAGCGATTGCAGCATTGCACTTCAGCCTGGGCAACAGAGCGAAATGCTGTCTAAGAAAAAATTAAAAATAAAAAAATAATTCAAGAAGAAATCACAATAGAAATCATCAAATATTTAGAACGGAATAATAACAAAAGTATTAAATATAAAAATTTGTTGAGCATAGCTAAAGCAGCACTTGGAATAAACAGCATAGTCTTAGATGCGTATATGAAATACAGAAATTTAAAAAATAATAAGCCAAGTGTTTTGCTCAAGAAGCTAGAAAAAGGACAACAAAAATATTTTTTAAAATAGAAAGAAGAAAATAATACAAATAAGAATAACATTAGCCATAATTGCAAACGAAGGCACAACATAGAGAGGACTGTTAATAAAATGACAGTAGAATTGTGGCTGAGAGCCAGACAAAAAAACTATGAAAATAATACAGAATCCAAACAGGTGGAAAAGAGATAAATTGAAGCCAGTCAAGTGGAGAAGGAAATTAGGTGTATTCCAGCTAGGAGTATAGAATTTCATTTCCCCAAATCAGGAGATAAAAACTGGAAAGTGATTACTATTAATATTGGTGCCCAGGGAACATGTGAGGCACTTGTTTATAAACTCATTCCCACTGAAGGGCTTTGGCTGGACCTGCCCATGCCTGCTTGGTCCCAGGAAAAGACAGAGTCCAATTCTTAAAAAGGGTTTAGTGTGCGCCCATCTGTGCTTGGGTAGAAATTGACTTAATACAGAAGTTCTCAGGAACCCCAAAAGCATTTATTTCCATGAAGTTTAGTTCTCAATATTTAATGCATTAGAGTTAAAAACTTTATTCATTTAAAAATAAAAATAATAAAACCAATACAACATCATTTGCAAACAATGCAAAAATGAGAACAATCAAAATATCCACAAATAGGGAAAACCATTAGTGAACTGTAGTATATTTATATAATAGAATACTATACAGCCTATTTTAAACTAAATCTATAAATATTATCATGGATAAATCTCAGGAAAAAACATTTTGAGTGAAAAAGACACGTGGCCAAAAAAGTGGAATATACAATATCATGTATGTAAATTTTTTAAGGCAGGAAAAAATTAATTGGTAGAAGCAGATCTCTGAATGCCAGGCTGCCTTTGAATTTATTCCAGTAGGCAGTAAGAGATCACTGTTGAATGAACGAGTCATAAAAAGAGTTTGAGCAGGGAACCACATAACTTGACCTTTTCTATAAGGAGATCAGTCCTGCAGGGTTCTTAGTCTAGGGGCCATATAGAGAATTCAGGGGGTTGTGTCCTTACATGTGGAAAAAATACATCTTTGTTTATAGAAAATGTAATGTTTCCTTCAATTATGAACACAGGTAATGAAGCACAATATTAGCAAGACCTATGCCATTGTCTCCAATAGAAATCACACATGTTTTCATGTCACATTATAGTTGTGATGGATGTCTTTAAATATTCTTTATGTTCATCACACTTTAAAATGAGAGTGGAAGTTAGACCTGCTTCTGGATCTCATTATGTAATGATTTAATAAAGAAGCATATATATATATATATATATATATATATATATATATATATATATACACACACACATATATATATGTATATATATATGTTAAACCACAAATTTGATTTTTGATATGGTTTGGCTGTGTCTCCACCCAAATCTCATCTTGAATTATAGCTCCCATAATCCCCATGTGTCATGGGAGGGACCCAGTGGGAAGTAACTGAATCATGGGGGCGGATTTTTCCCATGCTGTTCTCATGATAGTGAACAAATCTCATGAGATCTAATGGTTTTATAAAGGAGCATTCCCCTGCACATGCTCTCTTGCCTGCTGCCATGTCAGATATGATTTTGCTCCTCATTCACCTTCAGTCATGATTGTGAGGCCTCCCCCACCATGTGGAACTATGAGTCCATTAAACTTCTGTTTTTAAATAAATTACCCAGTCTTGGGTATGTCTTTATTAACAGAGTGAGAACAGACTAATACAATTTTTAAAACATTTTGAAATGAATTTAATATAAAGAATTCCTGTGTAATTCTGTTTCATTTTATATATTTAATAACATGTTTTGAGAACATCTATCAGCTTAACCAGACTGCCAAAGGGGTTCATTGTAAAAAATGGTAAAAACTAAGTAAAATGGCAAAGAATGGGAAGAAGCCTGAACAGACCAATAACAAGTAACAAGATTGAATAATAAAAAGTTTTTCATCAAAGAAAAGTCCAGGACCTGATGGTTTTACTGCTGAATTCTACCAAACATTTAAAGAACTAATACCAATTATTCCCAAACTATTCCAAAAAATTAAAGAGCGAATTCTTCCAAACTCATTCTATGAGGCCAGCATTACCCTGGTATGAAAACCAGAGCGAAACAACAACAAAAAAGAAAACTACAGGCCAATACCTCTGATCAACATAGATGTTAAAATTTTCAACAAAACGCTGGCAAACCAATTCAACATCACATTTAAAAGATCATTCACCTGTATACATACGTAACTAAACCTGCACGTTGTGCACATGTACCCTAAAACTTAAAGTATAATAAAAAAAAAAAAAGATCATTCCCCATGATCGAGGAAGACTCATCCCAGGGATGCAAAGATGGTTCAACATATGTAAATCAATAAGCATGACACACCACACTAACAGAATCAAAGACATAAACCATACGATCATTTCAATAAACACACAAAAAAGCATTTGATAAAATTTGATATCATTTCATGATAAAAACTCTCTACAATCTAGGTATAGAAGGAATGTGCCTCAACACAGCAAAGGCCATATATGACAAACTCACAGCTAACATCATACTTAACAGGGAAAAGTTGAAAGCTTTTCTTATGAGATCTAAAAAAAGACAAGAATGCTCACTTTCAACAATTTCATTCAACATAGCACTGAAAGTTCTACAGATCAGTTAGGCAAGAGAAAAAAATAAAGGGCAACCAAATTGGAAAGGAGGAAGACAAATTATTCCTGTTTGTGGACAACATAATTTTATACATAGAAAACCCTAAAAACTTCACAAAAAACTGTTGAAACTAATAAACAAATTCAGTAAAGTTGCATGATATAAAATAAACATACAAAAATTAGTAGCATTTCAATACACCAATAGTGAACTTTCAGAAAAAGAAATCGAGAAGCAATCCCACTTACAAAAGCTACCAAAGAGAAGAAGAGAAAGGCAGGCGGGAGGGAAGGAAGGAAGGAAGGGAGGAAGGAAGGAAGGAAGGAAGGAAGGAAGGAAGGAAGGAAGGAAGGAAGGAAAGGGAAGGGAAGGGAAGGGAGGGGAGGGGAGGGAGGGAGGAAGGAAGGAAGGAAGGAAGGAAGGAAGAAAGGGGCTCAGGCCTGTAATCCCAACACTTTGGGAGGCCAAGGTGGCAGATCATCTGAGGTCAGGAGTTCAAGACCAGCCTGGTCAACATGGCGAAAACCCATCTCTACTAAAAATACAAAAATTAGCCGAGTGTCATGGTGGGTGCCTGTAATCCCAACTACTCGGGAGGCTGAGAAGGAGAATCACTTGAAATCAAAAGGTGGAGGTTGCAGTGACCTGAGATTGTGCCACTGTACTCCAGCCTGGGTGATAGAGTGAGACTCTGTCAGAGAAGAAAGCAAGAGAAGGAAGTAAGGAAGGAAGGGAGGGAGGGAGAGAGAGAGAGAGAGAGGGAGAGAGAGAGAGAGAGAGGGAGGGAGGGAGGGAGAGAGAGAGAGAGAGAGAGAGAGAGGGAGGGAGGGAGGGAGGGAGAGAGAGAGAGAGAAAGAAAGAAAGAAAGAAGAAAGAGAGGAAGGAAGGAAGGAAGGAAGGAAGGAAAGAAAGAAAGAAAGAAAGAAAGAAAGAAAGAAAGAAAGAAAGAAAGAGAAAGCAAGCCTAGGAATAATCTTAATTAAGGAAGTGAAAGTTTTATACAATGAAAACTGAAAAACATTAGTAAAAGAAACTGAAGAAGACACAAATAAATGGAAAGATATCACATGTTCATGGATTTGAAAAGCTAACATTGTTAAAATGTCCATACTATACAAAGCAATCTATAGATTCAATGCAATCCCTATCAAAATATCAATGATACTCTTCACAGAAATAGAAAAAAACAATAATAAAAATATTTGTATGGCACCACAAAAGACTTTGAACACCCAAAGCAATTTTAAGCAAAAAGAACAAAGCTGGTGGCATCACATGACCTGATTTCAAAATATACTGCAAAGCTATAATAATCAAAACAGCCTGGTACTGGCATTAAAAATAGACACATAGGCCAATGAAACAAAATAGGGAACACAGAAATAAATTCACGCACTTACATACACATTTATAGCCAACTGATTTTTGACAAAGAGCCAACTGATTTTTGACAAAGATGCCAAGAAGACACACAGAGATATCAGAGGGGAAAAAAAAACAGCATTTTTAAATAAATGGTCCTGGGAAACTGGATATCCACATGCAGAAGAATGAAACTAAACCCTTCTCTCACCATATACAAATATCAAATCAAGTGGATTAAAGACTTAAATGTAAGATCTGAAACAATAAAACTACTAAAGAAAACATAGGGGAAATGTTTCATGACATCAGTCTGAGCAAGAATTTTTTTGGATCAGACCTCAAAAGCACAGGCAACAAAAGCAAAAATAGACAAATGGGATCACATCAAATTAAAAAACTTGTGCACAGCAAAGGAAATAGTCAACAAAGTGAAAGAATAATCCACAGAATGGGAGAAAATATTTGCAAACTATTCATTTGACAAGGAGATACTATTTAGAACATGTAAGGAACTCAAATGACTCAGAAAAAAAAAACACAAATAATACAATTTATTTATTTATTTATATTTATTTTTGAGATAGAGTCTCACTCTGTCGCCCAGGCTGGAGTGCAGTGGCGCAATCTCTGCTCACTGCAAGCTCCGCCTCCTGGGTTCACACCATTCTCCTGCCTCAGCCGCCCGAGTAGCTGGGACTACAGGCACCCGCCACCATGCCCAGCTAATTTTTGTATTTTTAGTAGAGATGGGGTTTCACCGTGTTAGCCAGGATGGTCTCGATCTCCTGACCTTGTGTTCTGCCCTCCTCGGCCTCCCAAAGTGCTGGGATTACAGGCGTGAGCCACCATGCCTGGCCAATACAATTTTTAAGTGGGCAAAAAACCTGAGTAGGTATTTCTCCAAAGAAGACATACAAATAGCCAACACATTTATGAAGAAATGCTCAACATCATTAATCATCAGGGAAATGCAAATCAAAACGACAATGAGATATCACTTCACCCGAATTAGAATGGCTATTATAAAAAAGACAAAAAAATAACAAATGCTGGCATGGATGTAAAGAAGGAGGAACTCTTTATATACTGTTGATGGGAACATAAATTAGTACAGCCATTATGGAAAGCAGTTTGGAGGCTCCCAAAAAAGTTAAAAATGAAACTAGTATATGATTCAGCATTCCATTGCTAGATATATATCTAAAGGAAATGAAATTAGTATGTCAAAAAATATCCATACTCTCATGTTTATTGTAGCACTATTCACAATAGCCAAGATATGGAATCAACCTAAGTGTCTGTCACGTAAGTGTCTATCACTATCAATGGATGAGTGGATAAAGAAAATGTGGTATATATACACTAGAGAATACTACTTAGCCTTAAAAAGAAATTAAATCCCGTCATTTGTGACAACATGGTTCAACCTGGAGACTATTTTGTAAAACGAAATAAGCCAGGCACAGAAAGACAAATACTGCATAATTTCACTCATATGTGCAACCTAAAAAAATTGATCTCATAGAAGTAGGTAGAATAGTGGTTACCAGAGGCTGGGGAAAATACAGAGGAGTAGGGCATAGGAAAAGTTTGGTGAACAGGTACAAAGTTACAGTTAGATAGAAGGAATAAGTTATGATGTTCTATTGCACAGTAGGGTGACTATGGTTAACAATATTATTATGGTATATTTCAAAATAGCTAGAAAAGAGGACTTTTAGTGTTCTTACTACAAGTAAATGATAAATGTTTGAGGTGATGGGTTTGCTAAATATGCTGGTTTAATTATTACACAATGTATACATGTATCAAAACAACACACTGTATCCCATAAATATGTACAATTATTATGTGTTAATTAAAAACAAACAGGAAAACAGAATGGGGGGGAAGGTTGGGGCAGATTCCTGGAAGGCTGTTGCAGGAGTCTGCAGTCTGATTCTGTGATAAAAGGGCCCAGACAAGGGTATAGTAAGAGGAAAGGACTGAAGTTCTGATACACGAGTGTCTGACTCATTTCCTGCCCAGGCCCAGTATCTAGCACAGTGCCTGGCACATAGAGGCCACCAAGTCAAATCTGTTAAATGAATAGAAAATGGAACTGGCATGAGAGGCAAGTGTGAAGTGGAATATACTGGGTTAGTCCAGCGAGTAGGATTATGAGGCTAGGAAGAAGGACGGACCAAAGGCATAGAGGCTGTTGCATCAAACTTAGATACGTTCCAGTGAAGTCTGAAGCTAGAGCAGGTGCAAGTGGATGGCAGACTTGCAATGTGCCTACCAAAAGTAAAGGGCTCATTTGTCTTCTGAGCCTTTGGATAGCCCATAATCACACATTGCTGTTAGTTTTTAATTTCACTGGATCTTGTTCCAGATTTGCTTTTTCTCCTTTATACACGGGCCTCTTGAGCATATTTGTCAGTCCTCCTGGATGTTGTCCACAAAGTCAAGTTTGGATGAGGCTTTTCCTAGCTCAGAACTTCTATTGCAAGGAAGAGTTTGCCCTACTATATAATACCACCCAGACAAGACCTGAATCTAGGGCCAGAATCACAAATTTTTTTCAAAAGCAATTGGATTTTATGATGGTTAATTTTACATATCAAGTTGACTAGACTGAGGCAGGGGGTAAGATATTTGGTTAAACATTATTCTGAGTGTGTCTGTGATGTTGTTTCTGTAAGATTAACATTTGAATCAGTAGCTTGAGTAAAGGAGTTTGCCCTCCCCAGTGTGGGTACACATCATCCAATCCTATGACGGTTTGAATAGAACAAAAAGTCAGAATAAGCCAGGTACAGTGGCTCATGTCTGTAATCCCAGTGCTTTGGGAGGCTGAGGCAGGAGGGTTGCTTGAGGCCAGGGGTTCAAGGCCAGCCTGGGCAACATAGCAAGATAGCATCCCTACCAAAAAAAAATTTTTTTAAATTAACTGGGCATGGTGGTACACACTTGTGGTCCCAGCTACTCAGGAGGCTGAGGGAGGAGGCCAGGAGTTTGAGCTCACGAGTTCAAGGTTGCAGTGAGCTATGGTTGTGCCACTGCACTCCAGCCTGGGCAAGAGAGTGAGATCCTGTCTCTAAAAAATAAATAAATACTTTTTAAAAGGTGGAATAAGGGAGAATTCACTGTCTGCCTGCTGTCTTCTAGCTGAGACGCTGGTCATCTCCTGCCTTTTGGCTTGGGCTAAGACTGAAACTTACGCCATCAGCTCTCCTGGTTTTCAGGGCTTCAACCTCAAATTACAACTATATCCTGGGCTCTCCTGGGTTTCCAGTTTGCTTACTGCAGATCCTTGGGCTTTTCGGTCTCTGTAACCACACAAGCCAATTTGTTATAATAAATCTATTTACATATATACAGATATACGATTCACTTTCTCTGGAGAACTCAGACTTATACAATTTTTTTGGAAATTTTAGTTGGACACAATCTTCTTTGTCTACAACTCTCCATCCACAAAAACATTACAAGACCATAAATTTAGAGCAAAATCATTTGTTCCTTGTGCTTGTTAAATTTGCTGAGCCAACAAGGTGCATCAAGAAAAATGAAGAATAAATTTCAGAAGAACTTAAGTTTGGCTAAAATGGGGAGGGTGAGGTCTGCTTTGAAGGGGGCAGAAAAGAGGGTTCTGTGGGACACATGCACACATGGGCACACAAACAGGCACACACACACACACACCTGCTCCATTTCCTCCTCATCTGCTCTTCATGACTTCTGGCAGTCTAACTTCCATCCCAAGGCTCCACTCTTAGCCCTTTACTCCTGTTCATCTCTACTTTCTCCCCAAACTCCAACTATTCCCTTTGTGTTAATGATATATATACCTCTAGCCTTGTGCTTTCAAAAATAATGGAATCACAGCCTGTCTGATTCATCTAATGCCTTCATTTCACAGATGAAAAAATTGAGGATCCTAGAGGTCTACAGATATGCCTAAGATCGCACATCTGCTGGTAATTAGAAGAGTTGAGACTCAAGCCAGGTTTCCTAACTACCAGTATAACATTCTCTGATAACGTGGTTGTCCCTCTAGTCTATAGTTAGCTATGAATTATCTCCAATACTACAAGCCTCAACATACAATCAGAGAGATAGCAGTCACTTGTAAAATGTTGAGTCTTAAATAGATAACTGGAGAAAAGTATTTATCATATAAGGTAGTAAAATGGTTAATATTCTTAATCTATAAAAGAGCATCCTATTCACTCAACACATATTTACTGAGTGCTCACTAGACAGTTAACAGTGCTAAGCACTGAGAATGCAAAAAGTGATGTAAGAAAAGCATGATTTCTGCTTGCACGTGGTTTACTGTCTAGTGGACAGAGAAAGACTAACGAGAGAATTCCTGTTATGAAAGGCAGTTGTGCACAGCTTCTCACCCCCTGCATCGTTACATAAGAGCAGCCTTGGGCCTGGAACATTTTCTTGCACAGAGATAAAGAGTCATCATAGCCTGTGCTAGGCACATCTCTGCTTTGTAATAACTTTCCCCGTTCCGGGTTTCACGTGTACTTCTTTGTTCTTAAGCGCATGGGTCAATGGCCATCAAGTGCACCTCCAGCTTTCTATAGTTCTGGCCCCAGGGGGATGGGTTGAGGATCTTCACCTGCAGCAACAGAGCAGTGTATGCATTCCATCTCCCTGCATCAGCTAGAGGTCAAGACCCACTGCCATGGGGGCACACAGTCATCACTGAAGCTAATCCTGTTCCATCTCTTCTCTATATGAGTAAAGTGTTTTCCATCCAGTGCCTGTGTGAATCATCTTTCTTGGTGACATGGACATCTCCAAACCATACAGTAAGTTAACATCCTGGGACTGCTGCTTTGGTGATAAGCAACAGGGGTCATTTGCTCAACAACGACTGTAATGAAACTCTAGCTGAAAGAAAGGAATGCCTGCTTTAAAAGCACATAATTTAGGGACTTGACCCAGTTTGGATGTATGATCCAGATTAGGGGATGCCGGGGAAGTATCAGTGAAATGACTGAAGTGAGAAAAAAAGTATAAACAAGTGCTAATTAGTAAAATAATGTACAAAGGTCCTATGGCAGGAGTAAACATGATATATTTGAAAAACTGAAAGAAGGCTGGTTTGTCTTCAGAGCATGAAGTAAGAAGTAGTATGGGTTAATAGAGACTGGAAAGAGAGATAGAGAATATACCTTGCAGGGCCTTCCAGGTCACATTGAGAATCTGATTGTGAATCCACTAAGAAATGGACAGCATAGAAGAGTGTTTTACAGAGAGTTTTGACACAGAGAGATCTGGGTTTTGAAGAGATGGGGCCTGTTGGCTTGGGAAAATGGATCAGAGAGGAAGAAAATGGACACAGAGAGATGTGTGAGACCGTTGCCAAGATCCAGAAAAGTGTGCATGGTAGCTTAGACCAGTGGTTCTCACCAGGGAAATTTTACTCCTCTGAGGACACTTGGCAATGTCTTGAGACATTCTTGGTTGTCACACCATGTGTGGGAGGATGTTACTGGCAACTAGTAGGGAAAGGTCAAGGATGCTACTAAACATCCTACAATATACAGGGCAGTTCCCTCAACAATCATCTGACCTGAAATATCAATAGTGCTCCAACTGAGAAATCCTGGCTCAGACCAAGATGGTGGCTGAGAGAGAAGGAAGTACATATTGCAGAGACGATTAAGAGGCTAAAATCAGCAGTAATTAGTGACTGATTGATCGTGTATAATGGGGGAAAGACTATCAAAGGCAACCCTCAGGTTTCTGGCTTGCTCACCTGGATGAGTGGGGAGTGCCGAGATGAGAAATGCTTGAGGAGTTGATGGTTTGGTAGGGGAAGATAAGGAGCTCTGCTTGAAACCCTGTAAATGTGAGGTGCCTATATGACACTTGAAAGATGAAAAACACAATTCTCTAGGTCTACAGATCAAGAGGGGAAGCCTGAACCCTGTATTTGAGAGCTTCTGTGAATAAAACAGAAGACGTAGGCATGGATGAGATTACCTAGGAAAAGAATACAGAATGAGAAGAAAATAATCCTGGAGACTGAGTCTTGAGAAACTCCCAGGAAAGGAGCAGGAACCAGCAAAATTGTCTAGAGAAGTGGGAGGACATGGCACGCATCAGATGCTTCAAGAGGGCCTGTTTCCTGGCACCTTCTCCAACACAAGCACCACTGATTATTATTGCTATTTTTTTTTGAGACAGGGTCTTGCTCTATAGTCCAGGCTAGAGTGCAGTGGCATGATCTCAGCATCTCAGCTCACTGCAGCCTCCACCTCCCAGATTCAAGTAATTCTCGTGCCTCAGCCTCCTGAGTAGCTGGGACAGGCATGCACCACCACACCTGGCTAATTTTTGTATTTTTTGGTAGAGACGGGGTTTCACCATTTTGGCCAGGCTGGCCTTGAACTCATGACCTCAGGTGATCAGCTGACCTCGGCCTCCCAGAGTGCTAGGATTACATGCGTGAGCCCCTGTGCCTGGCCTAGATCTTTTTAAACTTTGCTAAGCTAATCAAGTCTAATCAGTTTTTTTTTAATCTTGTTTAAATATACCAAAGTTTTAGTTGACAATTTTTGGTAAATAATGAGATTAAGCATCTCTGCCATGTTAGTCAGCCATTCATATTTCTTTTGTAAATTGGCCAATGCATGTGACTTGCCCATTTTCTATTTCAGATATTCATATTTTTCTATAGACTTTAGTATATCTTACGGTTTTAAACTCTTTACTGTCACATTCTTAGGTATTTCCTGAGAATTTATCTTTTTTTTGGTGGGGGGGGGTTGCAGTGGGTGGTGTCTTTCTATTCAGTCATTTTTCATTTTCATGGATTCAAATTTGTTGACTTTATTTCTCTTCCTGCTTTGACTGCATAGTAGAAGAGACTGTTCTTTCCCAAGGATGATAAAAATGTTCTTCTACATTTTTTAGTATGTCAAATTATTTTATACATTTAAATTTTTAAACCACCTAAAATCTATTTTTGTGGGTGATGAGTAATTAGAATCCTTTTCCAAATGAGCCAGTTGTTTCAATACCAGTTATTGAATAATATGTTATTTCAACCTGTTCTTTATCTTATAATCCTATATCCAATAGTCTGTTGTGGCCTATCTTTTTTGTTCTTTAGATCTCTCAGTATATTCCTGTGCCCAAGCCAGGCTGTTTTTATTACTGTGGCTTTACAATATGTTTTGATAGCTGGTGGGCAAATCTGTATTATTTTATAATCAGGAAAACTCACAAAGGAGTGTGTGTGTGTGTCTGTGTGTGTGTGTGTTCTTGCATGTGGAAGGTGGATGAGGAAATGCCTTTGAATGACTAGGTCTACTTTGGAAGCTGCAAAGGAGTTTGACACAGTGCCTGGAGCAGAGTTTCCAGAAAAGCTTGGAAAAATAAAAGGAGAATTGGAGACTACAGGGCTCTCAAAGGAGGCTGATGCTCACACTTACAAGGTCTGTAGGTTGATGCAAGCAGAGAGGAAAGCTGGCATGGACTGATCTCTGTTATTTTTATACACTAGCACTAACTGCCTTTCAAGGCCCATTAGGCCTGGAAACCTTTTCCCAGCCCCTGGGAAGTCACTGGGGATGCTAAGGTTAGTCATTCACCCACTGGGGCTATCTAACTGAGCTCAGGTCCGGGTGCACTGCCAGCAGCTGTTTGTGTACTTACAGCCCCCTGGGTGCAGACGGACCCCCAGCTGCCAGCCATATGCCTTATGTTTCATTGTCCCACAGCTTTCAAAGAAAACAAGTCTTTTAATTCAGCAAGTATTCACTGAATGTCTGACACCCCCAGTGCAGACCCTGTCCCAATCCCCCAATGGGGTCCACCTCTATCCAACTCTGGGTGAATGACCATGGTGCTCTTGCGCGCGGGCACACACACACACACACACACACACACACACACACACACACAGGCACACACACATAACTCAGGCTTGGGGCCCACCTCTCTGGGCTCAGAGGTATCAAAGCAGGGGCATTCCTATCTTAAGGACTTCTTGTCTTAGGGGCTTTGGCCCCACCTGCACAGGACAGAAAATTAGTGGATTTCTAGGAGAAAGCAGGCTATGGCAGGGTATAGCCAGGGACTCAGCTCTTCCTTCCAGACATGCAGGAACCATAAGGAGGGATGGTCAAACAGGGCCTGCTTAGGCCTCTTGCTGGGATCACTCCAAGGGTCTCTGGGGTCACTCAGAGGAGCCGGGAGGCTGCCTGCTGCTGTACACTGAGACAGACTCCTGGGGTGTTTGGATCACGGCAGCCCACATGCTGCCTTTTTGTTATCTTTTCTGTTTTGCCTCTTCCGGGCTGTACTTGTCTTGAGTTTTTGGCCTTATGACATCCATATTAAATGGGGTAGGGCAGAGCATTGCTCAGTAAACAGCAAGAATGGCCCTGGGCATGGCCAAGGCAGTTCTGCTAAGTGTGAAAGGGAATGTGCCTGCCATACTTTGTGCTTTAGGCCCAAGTGACCTAGGGGCCAGCCTGCCTACTGGCCTCACTCCCAACATTACAGGTGTTTGACTCTACTCCACCCCGTGGAGAGACGGAGCACAGGAGCCACCCACCGGGGGACCACATAAGGTCATGCACACCCACAGAGTGCCCAGTCCCTGCCTGGCCTTGTCCCCATTTTCCCTCCACCTAGGGTTGGGGTGACAATGGAGGTAACTAGAAGACAGATCAAAAGGTTCTTGGTCTTGACACAGATGCAAGAAGGAGGCAGATAATAGACACCTCCCTTCCCCCTCGCCCACATAGGCTCCGGTGGGTTCTCAGGGCAAGGCCTGGCTCCCTCCTCTCCGACTTCAGGTACAGGTGAGTGTGGAGGGAACTGAAAGAGGAAAGGTGAAGTGCTGTTTGGCTTCGACCTGGAGGGGGACAGAAGGCTCTCTGGGCAGGCAGGGCCGGTCTTTTGGCAAGAGGCGCGCTCTCTCTCCCTTCCCCTTCCATCGAGGGCTGGGTGTGAAGGTGAGAGCAATCAGAAAAGAAGGTGAAGAGGTACTTGGCCTTGACACGGACGGGGGGGGCGGTCCCAGGCCGAGGCCGCCCCGCCCCCGCCCCGCTATACCCGGCGCCGCCTCCCGGCGTCTGAGCTGACACCTCCTTAGCGCTGGCCGCGGGCCGCCTCTGCGGCAGCGCTAGTCGCCTTCTCCGAATCGGCTCCGCACAGGTAAGATCAGGGGACCCGGCGCCTGAGCTGCCGAGGAAGGAGTCGGGGGTGCTGCGTGAGACTGAGAGTTGGGAGGCAAAGAAACAAAATCGGATTTCCTCAGAGGGCCAGAGGAAGAGACTGAAACACGGTAGCCCCAAATCCTTGGGCGGCTGGGAGGTGGTCCCTGTCATGCCCACGACGGGTGGGCGCGTCTTTACCGACAGCCTGCATGGATCCGCAGATGTGCTGGGCGCTTAGATGCCTGCGGCTATGCAGAGACGCAGTCCAGAGAGGTGACCCCAGATCCTGGTGGGGGCTGGATCCCAGGGCCCCGACATCCCTTTGCAATTTCCAGCCAGCAGCTAAAGACTCCCTTCCCGGGGCTTTAGAGAGGCTCCAGGCTCGCGATCCATGAACACACAAAAACCTTCCTTGCTCATGTTCTGAAAAAAAGCCCCGCCTCAGCTTTGTGAATGTTAATAATAGGGGGAAGATTTGTTCTCTCTTGGGTGTGTGTACAGGTGGAACAATCTGCAGAAAAAGACCTTTTTTCGGAAAACCTTTTCAGTTTGAAGTTTCAGCAAATCCATTTTTCATTTCCTTTCATTTGGGGAGATGACATGAAATTTAAGCTCCAGCTTTGGGGCTGTCTCTGAAGTTCTGGGGTTCGGCTTACCTTTCCCGGGATGAGGTTTTGATTTGGAGGAAGTAAAATGGGTTTTGTCTTAACCTGGGCTCGTTCTTTAAACTTGTGAGGCCGGGGCGGTGGACTTACTGACATCCTGTATTCTCTCACCTGCAGCTAGGAGAAAAGATGTTCACTGTGCTGACCCGCCAACCATGTGAGCAAGCAGGTTAGTATCTCTCAGCAGGTAGCAAGCGTGGTTTTGCCAAATCGCAAGAGAACCCCAGCTTCGGCCTACAGTTTTTCATCCATATCCCCTGCAAATGATTGTTTAACTTTATTGGTTTGAGACTCAGTACTCAGCTGGGTTTCAACACCGGCATTCCTCAAATAAAAGTAATGCTTTTCATCAAAGCCACACAAAACAAGGACTAACATGCATGTTTCACTTAAATGGTTTTTCCGGTTTGTATAATCCATTAATTTGGCCCTTGTGGTTTCCCTTAGCTAGCTGTGTGTAACGTTTGCTTTAGAATACTGTATTGTTGATTTTGTGATCAATTGTACAGTACTTGGATCTTTCCTGTATTCCCATCCAAATGTTGCTGGCACAGTGCCTACAACACCCCCACCCCTCACTGTGAGTCAGTGTTGTTATGGTTGATACTGCAGGCACAAGTGCAGGATTTTCTCACACTGGAAGGCACACACACACAGACACACACACACACACACACACACACACACACACACACACTTCTAAGCTTGCCCCGCCTGCCTCTAGAGCACTTTTTGGAGTTGCTCATGTGGAAGCCCAGAAGGCTCTGGCTTCTCCAAGCTCAGGTAGGTACCTTGCAATTACCATGTTTGTCCAGCCCTAATGACAGCACAGCTCTAGGCTGCATTTCCTAAATGAGTAAGACCTGGTCTCATCCATTTTGCTTTGTAATAAGCTTTTCTGCAAGGACAAGAGTTTGCTTAAGGTAATCATAGCTTTTTACTTGAAAACTGCTGAAACACAGAAGACTTAGGAGGCCAGCCACGTAGCTGTGGTCAGGAAACTGCATACATATCACACACTCCTCCCCCATGGATAGACATTCTTTAGTCATGCCCCTAAATTGGGTATTCTTGTCTTCCAAAAGGATATGATTTTAGGATAGTAAGGGCAATCTATATGAACTTTTATTTTTGTAAAGGGACATTGCACTTGAGGAGCTGTTTTCCTTTGATCTTTAGGTTTTCCCCCAAAACACTTTGAAATGTTAACACAGATTGTAACGTCACTCATACAGACTAACCTGTTACATTCCTTCCAAAGGACAAGTTTAACTTGGCAGATTAAATTTCTACCCCATTTTGTTAGAGGGAAAAAATCCCTTAAACTTCTATAACTAACACTGACAAATGCATTCTTTGAAAGCTAATGCAAAAGTTTGCCTCTGTGGATTAACTGGTTCCTGTACTTTTATTTGGAATCACAGAAAAGTGATACAGGACCTCTTTACATGCTCTGCAGGTCAACTCCATGGCAGTTGGCTCTCCTTTCCATTGCTATTACCCACAATTCTGTAATGAGTAACCTTGTGTCTAAGTCATTTTACACATGTGGAGCTAGTTCTGTGGGATAACTTCCCAAAAGAGTGATTGTGAGTCAGATGGCATGCTTATTTGCAGTTTTCATAAATATTGACAAGTTGCCCTCCATTGATGCTGTACCAGTTTACACTTTCAATGACAAGGTAGGAGGATTAAGGTGTTAAGTGACCAACTTTGACACCAAGAAGTGTCTGTGACTGCAGCTACACTGCAGGGGAATCAGTTGAGATGGAAAGAGTTAGCTGTTCTGAGCCATGAAGACCTACTGCGTGACTGCCCTCCTGTAGCAAATGTTGTGATGTGACTGAATTTGGGGGCTGAATCTAATTATATCGTGGGCGCATAGACATGCCCTGTTATTCTTCTGGGAAAATGGCTTACAGAAATAATGGAGGGGTAAAGCATAGGTTATAATGATCTAGGAATAATGTTCTGGAATAAGACAGGATCTATCCAATTGCTGTTCAATTGATCTTCCTATAATGATGAAAATGTTATATGGCTGCACTGTCCAATATAGTAGCCACTAGCCCACATGTGGTTATTGAACACTGGAAATGTGGCTAGTAAGATTGAGAGACTGCATTTTTTTATTTTAATTAATTTACATTTAGATAGCCAATTGATTAGATATATATTGGAATTCGATGAATCTAGTGATCTTTCTATTAGTGTTCATCATATTTCAACCATTTGGTTGTCATTTATGTTGATGTCCCAATAGTTTTACCAAGACTATTATTATTATTTTTTTAGAGACAAGGTCTCACTCTGTCACCAGGCTGGAGTATAGCGGCACAGCTCACTGCAGCCTTGAGCTCCTGGGATCAAAGGATCCTCCAACTTCAACCTCCTGAGTAGCTTGGGCTACAGGTGTGCACCACATGTACAGTTGATTTTTTTCATTTTTTGTAGAGACGGGGTCTCACTATGTGGCTCAGGCTGGCATCTAACGCCTGGCCTCAAGCATCTTCCCATCTCAGCCTCCCAAAGCTGGGATTACAGGCATAAGCCACTATACCCAGCCCAAGATTATTATTTAGTCAGTATTTTCATTGAATGTCTTTTTATCTTTTTAAAAAATTAGGTATAACTTCTATTCAGTGAAATGGATAGATCTTAAGTCGTGCCCCTAAGTTGGGTGTTCTTGCCTTCTAAAAGTATGTTTTTAGAATAGTAAGGGCAATTTATAAGTTTATAATGTTTTTTTAAAAGGAAATTATACCTAAGACACTGATTTGCTTTCATTTTCAAGTTTTCTCCAAAGGACTTTGAAAGGTTTGATGAGTTTTGACAAATGCACACATCCATATACTCCACACTCTGTATAGCGCATTGCCATTACCCCAAGAAAGTGCCCACATATTCCTTCTCAGTGAATCCCTGCCCCAACTTCTGCCCCCTGGCAATCACTATTCTGATTCCTGTTACCTTCCTACTTTTGAACTTCAAATAAATGAAATCATTTCAGTATAGTATAGTACTAATTTTTTTATTTTTATTTTATTTTATTGAGACAAGGTCTTATTCTGTCACCCAGGCTGGTGTGTAGTAGTTTGATCTCAACTCATTGCAACCTCCACCTCCTGGCTTCAAGCAATTCTCCCACCTCAGTCTCCCGAGTAGCTGGGACTACAGGCGCATATGATCACACCTGGCTAATTTTTGTATTTCTTGGTAGAGACATGGTTTCACCATATTGGCCAGGCTGGTCTTGAACTCCTGACCTCAAGTGATCCACCCACTTCGGCCTCCCAAAGTGCTGGGATTACAGGGGTCAGCCATCTGCCCAGCCTAATTTCTTTTTCTTTAACTGAGATTATTTTTAAATGAAATATTCTATGAGATTATTTTTAAGTGAAATATTCTATCACCTGGTTTAATTTTTTAAAAATAGATTTTTTGAATCTCCATTAAAACTAATGTTAGCTGGGCGTGGTGGCTCACACCTGTAATCCCAGCACTTTGGGAGACCGAGACAGGCAGATCACTTGAGCCCAGGAGTTCGAGACCAGCCTGGCCAACATGGTGAAACCCTGTCTCTATTAAAAATACAAAAATTGGCTGCCGTGGTAGCAGGCACCTGTAATCTCAGCTATTCAGGAGGCAGAGGCAGAAGAATCGCTTGAACCTGGGAGTTGGAAGCTGCAGTGAGCCAAGATCACGGCACAGCACTCTAACCTGGGCGATAGAGTGAGACTCCATCTCAAAAAAAAAAAAAAAGAAAAGAAAAAGAAAAAAGTAAAACAAATGTTATTGTAATTCATCTCAGGGATAACCAAAATATCAGAAAACTAGACCATGCATACCCTCCCTGCAACACTGTTTTAGTACACAATTTGTGAGGAAGGGCAAATAGGTATTGTTTGTGCTTCCCCAAAACTGGGGAGAAGGGGAGCTTATTTGCTACTCCATCTTAGAAGTGTGGGTCTCGCTAACACCAGAGAAGGTGGTTTATGCACCTGATTATGGGGCCAGTCCATCAATTCTACAAAGAATACCAGTGCCTGGTTTTTACCTCCCCCTCAAGTGTCTTCTGGGTCTTCTCATTTTAGGCCTCAAGGCCCTCTACCGAACTCCAACCATCATTGCCTTGGTGGTCTTGCTTGTGAGTATTGTGGTACTTGTGAGTATCACTGTCATCCAGATCCACAAGCAAGAGGTCCTCCCTCCAGGACTGAAGGTAAGTGTGAAGGGACTGGCAACAAAGGGAAGAAATGAGCATAAAGGGGAAGAAATCAATTATTCCAAAACCATGAGTTAGAAGAGCAGAAAATCCTTTCCCCCCATCTCTGGCTGAAGCCAGGAGAAGTTAGTGTAAGACGCAAGGGAGAAGGTCTGGACATGCTGGGTTTGTGATATTTGAGGCTACAAATTGAGGGTAGTGACTGACACCTTCTCCAAGGACTGTGTAGTCTTGCTTTGACTTCTGACTTCAAAGCTAAAATTTGTAACCAAGAGTTGCAGATAGCTATCAAAGATTTACCAGTTCAGCCAGGTGCGGTGGCTCACGCCTGTAAGGCACTTTGGGAGGCTGAGGCAGGTGGATTGCTTGAGTCCACGAGTTCGAGACTAGCTTGGGCAACATGGTGAAACCCATCTCTATCAAAAAAAAAAAAAAAAAATTTACCGGTTAGTGCACTTTCCATTTTGACCAGTTTATCTGTTCTCCCAACCACACAACCCTGATAATGAGTAAAGACCGAGGCTGAGCACAGTGGCTCATGTCTGTAATTCCAGCACTTCGAGAGGCCGAGGAAGAAGGATTGCTTGAGCCCAGGAGTTCAAGACCAACCTGGGCAATATAGAGAGACTCCATCTCTACCAAAAAGAAATTTTTCCAAAAAAAGGAAAAAAGAAGTCAAGACCAGGAGACCCAGGCACCTCTTCTAGCCTAGGCTGAGTGAACAAAAAATCAAGAACTTGAGAAGGTCTCCTTGAGCTCTATTTGTGCTGCTACTCTTGAGTCTAGAACATGTGCTGTGTTCCTTCCAACACTTCCCTCAACAACACCCCCCCGGCAAAAAAAAAAAAAAAATTACTCAGGACCTTGTGCTTAGTCCCAGAGGCCCCTCTTAGTTCTCAACAAGTCCATCCCCAAATGATCTTTAGGCTCAGAATCATAATATATCCCCAGGCTTGGCTCTGAGGGTGCCCTTGGAGACAGGAGGTGATTCCATGAGAGGCTGACAAGGGAAAGATGAAGCAAGTTGATGAGTCCTTCAATCATTTTGGGTAGGGGTCAGCAAACATTTCTCATAAAGGGTCAAATAGTATATATTTTAGGCTTTGAGGTCCATTTATAGTCTCTGTTTTATAACTCTTCTTTGTTTTTTGACTCATTAAGAATGTACAAACCCTTCTTAGCTGTGCCATAGGGACCAGGTAATTCAGCCATGTTCTTTGAATCTCATTTAACATTTACACTTGACCTCACAAGTCTTTTCCATATCTTCCTGCTGTTAGTGACTATTCAAAGGTAATATTTGAAATACATAGACATTTTTAAAAGAAAAGAAACTAATATTGTTTTGGACTCTAAGGATGGGTTTGAGCTAACATTCTAAGGCAGCTTTTCTAAAAGATTAGAGTAAAATCTCCATTAGATAATATAATAGCATTTGGTTCCTTGATAGGATATTTTATTTAAGAATCTCAGCCCTCATGAATAATGTGAATTAAAAATTAAAAAAAAACCTTATGCAATCACCCAATAATGAGAAGAAAGCAAATTACCCAGTTGTCCAAAGATATTAGCTGAGGCCTAAAAGAAGGTGTTTTCCCAAGCTCCAGGCACTGCCTTCTACAAACTACTGTATATAAAATTGGGACTTTGGGAGGCCGAGGCGGGCGGATCACGAGGTCAGGAGATTGAGACCGTCCTGGCTAACGTGGTGAAACCCCATCTCTACTAAAAATACAAAAAATTAGCTGGGCGTGGTGGTGGGCGCCTGTAGTCCCAGCTAGCTACTCAGGAGGCTGAGGCAGGAGAATGGCGTGAACCCGGGAGGTGGAGGTTGCAGTGAGCTGAGATAGTGCCAACTGCATTCCAGCCTGGGCAACAGAGCGAGACTCTGTCTCAAAAAAAAAAAAAAAAAAAAAAAAAAGGAACTGCAACTAAGAGTAATATATTTTTTATTTTTTATTTTATTGTTATTATTTTGTGAGACGGAGTCGTGCTCCGTCACCTAGGCTGGAATGCAGTGGCATGATCTTGGCTCGCCCCAACCTCTGCCTCCACAGTTCAAGTGATTCTACTGCCTCAGCCTCCCAAGTAGCTAGGATCACAGGTGCCCACCACCATGCCCAGCTAATTTTTTCTTGCTGTATTTTTAGTACAGATAGGGTTTCACCGTGTTGACCAGGCTAGTCTTGAACTCCTGACCTCAGGTGATCCACCCACCTCAGCCTCCCAGAGTGGTGGGATTATAAGCATGAGCCACCGTGCCCAGCCGCAACTAAGAGTAATATCTCTTTACACTTTGTATAGTGCTATTCAGTTAAGTCAGCGCTTTTCCCTCATTACATCACTTAGTTCTTATGCCAACCATAGAAGGTGGACAAAGCGAGCACCATGACTGCCATTTTGAAAGTGAGAAAATACAGGTTTGGTCAGTGAATGACAGGTCCAGAACTGAAACCTGGTCCCTTCTGTTCCCAAGGCCAGGGCTCTCTTCACTGCCTCCCACTTCTCCCTGACCCTGAGTTCTGAATGGAGATCCCAAATGGAGGGAAGGGATTGGCCTCAGATAAGAGAACACTTCCTGCTTTGCACAGGATGGAAAGGTAGGGAGGATGCATGCAGATGTGGGAAGGTTTGTTGAATTGAAGGAGAGGAGTTAAGCCTAGTACCACCCTTAGACCCTGATAGCTGGGCTGCCTGCCCTGGGCCCCACATTTCAGAAGGACCAGCTCTAGTTGCACTTCAGGCTTATCTCTCTCTATGACCCAAACGAATGTGTTTACCCAGAGCCCATGTTTCCCCTTCTAGAACACACTGTGGTGCCCAAGACTTCAGAATCTAGGGTCTTCGTGGACCTCCAGAAGGTGGACATCACCAATGGTCTGAGGGGTGGCCAAGAGGCAGCTGCTTACAGGGAGTGTAAACAGAGCATAGCTGTGTGGTCTGAACTGTCCACACACAGGTGCATGGGCTCTTTATTCTGTGAGAACAGGTTTGGGAAAGGGACAGGGCAGAAGCCTCTATTCATAAAATTTTGTCTCTAATCCTACAAATGTTAGAAATGGGCTGGTTAAGGCAGTTGCCAGCTGATGGCTTCTACTTGTTCTGGACAGTAACAGGCAAGTCCTCTGTTCAAAATGGAGAGACATGGAGGAATCAGATGGAAGACTAGTAAAATGAGTAGATAAAAATAGATCCCTGGGCAGTCTAGAGGGCACTGTTGAAGGAGAAAACCACACATGTTGAATGCTACTGTCTTAGGTTGGGCTCTCCAAGTCAAAGACATACGTGCAAGTAGATCATCTGGGGATGATCCCAGGAAACACTGGTGAGGGACTAGGGAACTGAGATGGGTCAGGCAGCCAAGAGAGGGCCTGCTATGCAGCAGGTCGGCACTGTGGGCAACTGGGACTCAGTCCTGCTTGAGACCCTGTGAGCTGGTACAGAGAACTCAAAGTTGTCCCATATCAAGGGGCATACAGGCATGTGCCTCCCAGATATCCCAGTCAAGGGCATATTTATTCACCAGCTTCCATCAGTCATTAGCTGAGAGGCTGCTCCCTGGATGTTAACTCTCTAGTCCTTCTGGCATATTTTGTGATCAGGTAGACTCGGGCCACTAGTTAAGCCTTCAGGCAGGTGGAAGATGGATAGTTCTACATCACAGTAGTAAGGCCTGAGGGGATGTGGGCAGAGAATTGTCAGTGACTACTCCATGTAAATAATATTGTTATTATCCCTGTATTGCAGATGAGAAAACAGGAAAAGAAAGGGCAAATAGCTTCCCATAGTTACACAGATTGAAAATAGCAGAACTGGTGTAAAGGAAAGAAAAGAGAACAGACAACAGTGGCCTTAAACAAGGGTTTGGAGGAACCAGGAGACACACCCTCCACCAATCAGCAGGCAGTTCAAAGAGGGGATTTTAAATCTCTTCTGAATCTTGGTAACAGACCCTAGCCACCATTGCAAGGGACAGGAAATTGTAAAACACAGGAAGATGAGCTCGGAAGGTCCATTCTGCTTAATTGGGTGGATTAAATGTGAGAAAAGACAGATGTTCTGGGCCAGTTGAACCAGAAACGGAATGACAGCTTTGGAAGAGAGTGTTCCACATGCAGTTTTTCTCAGGATATGGAGAGATCTCTCTTTTTTTGTTTTGAAGAGGATTGCAGGTGATGAAGTTGAGCAAATATGAGGGATTTTAAATTATTTGTTATGTTTATTTTTTTATACCATGAGCCCTGTTTTGCTTTCGTGTGCAGCTGACAGTTGGTTCTAAAGGGCCAGCTCTACAACAGCCTGTCTGGAGGGCTCTGAAATGTTACAGAGGACTCTCATGCAAGGTCGTATCTGGCTATTAAATCTAACCTTGGCTTGCCTAACCCTGGTTTATGTGAGGTTATGGTCAGAACTATTAAAATGCAGTCAAGGGGCGAAAATGTCTGAGTCTCTTGTGTTACTGGTCTGACTTGCTCCACAAGCTTGAAGAGTAAACATGATGCCATCACTTGTAATTTTCACTCGGCCCCCAGTCCCCCGCTTTATCATCATGAAGTCCAATACCTTCCTCTTGAGGCTTCACCCTCCCTACCCCTAATCATAACCATCCAAGAACTTTAGAGCTTCTCAGTCCAATGATCAATACTATTGTACTGCCTCTTGCAGCCATGTGATGTCACTGTTGAAGATGGGTTCTGCACAGTCTAAAGGTTTTAAGGATGGGCTTTTCCACTGTGACCTGCTCAGCCCACATTAGTTCCCCATACTGGGTCCAAGATCATAAGCCATTTTAGTCTACACTCCCATGCTCAGCCATTACTCTCCAAAGCAAAACCACTGGCCCAGTCTGTGTTGAAATCATTCCCTTTTAACCCTCATTGAGCCTTGCTCATCAGCCTGGATTTCTGGTGCCTTGTAGCCCACCCTGGTCTACTTCTTGGAGAGTAAGAGTTGGATAATTAGTTTCTTTTTTTTTTTTTTTTTTTTCAGAAAGCCTCGGTCTCCTTATGCAAATGGGTCCTCTCCTCCAGCCAGATCTGCACACCCCTTAACTAAGACTTTACTTTCAAGGGACTTTTTGTTTAAATAAGAAAGTCTGCAATGCACCTGATTACTGAACAGTCATGCCATTACACTTGGTTTCCTTGGAGCTCAGTGAAAACATCATGGCTATGATTACTGAACAGTCATGCCATTACACTTGGTTTCCTTGGAGCTCAGTGAAAACATCATGGCTATGAGTACAGGTTTTAGAGTCCGTTAGACTCAGGCTTGATCCCAGGTCTGTGATCTTGGGCATTTACTTACTACTGTAAGCCTCGGTTTGCCCATGTGTCGAATGGTATGATATGATATGATATGATATGATAACATATGTCTTATACAGGCAATAACACAAAGCACTTTCTGCAGTGCCTAGAATAAGTGCAGGACAAGGCTTATTACTACTACTATTTATTATCATAGTAATAATGATAATAATAATAAACAAATCTAAGAAAGTTGACCTTATGCTTCTGCTTTCGCTATTGCTTTAGACAGATCACACAATCCTTAAGTGTTGGACCAAGGAGACTGGCCCTTTCAGTTAACATTAATTGCATTCACTGTTAGATACAGAGTAATTTAACCAGTTTCCTTATTCTATACATTTCTAAACTGAAAGACTGCTTCCTTTCAGTTAATCCACTGTGTCTTCAGATCCACATTTGAGCCATGGTTTTTTCTGACACTGCATTAGACAGAGGATTACTTACTACTTTTTATCCGAACATCACCTTGCCAGCTGAACTGAAATTCATTCCCATCCCCTCTCCCCCAAAAGAATCACACTGAGTTTCACTGTTTAGGCAAAAGAGCTCTGAAAACTGGTTAAAGACCATTTTTCCCACTTTTGAAAATGTCAGTGAATGATGGTAGGGCTAGATCCGTGTGAGTCGGTAGAGGTGGGCCTATATCAGCAGGTGCCGGAGGGACAGCCATTTCTCCAGTCTCACAGAGCAAAGTCTGGCTGCTGCAGACCCTGGTGAAAGCTGGATCCCAGTTGGAGTTACAAATGAGAATGGATACTCTTCTCTCTGATCTTGGCCCAGCAGCCCTGAGCTTCAGAAACACAGGAAAAACATGCACCCTTTTTGAAGGGTTGGAATAAAGATTTGAGGAAAGGAAGGTGACAGTTTTTCTCCTATTCTCTCTCTCCTCTTGTTTTATGGTTCAGCACCAGGCGTGGCAGGGCGGGCTGGAGTGGTGGTGATCAGGTCAGGAGCAGGGGGGAGGAAAGAAAGCAGACCAAGAATATAGAGGCCTGGACCTCTTTAGTTTAGTGCCTGGTTTCCTTCTTGCCTTCAGTTTCAACCTGTACTTTAATCTCCCTGTGAGTCGCTGCCTGTGACAGATTATGAACAATGCCACCCTTGTTCCCCATGAGGGATGTCAGGTCAGGATCCTGATCAACATTCATCATACTGAAGGGCTGAGATTAAGAGGCTGTCCAAGTTCACATACCAGTGAACACAGATGTTCTATTTCAAAATAATGGAGAGGCTATGATTCAGGAGCTGGAGCAACTTTTTAAAAATATGGTCCCATTTCAAACAAAACAAGCATTTGTAATATAGATAATAAAAAGTTGGAAACCTCCTAAATGTATAGGATCAGGAAATTGGTTAAATTACTCTGTACCTAAAAGTGAATACAATGAATGTATGAAAATGGTGATATCAATCTGTTTCTACTGTCAGGAAGACATGTTCATGATATACTTTTAAGAAAAGAGCATTGCATGGCCAGATGCGGTAGCTCATCCCTGTAATACCAGCAGCATTTTGGGAGGCGGAGGTGGGTGAATCACTTGAGCCCAGGAGTTCGAGACCAGGCTGGGAAACATGGCGAAACCCTGTCTTTACAAAAAATATAAAAATTAGCCAGGTGTGATGGTGCACACCTGTAATCCCAGCTACTCGAAAAGCTGGGGCTGAGAATCGATTGAGCCTGAGAAGTTGAGGCTGCAGTGAGTCGTTGGTGGCACCACTGCATATATACAATGATATATGTATATATCCAGATACATATATACATATATTGTTAGAAAAGATACAACAAGGGCTAACGCAATAGTTGGATTTGAGGGATGCTTTGTTTTCTTTTCTGTTTTTCTTGTTTTGTGATTTTATTTGTTTCTTTTGCTTGACTGGCTTTTCTATATATGCTAATAGCCTGTATTTATGAGTAGCCATTAAGCATTAGGCATATAGCCTTCTATTTACTTCTGCAAGTAAGTCCTCTAAAGATGAGGGAACCCAGAAAGGTTAGGCAACTTACCCAGTCCAGCATCATAAAATCGAGAATCCATCTGAGTCAGCTTGCCTCCAGACCCAACTTCATCATCTTCTGTGGGACAGGCTAGGTTAACCCAAAGGTGGTGCGGTGGGAGACTTCAGGCCACCCTGAAGGCCTCTGGATGCCCTAGGATGACTCTGAGCACAAACAGATACGGGGCTTAGGTATGCATTGCTAATTCCAAATTCTATAGGCTACTAATACATGCTCTTTCCTGGTCAGGTTTGGTCCAGAGCCTGGGCTGGGCCAAACCTGCAGGTGAAACTTTCTAGTGCCTGCTCAAGTTGGACAAATTGGTCCAGGACTCTCAGCCTACTCTCCTGCACACAGCCAGCCCCAGCACTGCCCAGCAACACCTGCCTGTTCATTTGTTGACATACACATTGCCAAAGTGTGATCAATATGTCAATATTATTTTTTTATTTTGCTTTTTTTCTCCTTAATTATGAATACTTTAATTCTGAGCACTGATACAGGTATTAACATGCCTCAGCCGGGCACGGTGGCTCACGCCTGTAATCCCAGCACTTTGGGAGGCCGAGGCGGGTGGATCACTTGAGGTCGGGAGTTTGAGACCAGCCTGCCCAACATGGTGAAACCTTATCTCTACTAAAAACACAAAAATTAGCCAGGGATGGTGGTGGGCACCTGTAATCCCAGCTACTTGGGAGGCTGAGGCAGGAGAATCACTTGAACCCGGGAGGCAGAGTTTGCAGTGAGCTGAGATCGTGCCACTGCAATCCAGCCTGGGTGATAAGAGTGAACTGCATCTCAAAAAAAAAAAAAAAAAGAAAAAAGGAAATGCCTCTACCCTGTGAAAAACTTCTTATAACTTCTTCCTATGCTTTTATTTTGGTTGTTTATTTTTAGACTGATAAGCCTAGAAGTTTGGAAATAGAGGGCATCCAGGTGACTATTCATTTTCCGTCTGAGACGAAGATGGCTTTTGTACCTCTCCCCAGAGGTCTGAATGAGGAAGAATCAGGCAACTCAATTGTATGCAAGATCCATCATGAAGTACAATTCTCAACCTTGGCTGAGTGTTGGACTCACCTGGGACTTTTAAAACCTGTTGATGCCTGAGTCCACTCTCAGAGATTCTGATTTAATTGGTATGGGGTGTAGACTTGGCATTGGGGGATTTTTTAAGCTCTCCAGGTGATTCTAATGCATTGCAAAGTGATAATTATTTCCTAGAACCTGCCCTACCTTTCCTCATTCCCTTCCCTCACAATCCAAGGAGACAAAATTGGTTTGGAGAAAATAATTTTTCTTATTGATTAGCCCTTCCCTAAGCGAAGCAGTGTGGATTAAGGTACTCAGGGTTCTCAGTGGCCCACTGAGAAAGCAGTCCTCAGAGGAGTCCCGCCCATTCTGACTCTCCCTTTCCCTTTTTATTCAGTATGGTATTGTGCTGGATGCCGGGTCTTCAAGAACCACAGTCTACGTGTATCAATGGCCAGCAGAAAAAGAGAATAATACCGGAGTGGTCAGTCAAACCTTCAAATGTAGTGTGAAAGGTAAGGACTGAAGTGTGTCTGGGAGTCACAATGGGCAGCAAGGTAGAGTTCTAAGTGTTTTGGAGGCCTGGAGAGGTCCTGAGATGTTGCTTGGAGGCAGGGAATGAGCATTGGACTGGGAGTCAGGAAATAGGAGATCGTGTGCTAGTGCTGCTACTCATCAGTGGAATAAACTTGCTCTAGTCACTTCCCTTCTCTGGGCCTCAGTGTTTTATCTGTATACATGGAAAGGGGTGGCGTCAAGAACTGTGAATGGTCTGAGATTTTACCCTGCCATATTTTCATGGGTGCTGGAAGACACAAGACTCCTGGGTCAGAAATAAAGGACAATTTGTTACTCACAGGAGTAGCCCAGAGTATCAGCATTTTCTTATACTGGTTCTGATTCCCAATTTGCCCAGGATGATGGAAAGACGGACAGATAGTATGCACTCATGCAATAGGTTCTGTCATAGGAAAGGAAATCTGGGATTTTAGGGAAGCATTTATAATGGGCAGTGAGCATGCCTGCCTTTTGCTGTGGAGGGAAACACAAGGGACACATGGATAGCTGTCTTCCAGCAGTGATAAGGAGTAGTCCTGTGTATTGATGGCGAGGCAGACAGAGAATGACAATATGTAAACAAATGGACATGGCTCTGTTCCAGTAAAGCTTTATTTATGGACACTGAAATTTTGAATTTCATATAATTCTCATATCATGAAATGTAATTCTTCCTGTAAATTTTTTCCCACCATTAAAAAATGTAAAAACTCTCTTAGCTCACAGGCTGTACAAAAAAAAGGTGGTATACTGGATTTGGCCCATGGGGTGCCAACCCCTGAAATGGAGTATTATCAGCAATGATAATTAATGATCCGCCATGCAGCTCCCTGTCTTTTCCACAACATATTCTGAGTTTTATATTAACTGTTTCCTTGTTCTTTATAGTTTTGTCTTATGTATGTAGTGTTTCTGTTTTTTAAAACAAAATTAAACATGTATTTATATAAATGGAATCAACATATTTTATGCCGTATTTGCTTTGTTCACTAACAACATTGGGTTTTTAAGATTCATCTGCACTGATATGAGTAACTATCTTGTTCATTTCCTTTCCTTTTTTTTTTTCTTTTTTTTTTTTTGAGACAGAGTCTCACTCTGTTGCCCAGGCTGGAGTGCAGTGGCATAATCTTGGCTCACTGCAATCTCTGCCTCCTGGGTTCAAGCGATTCTCCTGCCTCCACCTCCCAAGTAGCCGGGATTACAGGTGCCTGCCACCACGCCTGGCTAATTTTTGTATTTTTAGTATAGATGGGGTTTCACCATGTTGGCCAGGCTGGCTTCGAACTCCTGACCTCAAGTGATCCACCTGCCTCGGCCTCCCAAAGTGCTGGGATTACAGGTGTGAGCCACCGTGCTCGGCCTCATTTTTCCTTGTTGATGGGCATTTGTATTTTCTTGGTTATTAATAAAACTTAATATCTTTCCATATATTTATAGGCATTTCTGTTTTCTGTGAAATGCATGTTCATGTCTTTTGTTCATTTTTCTATTGAATTGTTGAATTTTTCTTACTAATTCATTGAAATTCTTTATAAATATTCTAAATATGAATTCTTTGCCATTATTATTATCATATTATTGCTAATACCGTCTCACAGTTTGTAGTTTGTCTTTTTAGTTTCTTTGCGATGTGTCTTGATGAAAAGAAGTTCTTGATTCTTATGTAAATACAACCATCAATATTCCTTTTTGTGGCTTGCTCTTTTGTATGTTTTATTTAAGAAATCCTTTTCTATCTTGAGGTCATACAGACCTTTTTCTATGAAAAGTGTTATAATTTTGCCTTTTACAATTAAGTAATTAGTCCAAGTAATTGAGCCTAGTTAGGGAGTGTGTATATGTGTAAGCCTTTTTCAAAGCCACTTATCTTCCTCGTTCGAGCATTAGGATCTTCAGTTGGCCTGTAGCCTCCCAACCAGGGTGTTCTGAATGTGCCCAGTGTATCCTTGAGCCCACAGGACAACAGGTTAGAGACTCCAGACCTGTCCTCCCAGCCCGAGCAGCCTCCTTTGTTTCCCTCCGTGAGCTGCCAAAACATTGTAAGTTCATGGGGATCATGGCATTGAAAAACTTGGAAAGCAGAGTTAGTCTTTCTCACCGGGAGACCAAGAGTCTTCTTTGGCTAATCAGAGTGAATTCTGATCATCTGCCCTCCGAGGAGGGCAGCCAGGAGCTTGCCTACCCTGATGCACAGGTGTTCCAGGTTAGGCTCTCCAGAAGCAGATGTAGAGACAGATTATGGAGTGCAAGGTGGTTATTAGAGATGCACTATTATAGCAGAAAGTGGGCAGAGAGAAGTACTGGACAAAAAAAGAGAAGTCAAACTTCAACTCAGGCCTGATGAAGCTTCAGCTGATCCGTTATGCTGCACTGGGTTGAAATGGTGTAAAGTGGCTTGGCTGTAATACCCCCTGTTGCTGCCACTCTTGGATGTTTGCCACCCTGGAAAGAGCAAGATCTTGAGCAAGGCAGCTCTCTGCAGCTCAGGCAGACCCTGAAGAAGCTGACAGCTGGGACAATAAGTCTATTTGAAGGGGTATATTGCACGGCACGGTTTTGGATTCACCACATAAGGGACTTGGATATTTTCCTTTAATTTTTTTTTTTTTTTTTGAGATAGGGTCTCATTCTGTCTCCCAGGCTGGAGTGCAGTGGCACAATCATGGCTCGCTGCAGCCTAGACTTCCTGGGTTCAAGCAGTCTTCCTATCTCAGCCTCCTGAGTAGCTGGGACTACAGACATTGCCACCACATCTGGCTAATTTTATTTTTTGTAGAGATGGGGTCTCACTATGTTGCCCAGGCTGGTCTTGAACTTCTGGGCTCAAGCCATCCTCCTGCCTCAGCCTCCCAAAGTGCTGAGATTACAGGTGTGAGCCACTGCACCCAGCGGATATTTTCTGAGTATTGCTTGCTTGTTATCCACAAGATGCAGGCAGCTGTAGCCTTGCTCTGACCTCAACCAGCGATCCTCTATCTGCTCAGGTAATGCCTGAGCCATTTCCTCACCTTCAACCATGAAATAGGGCAGCAGGCTGCTCCTTTCAAAGACAGAGACTATGTGCTCCAAGGAAAGAGAAGATAGTGTAGGATCGAGATTGAGACTTCACCTCATCCCTACTGTGTGAACCCTGGAAAGTTATCTAACCTGAGTCTTGACTTCCTCATCTCTAAAGTAAAAAACATAATAATAGTTATACCTACCCTACAGGAGTGATTTGAAGACTAAATGACATAATGTTGTAAAAGAAATGCCTGGCATACAGTAAGTGCTCAATAAGCATTAACTGTTATTCATGGGGCACCACAATCAGAGCTCCTGGTGGATCCTCTTGCCACTTGTTACTCTGTCCCACAGTTACAAGATCTCTGTCTTTAGACCCAGGAGGGCAATTCAACCAAGTTAGTCCTGATGGCCTTACAACTGTGGGGAAAAATAAGACTTACATGGGGAGGTGTTATGGCAGTCCCTCAGGGGAAGGGTTCCTTGGCCCACCCTGGATGGCATATGTGATTTGAGGAGGCACAGAGTCATGGAGGCCACAGCATATCCATAAATGGATCTTCCCTTCTTTGATCACAGTAGCCTCAGGGATCTATATATACTCTGAATGAACAGAAGACCACAAACTAAAGCTCAAATTACAGAGTTGAAGGTCAGCAAGTGTCATCCCCTCAAAGGCTTGTGGCTTCTCCAAGGATAATTTGGGTTTCTGCTTCCTCCATTGCAAACTTCCCAGGACTCCCCTGTCTTGGCCAAACAGAAGGGGGTGATGAATGCTTGCTCACCCAGCAGGGATTCCCAGATGCCTAGGCCCTCAGAAATTTCTTTCTGGTTGGTATCAACCCCCAGTTGCTACTGTTTTCCATGAGTTCATTGCCTTTGCTGGCGGTTTCTGTGCTGGTGTCTGTACCTCTGGCTGCTTGTGGTGAAGCCACCTCCTGGAGGTGCTGGGTTCTCTGCATGCGTCTCATCTCATCTGCAGTACTCATGCCTGCTGCTGCCTTTCCCCACAAGGGACATTCATAATGTCTTTCCTTTAAACCAGTGACTAAAAATTACTTAAGCTCCACTAGAGCCTAAACTTAACTATCTCCTCCATTAAAATCCCTCAAAGAGTTGCATCAGAAACCAGGCCACCATAGTATTAAAAAAACATCCTTTGCCTCTGGGTGCAGTGGCTCATGCCTGTAATCCCAGCACTTTGGGAGGTGAGGCGGGTGGATCACCTGAGGCAAAGAGTTTGAGACCAGCCTGGCCAACATGATGAAACTCCATCTCTACTAAGAATACAAAAATTAGCCGGGCTTGGTGGTGGGCGCCTATAATCCCAGCTTCTCGGGAGGCTGAGGCAGGAGAATTGCTTGAACCCAGAAGGCAGAAGTTGCAGTGAGTGGAAATCATGCCACTGCACTCCAGCCTGGGTGACAGAGCGAGACTTCATTTCAAAAAAAAAAAATCATTTGCCAATAGTTGGCCGGAGCTCAAGCTGAGGTGCGTGTCTTTGGCTTCTGTTTCCCCTCAAGTAAGTTTTGTGCCGTCTGTTTAACCCTCTCTCCCCATATTGAAATAGCAATTTCAGTGCTCCTCTCATGGGACCAAGTATCCAAGTCCAAGCAGCTTAGAAGCCTGTGAATCCTATCTCCTTTTCCCTCTAGAAGGCTTAATGGACCTTATGCAAACAGGCTGTCTGGTGACATACTCCCAAGGTTTCACCATTCTATCTCGCCTCTCACCAGCCGCTAACCAGAGACCAGCTCCTTGCAGATTATATTTTGTTTATCCCAGATTGGACTAGCCAATCTCCTTACTACAGAGATGTATAGTGGTTTGAAAGTCTCATTGATTGATTGATTTAATAAATATGTATTAGGTGCCTGCTGTTTGATACGAACTGTTCTTGGCACCAGGAATTCAGAAATAAACAATATATACAAAATCTGTGGTTATGTGTTATGAGACTTGCATTCCAATGAGGAAGATAGACAAAAAAATAAACGGGCATATAACGAGTGTCAGGCAGACATGATGTGAAGAGAAATCAGGCAGGGCAGGAAAAAGAGAGTGATCATGCTGTTTTGAACAGGATTGTCAGGGAAGTATGAAGAATATGACAGCTAGGCAGAGACAAAAGTGATATGAGACAATGGGCCATGTAAATGTGTGGGGGAAGAACATGCTGAGCAGAGGCATGGCAAGGGAAAAGGCCAAGCATGGAAGCTGCTCAGCATTTTCCAGGAAAAGCCAAGGGGCCAGTGTGGCTGGAAGAAAGATGAGAAATGAGACTGAAGCTAGAGCCAAGGCCTGCTCCTTGGAGGGACTTGAGGTGTCCTAAGGGTTTGACTGTGACACAAATGAAGTTTCTTCAAAGTATATTGGGAAGCCATTAGAAGATTCTAACTAGGGAACTAATACGATATGACTTCTGTTTTTAACGGATCACTCAGTTGATATAGAACACGTAGTCAGGGGCTAAGATTGGAAGCAAGGACACCAGTTAAGTGCTGTTAAATCAGTACGGGTGAGAGATTAGGTGATGGTCAATTTGCCCTTGACTAGTGCTTCTCAACACAAGGTGAATTTGTCTCCCGGGAAACATTTTGCAATGTCTGGAGATCTTTTCGATTGTCATGACTGGGTCCGTGGTGCTACTAGCATCTAGTGTATAGAAGACATTTCTCATCTTTCTTCCAGCCACACTGGCCCCTTGGCTTTTCCTAGAAAATGCTGAGCAGCTTCCACACTTGGCCTTTTCCCTTGCCATTCTACAATGTTCTAAGCATTGTACAATGCACAGAACAGCCTCCACAACAAAGAATTATCTACCCCAAAATGTCAGTAGCACCAAGGTTAAGAAACCTTGGTTTACGATGGTTCTGGGGAAGGGGGTGAGAAGTGCTTAGATTTGCGAGGTATTTTGAAGGTAGGACCAACATGATTTTATGATGGACTTGATGTGAGGCATCTGAGTTCATAATGCATGAGCAAGAGTTTGGATATGAGCAACTGTGTGCATCACAACACCATTTACTGAGATTGGGGAACACTGGGAGTGGAGCATATTGGGGGCAGGGCAAAGCTTAAAGAGTTTGGTTTTGGGCATATTAAGTTGGAGATGGCTATAAATCATCTGAGTCAGGGGAGGCAAACTTTTTCTGTAAAGAGCTACACGATAAATATTTTAGACTTGTGGGTCATATGGTCTCTGTCGTAACTGCTCAACTCTGCCCCTTTAGCATGAAAACAGCCATAGACAACAGGTAGATGAATTAGCATGTTTGCATTTCAAAAAAAAAAAACTTTACTTGTGGACACTGACATTTTAATTTCTTATAATTTTCATATGTCATGAAATGCTGTTCTTCATTTTATTTTTTTCCAACTACTTGAAAATATAAAAATTATTCTTCACTTGCAATCCATACAAAAACAGGTATGGGGTCAAATAGCTTGCTCATTCCTGATCTATACAGTGATGTGGAGTTGTCAGATAGGCAAGTCGGGAGTTCGGGGGAGGGGGAGGATGAAGAAATAAAGCTGAGTGTCATCAGAATACAGACGATATCCAGCCCCAGCTCATCTAAGGAGTGAATAGATACTGAAGAAAAGAGATCTGAGGACTTAGCCTTACACACTCCAGTACTGAGAGGTTGGGGAGAGGAAGAGGATCCAGCAAAAGAACTTAGGAGGAATGACAGCCAGTGAGGGGAGAAGAAGGTCAGAACCCAAATCCAAGGTAGTTGAAGAAAGAGGAAGTGCGCAATTAGGTGAAAAGTGATGGGGAGCTTATAATCTAAGAAGTCAGACAGACATGATATGCCCCCAGTGCGGTGATGTACACTAGGAAAAACCTAGCACACCTAGGAAGTGCTCTTGCCAAAAAATCAAATCTGAATCTGATCACATTTCTAGAAATTAACTCCCAGTTTATAAAAAACACAGAAGACAAAGGAACATGTTCAAGGACACCTCACGGATCCAATCAGCGAAATCCAAAATAAGAGACCTACTCCATTAAAATGATTTCTTTAATAAATAAATGGCAAGATAAAAGGGGGGCAGGAAAACTGTTACAGAATGAGAATCTTAAAAAACATCCAAATGCACATACAAGGTATGGACTTTGGTTTCTGCATCACACTATAAAGAAAAAGTTATTCTGGGAAATTTGAACACTGACAGGTCTTTAATAATATTAAGAACTTTTTTAGGAGTGATTTTTTTCTTAGGTATCATGGTTATATTTTTCAGAGTTCTTCCCTCTTAAAAACATATACTAAAGTGTTTGTAGATGAATTAACATAATGCCTGGGATTTTCTTTACAATAATTCCTAGAGATGGAAAAAAGAAAGCATATAAATGAAAATAAGATGGGCTGTGTATTGATTAACTGTTGAAGCTGAATGATCAGTATATGGGGATTCATTTCACTAGTTTCACAGTAAAGAATTAAGACTAATGTGAGCACTGACCTGTGATGTTCAGCATAGTTTTGTTGTTTTTGTTGGCTTTATTGGCATTTTGGAGAGAAAAACCTGTTAACTAACCTATCTCATAGGAATATGCCTGAGAGCTTAATCTCACATTTTATTTACTGAGAGAATTGTGTGTCTTTTTAAAAATAACTTTCTAATTACAAAATAATATATTTTCATTGTGTGAAAATCAGAAAACACAGGTAAATAAAATGGAACCAGGCACAATGGTGTGCACCTATATTCCCAGCTACTCAGGAGGCTAAGGCAGAAGGATCACTTGAGCCTAGGAGTTTGAGACCAGCCTGGGCAACATAGCAAGACCCCATCTTTATTTAAAAGTAGAAAAGGAAGTAAGATCATCCATAATCCTTCCCACCAGAGGGGAACATTTTTCTTTTTTTAGGATTAATATATTTTTATATTAAAAATTATTCATACAGGCTGGGTGCAGTGGCTCACTCCTGTAATCCCAGCACTTTGGGAGGCCAAGTGGATCAGCTGAAGTCAGGAGTTTGAGACCAGCCTGGCCAACATGGTGAAACCCCATCTCTACTAAAAATACAAAATTAGCCGGGTCTGTTGGTGCATACCTGTAGTCCCAGCTACTCGGGAGGCTGAGGCAGGAGAATCACTTGAACCTGGGAGGCGGAGGCTGTAGTGAGCCGAGATCATGCCATTGCACTCCAGCCTGGACAACAAGAGCAAAAACTCCGTCTAAAAAAAAAATTATATATACATACGTATATAAACATATATATTTATTTAATTGTTGTTATTGTTATTAGTGTTTCTTACAGCTACTTCAGTTCTGAACTCCTGAGATCAAGCCACTGAGTTCATCAAGCCCACGGCTTATGGTGCTGTCATTTGTCTGTTGTAGGAGGTCATTGCCCCAGGAGGGAAAATTACATTAGAGGCTCTGTCCTTGGCCAAGGTTGAGAAAGCCTGTCCTTGCTTCTCTAGCACTGTCGATGAAATCCACGTCTGTGCATCTTAATGGACACATCCAAGCAAAACTTGTAATTACAATGCTCAGGTTTTTTTATTGGTTTGTGGTAGTTGGAAGATGGGTGGGAAAGGTTAAGAAAGGGCAGCTGAAGGAGGCAGTGGCTCTATCAATTCCAAAGAAGGAAGTTTCCAGAGGGACCATATTCTCTCCATCTTCCTTGTCTGTCCTATACTTTGTCTTCCTTAAAGTAGACTTATTTAAACTCAGAGCCTGGACTGGGAGAACAAATTAAGTTATGTTCATGCAATGGCATGCAATGCAACTGTAAAAAGAAATGAAGAATATTTATATACTGCTATGGAGTGGCCACTAGGAAGTATTGTTGAATGCAAAGAAAAAAAAAGTGGAGAAAAGTATATATAGTAAATTACCATTTATCTAAAAGTTGGGGTGATTAAAAATATATATTTGCTTATTTTAAACAAACATTGGTTAAACTTTTTTTAAAAAAGAAACTACTTACAGGAAGAGGAGACAAGGAGAGAATCTAGATGTCTCTGAATATACCTAGTTTTGTAGATCTAATTTTAGAACTACTTAATTATTTTAGTAACTATAAAACAAAATCGTTTTTTAAAAAGTAATTCCTAAAACTCAAAAGTAAAATGCAACAGGCCAGTCATGGTGTCTCACACCTGTAATCCCAGCACTTTGGGAGGCTGAAGCGGGTGGATCACTTGAGGCCAGGAGTTCGAGACCAGCCTGGCCAACATGGCAAAACTCTGTCTCTACAAAAAATACAAAAATTAGCCAGGCACGGTGGCACGTGCCTGTAATCCCAGCTACTTCGGAGGCTGAGGCACAAGAATCGCTTGAATCTGGCAGACAGAGGTTGTAGTGAGCCGAGATCACACCAACTGCACTGCAGTCTGGGTGACACAGTGAGACTCCATCTCAGAAAAAAAAAAAAAAAGAGAAAAAGATATCACTATTTGCAACCCCTAATGAAATAATGGAGCTAAACCATTATCATTGATGATAACAGCACAAAAAGAGAAACAACCAGATACTGTGCCTCCTATTGTAAGTCCACACTAATCCCTATATATTTTTTTTAAATTTCAAACCTGATCTGATCAAGCCTCTACATTCAGTTAACCATTTATAGAAATACAAGGGACCAAGTAAGATGTTAATTGAACTATGAGGGTACAATCGACAAACTCTAGACTGTGGAAATTCTTCAGGACGAAGAAATTGCAAGTAAAATTTTTAATAATTAGGAGAAAAATAGAAAGGGAAGGCAGAACTAATAGACAGAAAGAGACTTAAGATTGCACTGTACCGAATTTATTGGGATCCTGACTCATACAAATGAGAAGAGGGTGATGGATGAAGGAAGAAGGAGGGATGAAGAGGAGGAGTAGGAAGAGAAAGAGACACAGAGGATGAGAATGAGAACGAATATGGAGGCAATGGGAACCATGACTGGATAGTTAATGATATTAAGAAATTATTTTTTTGGCAAGGCATGGTGGCTCATGCCTGTAATCCCAGCACTGTGGGAGGTCGAGGCAGGTGGATCACCTGAGGTCAGGAGTTCGAGACCAGCCTGGACAACATGGTGAAACCGTGTCTCTATAAAAAAACCAAAAATTAGCCAGGCGTGGTGGTGCACGCCTGTAATTCCAGCTACTCATGAAACTGAGGCAGGAGAATCACTTGAACCTGGGAGGTGGAGGTTGTAGTGAGCCGAGATCGTGCCACTGTACTCCAGGCTGGGCGACAGAACAAGACTCTGTCTCAGAAAAAAAAAAAAAGAAAAAAAGAAAAGAAAAAGAAATTATTTTTAATTTGTACAGGTATAATAATTCAACTGTAGTTAGGGCTTTTTCAAAGAATGTTTACTTTTTGTGACACATACTGAAATATGGGAATTAAATGACACATCTGCATTTTGCTTTGTGGGAAGCAAGTGGAAGATTGTATGGATGAAATAAGAGTCGATCATTGTTGAAGCTGGGAGATAGATGCATGAGTTTCAATATACTATTCTCTCTACTTTTATTTATATTTGAAATTTTTATAATGAAAACATTTTTTTAAAGTAGGCCCTGGCTTACTTTTTATACAATTGTAATTCATTCTTTTAGAGGTTGCAAGTATACTGATCAGTGTGACCATACGGGACTTACCACATCCAGCTGTTTTCGACCCCCTACCAAACCCCAATAATTTTCAAAGCCAATTTGTTTTTTATTTAAAAGTTGTATCACTGCGATTGGTTCCTGGAAATGCTGACAGATGCTGACTGCTTGCTTTTCAGGCTCTGGAATCTCCAGCTATGGAAATAACCCCCAAGATGTCCCCAGAGCCTTTGAGGAGTGTATGCAAAAAGTCAAGGGGCAGGTTCCATCCCACCTCCACGGATCCACCCCCATTCACCTGGGAGCCACGGCTGGGATGCGCTTGCTGAGGTAAAGGCTAAGTGGCACAAAGGAGCCCATTTGACCAAAATAACCAAGAATATGTTGAATCTTGCCAAGAATGTAACTCTATTTCTGGGAACAACCCTCGCCCCCCAAAAAGAAGCCCACATTCTGCCATAAATTTGGGCTTTAAAGGTTGGGAAACTTTTAGTTTTTATTTTAATACCCAGAAAGAAACAGTTCTAAAATTGTTTCCCTCTCCCTTGGTGATTTTACTGAGAACTTTGAAAAAGAGAGAGGTCATATGAAATCTGCTCATGGGATATAACTCTAGTTCTTTGAAAAGTAGTTGTTTTGACAGTTGGCATTTGACACCTGTGAACAACCAGCTAAGTTTGGTAGTAAGTACAACCCATAGCTATGTAGCTTCCGCTTGTGTACAAAATACCACTGAAATCTGCTTTAAAACAATGGCATGTCTGCACCTCAAATCAGTCAAAGCTTTTGGAGTTGTTATGAAACAAGCATCTAATTTCACTCACTCAAATTAGTTCCTTCTAAATTTGTAGTCATGGCTTTTAGCCCAGTTGCATTGTTTTTGAATGTCTTTTCTCTTTTTTCTCCATTATAGCATTTCCTTGACCTTGAAATTTCAAAAAAAAATTCCAAAAAGAAACACCAAACTTAAATCTACTCAGAGTAAAGGCTACTACTCCAAGTGTTGGAATAAGGTTTTATCACAAGAAAACAACACTCATTCTGCTTCAGAGCCACTTTATCTACGATTCCAAGCACGCAAAATTATCTATGTCTGAGCATTAATAAAAAAAGAACAAACAGAGCTCCTTTAACATGATAATGAAAAGAAATCATGATGTGCTCTCCATTAGACTGGGCCTTTTCCTTATAGTCTCATAATTCTTGTTTCTAATCTGATTTCCTGGTTGACCACATTGAATGTGGAAGGAAGTCAGATTTCTCTGCTCACTCTTGGAATCTGCAGTGTATTTCCAAATTATTTCATTTACGTGTAATAGAAATGATCTAAAAACTCCTTCCTTTTGCTTTTTCTTTCTTATAAAAACAGTTCTTCC
The DNA here is from genome assembly GCF_000001405.40 of Homo sapiens. NCBI lineage: Eukaryota > Metazoa > Chordata > Mammalia > Primates > Hominidae > Homo > Homo sapiens. Next base: position 40,413,009 of record NC_000003.12, read on the forward strand.
AAAAAGGATGGAACTGAAACCATGTAATCTCAGAGAACACAGAAAGGCAGCCCCTTTACAGGCTATTAATTCCATGGACCTAAAATCCTCATCTGCTATAGTGGATGCTTCCTTAACACGACATGTGTGGAGCTACTTATAGAAAAGCCAGCTGCAGGATGTGCTCATGAAGTTTTCAATTTGGAGACTGAATGCTTAGAGCTTAGTTTGTGAAATCCTTCTGCTTTCAGTCTATTCAATTCCCATTTTCAGACTGAATTTCCTATTTCAGAATACATTAGGATGCTGTTTACTCTCCCTGGGACTTGACTTCAGGTAATAAGTTTCAGAACAGGACCTGAGCAATACCAACAATATGAATGTGATAAGTGACTACAATCAGGGAGAAATACTGGTTCAATTCCATTAAATGTCTGTAAAAGTTACTCTAAAATATCTTTGCTTTACCAGTAGTGTTTGTACATATGTAAACTTCTTGGTTGAACTGGCTCTGAACTTATGACTTAAGTAGACTTCTAGTACTCTAAAAACAAAAACAAAACAAACAAACAAACAAAACAGCTCTTAAGAAACTGACTTTTTCTTGGTTGCTTCCCCTCCCTCCCCCAGTCTTTCAGTGAGAAATAATTAAAAGGCTCTGCAATTTACAGCTCATGACAAAAACCATGGAACAGAAAGCTCACCTCTTAGGAAAAAATGAATGTCTCCTTTGAATAAATTAAGTACTAACTCTTTCTTGTAAAACTGTTTTCTAATGATGATCTATTTCTTCTGAGAAACTAGCTGATATTTTAATTACTAGACAAGTAAAATAGAAAAGAAAACAATTAATGAGAATTAGCTGGGATGAGAATTGATGAAACTGGGAAAACTCTGAATTATTTTCCAAGAAGTGATAATTGGCCACGGAATTGGAATGGATCCTGCTTATAGCCTTGCTCTTTCTTCTTCCTGAGCCAAGAGTCAGCCAGTGCCCCTGGCTTTCTACCCATGGATGAAAGATGAAATAATCTCCCAAGTGAGCTTTCTTTCATAGGGTAAAATGGCAGCAGATGGACGCCATAACATTCTGTCACCAGGGATAGAATGCTGTGTTGCCACTCCTCTAAGAGTCAGCACACCAATGGTTTTTCAATCCAGTGACAGCCATGATGACTGTCATATCCCTTCATGCTGAAGCCCTCCCAAAGAGTGAAGCAAAAACAGCTAAAAACTCAATGTTCTTCCTTTCCCCCTTCCTACTAAGCTCCCTTTCCGTCTGGTCAGATGAGGGTTCCTTCATATGGTGCCTCCAAGAGATTATTTATGCCACTCTTATGACTTCATCAATCCCCTTTCCTCTGCTGATCTAAGACAGAGCAATGGCAGTTAAATAGGAGGCTCTTTTGATACATGAACAGATGAGATGGGTGGGGAGAACAAATTGTACTTATGCTGAAAGCAATTTTCCTGCTTGGCAGTTTGACAGGTAACAAGTGCATCCTGCCTTCACAGTTGCCCCAGAAGGCTTCAACTTGCAAAAGGGATTGTGGTGTACAGCACACATCTGGAAAATCATTCATCCCCACCAGCAGGGAGACGGTGAAGTTTGCATTTTCACCTGAGTGAGACTATGTATTTTAAGACTGTATTGTCTGGGCACTCAGACTTGTTTGTTCTGTGCCTTGTACAGGTTGCAAAATGAAACAGCAGCTAATGAAGTCCTTGAAAGCATCCAAAGCTACTTCAAGTCCCAGCCCTTTGACTTTAGGGGTGCTCAAATCATTTCTGGGCAAGAAGAAGGGGTATATGGATGGATTACAGCCAACTATTTAATGGGAAATTTCCTGGAGGTGTGTGCAAACAAATGCATGGTTTTTAATCTTACTGTTTATCCTATCCCCTGTGAGTGATAGCCTAAGTAGAGGTACATGCCATCAGGGATATCTGCCCTGTATCACTCCTACCATGTAACGCATTAGGGAAATACCTATGAGACAATAGCTAAGAAAGACATATATAGCTGGGGAGAAAACATGGTCATAAACAGGACTAAATGCTAGGGAGGGAGGGAATCTTGTCACTTTACTAGCTTGTAAGAAATTGAAGGGGGTGGGATCTAAATTTAACACTAGGCTATGGGTCTTTGGGAGGGCAGTTGAAGAATAACCCTTCAGAGAGGCTCCATGACCATCTGAAATGTACAAAGCCCTCAGGAAGTCTGTATCCCTAAGTCCCCAGAGACAGGAGGAGGTCTTCACTCTGTGTTCCCAGGTCTCCTCACAGTCCAATCCCTGCACTCCCTGCTCCCTTGGTGCAGAGGAAAGTTGACTCCAAGAGACAACTGCCATGTTACAGGGGGCACAAAACAGGAGTTACTCAGAGCATATCCAGCCCAAGACCTATTTTGTTCACCTTCAAATGTATTTTAAATTTTTAAATAATTACCAACAATTAACATTTGGGAAATTTCACATAAAAATCCATACTTCTAGCTTCTTCTGACCTCCTCACTCCTCCCAAAAATCGGAGGAACTGGTCACAGTAGACTCACATTCCTGCACGGTAACAGGAACAGAGTGTAAATCATGGACTCTCCAGTTTGCCACAGACCCACCAGTCCCTATTATACACCTAATCTACTTCACTCATTTATTACTTACCTATGTTACCTGCCCAGTTCCTGTAAGCATTTTAATTCACCACCTCTAAAAGAAAAGGAAAGAATTGGCCTCACATGCTCCCTCTGTCCTACTTCTTAGTAATAGGAGACGAGGCTTGGGTGGAGAACTCTGGGCAAACAGAGATGGTGCCTTTGGCTTTCTTTCTCACTTCCTTTTCCCACTGTGCAGAAGAACCTGTGGCACATGTGGGTGCACCCGCATGGAGTGGAAACCACGGGTGCCCTGGACTTAGGTGGTGCCTCCACCCAAATATCCTTCGTGGCAGGAGAGAAGATGGATCTGAACACCAGCGACATCATGCAGGTGTCCCTGTATGGCTACGTATACACGCTCTACACACACAGCTTCCAGTGCTATGGCCGGAATGAGGCTGAGAAGAAGTTTCTGGCAATGCTCCTGCAGGTACTTGAGTCGGGGGTAGGGGGTGGCAGGTGTTCTCTTGAGGGTTTGAGCTGAGGGGAGAATGCCCTGCCTTCTGGGGTCTGTCCTCTCCACTTCAATTGAAAGGTAGATGGAAATAACAGCATTTTCCAATTTACTCCTGGGGGTCCAAGTCCCTTTCCTCTCTGTCTCTTTCTTCCCCTCCGTCTCCCTCTCATGTTGCCCACTTCCAGTAAATTTGAGTAAGAAGTCTAGGGAAGTTCCAGAGCTTCAGTTGTTTTGTAAATGACTCAAGACCTGGAATCCCTTTATGGACACAAACTGTTTTAAACCAGGAGCTAAATAAGCCTGAGAATTTTGAGACTCCCCTGGGTGTAGACAAAATAATATTAGTGGTCACAAGAGAAATGTGTGCTGAAGGGGGAGAGGGCAGAGCCCTTCCCAGGCTCAGCCTCCTTTTAGATGGGTCTATATTAGGCAGACTTGATACCCTTATATGGCAGAACTTTAGAGCAACCACATTCCATCATGTTGATCAGTAATTCATTTGATAAGTGTTCCAGGGCCCAGAAGGCTAATTCAGGCATCAGCTAGAAAGCTATTGCTAATATTAAACTCAACATTATGCAGTGTGTGTTCATGAGGGCACTAACTCCACAGGTGAGACCCCAGACCCAAACACCAGTGCTCAGGGGACATCAATCTTAGCCATGGCTGGGTGGCTGAGAGGATGGGCCTTGACTGCCTAGAGGGGTATGAGGAAATCAGAAGCCACAGATCCTGGCTTCTTATGGGACTCAAAGGCAGGGGAATCAGCCTATGAACAAAATGGACACAACTTCAGTAGGTTAACCCACGTTCGTCCAACCTACTCTGATAACTGAAGACAGGAACAGACTCTATCCTGCAGAGGAGTTGAAGGGATCACAAAAGTGCATCTTCAGCAGGACTCACAACTTCAGACCCCTGCATTTACCCAGTGTTCATGCAGGGTAGGTTGTGGGAACTCAGCTTCCAGTTCTGGCCCCTCCCCCAAACATCTCCCCAATCCTCCCAGAAATGGCTGAGGCCCCAGGACACATGCATGGGACATTTATTGTCAGGAGAGTCTGAGCACTGCCTGGAAAGGACAGATGTGAGAACCCTGCAGACAGCCCTCAACTACCCTTCTGTAGTAATCCATGCTCACACTACTATAAAGAAATACCTGAAACTGGGTAATTTATAAAGAAAAGAGGTTTGTTTAATTGGTTCATGGTTCTGTGAGCTGTACAGGTTTCTGCTTCTAGGGAGGCTTCAGGAAACTTAAAATCATAGTAGAAGGCGAAGCGGAAGCAAGCCCTTCTTACATGGGGGAATAGGAGGAAGAGAGAGAGTGAAGCGGAAGGTGCCATACAATTTTAAACAACCAGATCTCCTGACAACTCACTCACTATCATGAGAACAGCAAGGGGGAAATCCACCCCCATGCCCCAATCACCTCCCACCAGGCCCCTCCTCCAACACTGGGATTACAATTTTACATGAGACAAAGCCAAACCATGTCACCTTCCATGGCTCCCATCCCAACTTCCACCTCCCTGCCCAGTCAGCCAAACCAAACCCTACAGGTAACTCAATCAACCCTCCCTATCAGGGGATCTCAATACTCACCACTCATCCCCACTTGCTCATCAAAGTAGTTCAACCAACATGCTTCTTTCTTTCTGGGAGAGAAGCTCTGGAAAATCCTCTTTTCTCCAGCTCCTTTTACCTCTAGCAATGCCTAATGTCCTTTGCTCCAGCTCTGACCCTAGCAGGGGTAGAATGTGGAGGCTCAGGTGAAATCCTCCTTTTTCCAGGGTGAGTGAGGATCAGAGAGGCTAATCTTTTAAATTTGGCTGGCCCTATGGAATGTGTGTGTTTCTGTCTGTCTGCGTGCCTCTGTGTGTTTTTGTACTCATACAATGTTTACTAAAGAATGATTATCTATGTATCCAGCAGTCCACAGAGAAGAAGTAAATACTTCACCTTTCTGAGGTCTGATTTAGGCTTGAGAATGCCAGTCTCCAAATGTGAGCCCAGCACTGGCCATGGAGAAGTGAGCACCCAGCCTCTCACAGTCAGCTCACAGGGACAGGGACACATGTCTTCAATTTGCATGGTAACCTCTAGATGCCTGATAGGGTGGCTCTGCCCTCAGAGGCTTCTGACTCATGCAAGAGGAGAGACCCAGATGAGATGAGGATTACTGACAAATTCATGTCAAGACTCACCTGACCAACAGTTTCATAGGTCAAATATGTATTGCCAAGCCCTGACTTGGAAGGTTCACACAAATTATTGCATTGTAAACACTGACTGAGTAAATTCCATCAGTCTGGATCTTGTTTCCTCATCTGTAATATAAGGAACTACGTAGTGTGGTGAGAATGATAGCTGGATATGTACTTTGCAAGTTACTTTCTTATCAATAAGTCTCCAGTCACCTTAGAGCTGAAGTCTCACTCTGACAACATGTTAGATATTAGGAATGTGCATTCACTTTCTATCTTTCCCTTTTTAAGTAAGAAATTTTTCTTCTGTTTTTAATGTAATATATGTTCAGTGAAAAACATTTAGGAGATGCACACCAAAAACTATAAAGGATTTATTTAAAAACAGAATTAACCACTATTAACATACTATTGCATTTTCTTCCATTTTTTAAATGTATGAATGTGTAAAAACTTGGCTTCATATGGTATATATAATTTTATATTTACCTTTTATTTTACCTAACCATATATTATGATCATTTTCCTGTGTTGTTAATGTCCTTTTAAAATACGATTTTTTATGAGAGCATAATATTCCAAGTGCCATAACTTAAAAAGAAAAAAAATTGACCATTCGATTATGAAAGAAAGTACATTCTTATTGTAAAAATTTAAAACCATAGAAAGAGTGTTAAAGTCAAAATGAAAGATCCTCCTTCCAATCCCATTTACTGAATGCCATCACTGGTCAAAGCTTAATATGTTGTTCTTCTACACTTTCCAGGTCAGTATATTAACTTATTTTCTTTACTATTTACTATCCCATAATTTATCAATCATACCCTCCCTCATGGACATCAGGCTATGTCCTGTTTTGTTGCTACAACAATAATATAATAAGCCTTCTTACTCATATAATCTTAGCGATTTTATTTCTGTAGGACAGGTTCAAAGGACAGGTGTATTTTTTTATTTAAATGAACAAATAGGTAATCTTCCAACAAAATTAGAACCATTCAGATTACCACCCATGTTGTGATGACTTTTTGAAATAAGCTTCAGGAATTCCAAAACATTCTAATAATAAGTACTTAGATAATGAGGATCTGTTTCTGGATTTTCTGTTCTATACATTCATTTTTCTATTTTGGGGCCAATATCATGTTGTTCTACTTGCAAAAGTCTATTTTTCTACTCTCAGAGGTTTATTTTGAACTTCAAAGTCATTTGAAGCAGTAACAAAAAAGGAAGTTTTTTGTTGAGATTGTGATTGCAATCACATTGATTCATATATTAATTTGGTTAAAATGTGCTTATTAGTGACATCAACAATTTCTATCCAGAATTATACAATGTATTTCCATTTATTTAATTCTTGGCTTGTATCCTTCAATAAAATGTATAGTTTTCATCATTGGTTCTGTACCTCTGTTGTTAAATGTATTTTCTTTGTGTATATTTTTTAAGCTTTCTATCACTATCAAGAATAGTTTCTATCATTGTTTTTTCCAGTTTTAACCAGTTTTACTCTAAGATCAGATTATGCTGTAGTTTTCTAGTGGACTTTTCTCCCTCGAGCCCATTGACTGACTTTTTCATGACAGTGCCCTGCAAACACTAAGCTCGGTGAAGACTGTTGAATGTTGAATGCCTGAACTTGGCACATTGGCAAATTATACTTAAAGAATGCCATAACAAAAATTCAAACACACAAAAAAAGAAAAGAACTAATACTTACTAAGCTTTTCCTATGTACTAAGTCAGAAATAATTTATGTTATCTTGTTTCTTCTCTGGGCCAAGCCAGAAATAATTTATAGTTTTAATCATTTTAAAAGTATAAATCTCCCTTCAGACTATACTAGAAAAGAAAAAAAGTACAAATCAGATTTGGAAGTAGATACTAAATAGCCAATTGATTAGTTTGATTTTTTTTTCTTTTTTCTTTTTTTCTTTTTTTTTTTGGAGATGGAGTCTTGCTCTGTCACCCAGGCTGGAGTGCAGTGGTGTGATCTTGGCTCACTGCAAGCTCTGCCTCTCGGGTTCACGCCATTCTCCTACCTCAGCCTCCCGAGTAGCTGGGACTACAGGTGCCCGCCACCATGCCCAGCTAATTTTTTCTATTTTTTTTTAGTAGAGATGGGGTTTCACTGTGTTAGCCAGGATGGCCTCGATCTCCTGACCTCGTGATCCGCCCGCCTTGGCCTCCCAAAGTGCTGGAATTACACGTGTGAGCCACCACGCCCCGCATATTTTTTCTTTCAACCAATATTTCAGCCATAGGGTGACCCAAGTATGATATGCTATAGATTATATGTAACAATTTTTGAAAATCATAGATTTTTTTCATACCATAGAGGCAGAAAGGGGCCTGTTTGCCTCCTTCTCAGTCATATGAAGATTTTTCTGGAAAACACTCATTTGGGTTATATTTGATGAATATTAAGCTTTTATAGGATTTTTGCAGAATCTTGTCACTGACCTTTGTTAAATAATTGCATTACTTGAATATGTACCTCAGTTTCCTCATCAGTAAAATGAAAGGGTTGGGCTAAATGTCTGAGTCAAGATTTTACTGTAGGGTGGCCAGGTGCAGTGGCTCACACCTGTAATCCTAGCACTTTGGGAGGCTAAGGCAGGAGAATCTCTTGTGCCCAGGAGTTTGAGACCAACCTGGGTAACACAGGGAGACCCCACCTCTACAAAACAAAAAATAATAATAATTAATTAATTTAAATTTTTTTTTTTTTTTTGAGACGGAGTCTTGCTTTGTCACCCAGGCTGGAGTGTAATGGTGCAATCTCGGTTTGCTGCAACCTCCGCCTCCCGGGTTCAAGTGGTTCTCCTGCCTCAGCCTCCTGAGTAGCTGGGACTACAGGTGCGTGCCACCACGCCTGGCTAATTTTTGTATTTTTAGGAAAGACGGGGTTTCACCATGTTGCCCAGGCTGGTCTCAAACTCCTGACCTCAAATGATCTGCCTGCCTCAGCCTCCTAAAGTGCTGGGATTACAGATGTGAGCCATCACACCCAGCCAAAAGAAAAGATTTTACTGTAGGGGAAGCAGTATGCCTTAGTGGCTTAAGTTGAACATAGTTCAAATCCAATTCCTTAGAAAAGAGAGTTCATAAATTGAATCAACAACATTCAGGACTTTAGCATAAAATAGAGTATTTTGCACCAGTAGATTAAAGATTGAATAGTCATATGGAAAAAGTAAAGCCAAGTCTCTGAGTCTTTAAATCAAATAAATTTCAATGGATAAAAGATTTATATGTGACAAGGATATTTGTTTGTAATGGCAAAATGATTGGGAACCACCTCAATGTTCATCTAGATGATATTCCTTAAATAAAGTATGGTTTATTTGTACAGTGGAATACTATGCAGCTACTAAAAAAATAGGCCACTGTATAAGTACAATGAATGGAAAGATCTCAAAGATATATAATTTTAAGTGAGAAAAGCAACGGGTAGAATGGGGTATATAAAGTGCTACCATTTATGGCTTTAAAAAAAGAAAAGCATGGGAGAAAATATATATATTTGCATGTGCATGCCAGATCTTTGGAAGGATACACAAAAACTGGCAATAGTGATTGTTTCCAGAAAAAGGCCTGATGGCTGCAAGTGGATGAGAAGGAGACTTCACTTTCATATGTTTATTTGTACCTTTTGGATTATTTTGCTAGATGGATGGGTGATATTCTACTTAAAATGATACATTATATATATCCATTTTCTCACCAAGTGAAGTTCATAAAACCTGGTTCATAGGGCTATCATAAGAGCTGGATCAGATAATGTGAGAGAGAGCCTAGCGCTATGCCTGGTACGAGGTAATTGTCACACACACACACACACACACACACCCTTTTCCCACCCCTACTTGAATTATCTAGACAACCTGTGATCAAAGACATGCTGACACAGAATGGTATTTTTTGTTTCTCTCTTGGCATTGGAGGGTAGTGATAGAATTTGCAAAAGGGAAATACTTGGCTCTCCACAAAAAAAGTGGTTTCTAATACCTTACTCTTTTTTTTTTTTTTTTACTTAGAGATTTTATTATTATTATTATTATTATACTTTAAGTTTTAGGGTACATGTGCACAATGTGCAGGTTAGTTACATATGTATACATGTACCATGCTGGTGTGCTGCACCCATTAACTCGTCATTTAGCATTAGGTATATCTCCTAATGCTATCCTTCCCCCCTCCCCCCACCCCACAACAGTCCCCAGAGTGTGATGTTCCCCTTCCTGTGTCCATGTGTTCTCATTGTTCAATTCCCATCTATGAGTGAGAACATGTGGTGTTTGGTTTTTTGTCCTTGCGATAGTTTACTGAGAATGATGATTTTCAATTTCATCCATGTCCCTACAAAGGACATGAACTCATCATGTTTTATGGCTTCATAGTATTCCATGGTGTATATGTGCCATATTTTCTTAATCCAGTCTATCACTATTGGACATTTGGGTTGATTCCAAGTCTTTGCTATTGTGAATAGTGCCGCAATAAACATACGTGTCTAACACCTTACTCTTATACCTACAGAATTCTCCTACCAAAAACCATCTCACCAATCCCTGTTACCCTCGGGATTATAGCATCAGCTTCACCATGGGCCATGTATTTGATAGCCTGTGCACTGTGGACCAGAGGCCAGAAAGTTATAACCCCAATGATGTCATCACTTTTGAAGGAACTGGGGACCCATCTCTGTGTAAGGAGAAGGTGGCTTCCATATTTGACTTCAAAGCTTGCCATGATCAAGAAACCTGTTCTTTTGATGGGGTTTATCAGCCAAAGATTAAAGGGCCATTTGTGGTAAGAGCAAAACCTTCTGAAAGATTCCTTTCCCCATTGAATATTCATTTCTCACTTTTCTGTTTCTCCTCTGCTGACTTGTTAGCCACCTTCTTATTCCTCACCCATAAACCTTTCTATTATACCCCATTCTGAGAACTAATTTTCTTCTGTATTACTTATTTCCAGGCTTTTGCAGGATTCTACTACACAGCCAGTGCTTTAAATCTTTCAGGTAGCTTTTCCCTGGACACCTTCAACTCCAGCACCTGGAATTTCTGCTCACAGAATTGGAGTCAGGTCAGTATTTAAAGAGAAGGGATCAATGTCAGTACAAAAAAATATGGTAGAATCTATTCTATGTGTGTGTATTCTGAATTTAGCCTTTATGCTCTTCTATTTCCATCACATCTGTAAAATAAAAGGAATAAGGGAATCTACTCCCACACCTGTGGTGTGAATTAATGTTATAACTACATGCACAATGGTTAGAACAATATTTGGCATATAATAAGCACTCAATGAGTTTAAAGATTAGTATATTGTGATATTATATAGGGATATTTTCATAATTATATTGTGTGATTATATGATTGTATTATAAAGTATTTTCTATTATGAAATTATGGGTGATAAGATTCTTTAAAACATGACTTTTAACCCAAGGTGTTCATTTTAAAACATACCTGCCTGCCCTGCCTCTCAGATGTTTTAAACCTTTCAGCTCCCACTGCTGCTCCCCAAATTTGATGAGGTATATGCCCGCTCTTACTGCTTCTCAGCCAACTACATCTACCACTTGTTTGTGAACGGTTACAAATTCACAGAGGAGACTTGGCCCCAAATACACTTTGAAAAAGAAGTAAGTTAAGCACAAATCATTTTCTCTTCTTCTTCCCAACAGAGAGGTTTGTATGTGTGTGTGGAACAAATGTAGAAGGTAAAAGGGTATTAATGAGTTAAACTCACTGGGTGGAAGCTGATCAGACTGATCCCTTGTGAGTTTCCCAGAAGAGGTCATGGAGAATTTAGAAGAGTTGCTCATGGGTATACATTCTCCTGGAAAAGACTGGAAGCCAAGGGCCAATGGACTAGGCGGTCCTGGAGGGCAGAGACCTGTCTTGGTATCTTCATATTCCCAGCACTCTGCACAAGGAATAGAGCCTAGAAGGTACTTAGTAAATGTTGGTTGAATTCATAAATAAATATGTTAAGGATATGAGACTTTTCATCCTGAAAAGAAGCTTTAAATGTAACAGTTTTTTAAAGAGGATAGTAACTAATTCTTCTCCATTTTATTCAGATATCAGAGTAAGATACAGGCCTTAGGGCCTGATGGATTTGCATTAGCATTAAATAAATATTTTCTCTTTGAATGAACCTGAAGTCATTATATTTACTGACAAAGATTTGGGGGATGGGGAAGATATTCTTAGCTCAGGGTTTAATATATTTAAAAATATGTATATTTATAGATATCTATAAATACATACATATATATATATGATGGTCAAGTGACCAGAATGGTCCAAAGCTGGAATCACAGCTGTCACCTGGTGACAGGTGAAAGGACCTCCATACCTTGTTTTTAGGCAGGGCTAAGCCTTGTGAATATGTTCAGCCAGCACTATGTTCCCCAGGTTCCAGAGAATTTTCTCATTTCAGGAATAGCTGATATGAAGCCTGAAGGATGTCTGGAGTCAGCCTGTTCAATACCAGCTTCAGCAATAATTAGATTAAACCAATCAATATCCTGCATTAGGCCTCTGACTATCTACTTTTACATAAATAAAATTGAGTCATCTACAAAAAAATAAGGATGTCTGGAGACATAAGGACTGTTGGTAGCATGTACTCTCTAAGCTTTGCTTCTAATAAATCTAATTACCAGTAAAGTATATTATAAGAATGGAGAATGACTTTCCATTTGAATGCCAGTTTGAGTTGACATAATATTCTAAGTTAAAAGTTCCCTTTTTTTAATTATAAAGAATTTTGTGTCCAGCCAAATTAGTATTTAAATGTGAAGATGTAGGCTGGGCACGGTGGCTCACACCTGTAATCCCAGCGCTTTGGGAGGCCGAGGCAGGCGGATCACCTGAGGTCAGGAGTTTGAGACCAGCCTGACCAACATGGAGAAACCCTGTCTCTACTAAAAATACGAAATTAGCTGGGCATGTTGGTGCATGCCTGTAATCCCAGCTACTCAGAGGCTGAGGCAGGAGAATCACTTGCACCTGGGAGGTGAAGGTTGCCGTGAGCCGAGATCACGCCATTGCACTCCAGCCTGGGCAACAACAGCAAAACTCCATCTCAAAAAATAAAAATAAAAATAAATAAATAAAAATGTGAAGGTGTAAAAAGACTTGAGAAGATTTGCTGCACAGAAGACTTACAATGAAAATATTTTTGGTGGAAGTAATAAAATAAGAAGAGAAATAAATCCAGGAGATGTTACAAAAACACTGGAAGTAAGAATAAATGATGTTGTGGCTTAAAATTTACATTAAAAAAGCCGGGTGCTGTGGCTCATGCCTGTAATTCCAGCACTTTGGGAGGCCGAGGCAGGTGAATCATTTGAGGTCAGGAGTTCGAGACCAGCCTGGCCAACATGGCAAAACCATGTCTCTACTAAACATACAAAAAATTAGCTGGGTATGGTGGCATGTGCCTGTACTCCCAGCCACTCAGGAGGCTGAGGCAGGAGAATTGCTTGAAACTGGGAGGTGGAGGTTGCAGTGAGCCGAGATCTCACCATTTCACTTTAGCCTGGGCGAAAGAGCAAGACTCTGTCTCAAAAAAAAAAAAAAAATTATATTAAAAAAAACAGAAAACGAACACTAAAGAAAAGTATTTAAAAAAAACTCCATTCATATGACTCAAGTATAGAAAATATCCACATGATAAGGGTGTGGTAAGGAGTTATAAGATACAGGGACATAAGAGTAACCTAAAATTCTCTTCTTGTCAAAGGAAACACAGAGATATCTTTTTCTTTTTCTTTTCTTTTTTTTTTTTTTTTTTTGAGACGGAGTCTCGCTCTGTCGCCTAGGCTGGAGTGCAATGGTGTGATCTTGGCTCACTGCAGCCTCCGCCTCCTGGGCTCAAACAATTCTCCTGCCTCAGCCTCCTGAGTAGCTGGGATTACAGGCACCCACCATCATGCCTGGCTAATTTTTGTATTTTTGTAGAGACAGGGTTTCACCATGTTGGCCAGGCTGGTCTTGAACTCCTGACCTCAGGTGATCCCGCCTCGGCCTCCCAAAGTGCTGGGATTATAGGCGTGAGCCACCATGACTGGCCACAGATATCATTTTTAAGGCAGGAAAGAAGAAAAAATATATATAGAAAAATAGCACTAATTGAAAATTTAAAAGTAAGATATTAGAAAGAAGTGTAAATATATTAATAATCACAATAATTATAAATGGACTAAACCTACCAGTTAAAAGAGAGATGTCAAATTGAATTTTTAGAAATCAAGCAGGTGCCATTTATAAGAGAAACATGGTTCAAGCATAAAGACATGGAAAGATAGAAAGATAATTTTGTTAAATTATCAAACACTACCCAAAAGAAAGCTGGTATAACTATTTAGTATCTGGCAAAGCAGTCTTTAAGACCAAGAGCCTCATTCTAGACACAGAGGGTTACAACATAATGATAAAATGTTCAATTCACTATGAAGATTGCAAAGGTGAAACATTTATACACCTAATAAAACACCCTAAAAACATGTAAAGCAAAAATAGATAGAACTACCAGAATAAATTGACAGTCAGCTTCCCATTTGGGCTGATTTTCTATTCTTAGGAACTGGTCCTGGGATCAGTAAACCACTCATTAGCCTCTTTCTCTAGCCACAAACACTCCTGTGCTCCTGGACAACAGGAACACTTTCACTGTTATTAACTGTGCCGTCTTCACTCTTGGCTGTGACAAGATTGTGAGAATTTGTTCTTTTGACTATTTCTTCTGCAGCGCTGGAGGTGAGATTTCCCCAAGCCTTTGTGGCTACAGTGTGGTGTCTTAACTTGGGCAAGTCCTTTGACCTCTTTGGGCCACAATTTCCCATGGGAGCTTTGTGAGGTTGATAGCAGTATGACTCCGGTATGTGATTGCAGCCTTGAGCCTTGCCCTGAGCGCTGAGCCATCTCCTCTACTCCACAGGTGGGGAATAGCAGCATAGCCTGGTCTCTTGGCTACATGCTCAGCCTGACCAACCAGATCCCAGCTGAAAGCCCTCTGATCCGTCTGCCCATAGAACCACCTGTCTTTGTGGGCACCCTCGCTTTCTTCACAGCGGCAGCCTTGCTGTGTCTGGCATTTCTTGCATACCTGTGTTCAGCAACCAGAAGAAAGAGGCACTCCGAGCATGCCTTTGACCATGCAGTGGATTCTGACTGAGCCTTCAAAGCAGCTCCTGGAGTCCAATGGCTGCTTAGAGTCAGCCTGGGTGGCACCAGGCAATGCAGGTGAAGTGGCTGCCTTCAGGAAATACAACTAACTAAAATCAAACACCTAGGTCACGTGCCTCTCAAATACTGATTTCTGCCACAGCACCTCTTGAGGCATCCCTTGGCTATTCTGTGCATATTGTTCTTCAGAGACCTCACTACCCACATGCTGATCTATTGGGGAACAGAGAAGAGACAGGCCACGAAGGTCAGGCTCTTTATATTAAGTTCCCCAGAGGAAGAGTAAGTTGAGAAGGTATCAGTTTAATGTTGAAGAATTGACCTCAGGGCTCAGTTTCCATTTCCCTCCCTCAGTATTCTTCCTGGCAAGATACCCATTAAGCATTTCGCCAATCAGAATCTCATTTTATAGTTTTTCCCATTGGTCTTTAACTAAGACTTTCTTGTAGCAATCTCGTAAGCAGTGAACCCCCTCAGATCAGTAGAATATAGTATCTGGGGGAGAAGACTTACTTCCTTCAGGGCAGCAGCCACAGCCAGGCTTCTGTCATACAGGTAGATCCCGAAGCACAGAGACATAAAAAAGGTCTCCCAGAAAACTATAGACCATTCTCCAAGTGGAATTCCCACTTAGGGCTCTGGTCACTAGATTGCAACCTGTGTGTTTGTCATCATCCTCATCTCACCATTGTATTGCTATGCCCTCCCATAAAAACACATTGATCCCTAGCAAGATTATTGCATTCCAGATTTTACTGCCTTTGCTAGGCTTTTGCTTAGCAAAGGGCTGACTTTCCATTGTTATCATGGTGTATATATTTTTGTCACCATTCCCACAAGTATACTTGATGTTGTCATAGAACGAACATCCTACTCTATGATTTACTAACCAATTACTTTCCCAGATCATAGACCTCTCTGCATAGTAGTCATAGGTCTTGACTTTGGGGAAAGAAAAGGAAGCTGCAGGAATATTTATCTCCAAAGTCGAATGAGAAAGAACTCCAGCAAATCCAATGGCTACAAACTAAAAATCAGCATTATTTCATATTGCTGTTTCTTAGCTGAATATGGAATAAAGAACTATTATTTTATTTTGACTTGCAAGGGGTGTGTGTGTGTTAACTTCCATATGGTACTCTTTCTCCTAAGGACCCTAGGTGATATTTATGAGAGAAATTTTTTTCCCTAGCAAATTAAGAAACCCATTCATTAATATCACCTTTATTCCAGAGAGTTCAAAGTGCTTTTACTTTGATAAACCTTTGACTGCTTGAGATTATTGAGTCAAGCATTTCTGTACCTTATTTGAAATTCTAAGCCTCTGTGAGTCCACAACCTGACACTCAAATCTTGGTTCTCATCCAGAACGGCTACTCCTATCCCAAACTGTACCTTTGCTCCCGCCATCCTCTCTACTATATTATAGATCCTCCTCCCACCCATCCAAATCATGTATGTTTCTCAAGGTCCAGTTCCTTCATATAAGTCTTCCACAAAGCTTTCCTTGCACACACATACTATGCTCTATCTCCTGGACCACTTTTTCAAAACCAGCCACGTAAGTCCTCATATTGTTATTTATCTTGGCATATGTGTACAGCTTATTTCTAAAAGACAGAGTAGGCTACTTAAGGGCAAAGCCTATTGTACATCACTCCTCATTTATTCAACAGACATCTAAAAACACCTATTATGGCTGATACCTTTTACGTGTGATTTTGGATTTGGACATATGCTATGAACATAGTATTTATTCATATTTGTTGATTGAGGTTGTTTCCATGAGTGACTAAGAAATGGGCAATAAACTATAGAGATAGCAGGGAAAAAACAGCATCCAAATCACCAAGAGTTTGCAAGAAAAAAAATTTGTATGTGCAAGAAAGAGAGCCAAAGCTCCATGAAGGCAAATCCTAGTCAACATTTCTAACTCATTTGGGAAGTTAGAATAAACTGAGGTACTTCAGGTTTTCTGACACACACCGAAGAATTTTTGACTGGGTGCAGTAGCTCACACCTGTAATCTCAGCCTTTTGGGAGTAGCTGAGGCAGGAGGGATTCCTTGAGCCCAGAAGTTCGAGAGCAGCCTGGGAAACGTGGCAAAACCTCTTCTCTCCAAAAAATACAAAAATTAGCCAGAAGTTGTGGGCACACCTGGAGTCCCAGCTACTTGGGAGGTTGAGGTAAGAGGATTGCTTGAGCCTGGGAGGTGGAGGTTGCAGTGAGCCGAGATCATGCCGCTGCACTCCAGCCTGGGTAACAGAGCAAAACTATCTCTCTCTCTCTCTCTCTCTCTCTCTCTCTCACACACACACACACACACACACACACACAAGAATTTTTATAGATAGACCATTGTGAAATCTGCAGTTCAAGTGGCATATCTAGCACTGTTACTGTGGTGAACAGAATACTCCTTCCCCCTCTGGTGTTACTCCAATTATGTGGTTACATTGTCACATGGCAAAAGGATTTTGCAGATGTAATTACAAATCAGTTGACCTTAAAATGGAGAGCTTATCCAGGTAGGTCTAACCTCACCACATGAGCTCTTTAAAGGCAGAGCATTTTCTCCAGAAGACGAAGTCAGAGATTCAAAGCATGAGAAGAATTCCACATGCAGTTGCCGGCTTGGGGATGGAGGGCGCCGTGTGCAAAGGCCCTAAGTGCAGCCTCTAGAAACTAACAGCAATCCCTGGCGGCATCAGCAAAAAACCAGGAACCTCAGCCCTACAGCTGCAAGGAGCTGGATTCTGCCAACAACCTGAATGAACTTGGAAGCATATTTTCCCCCAGAGCTTTCAGATAAGAGTCCAGGTCAGATCATATCTTGATTTCAGCCTACTGAGACCCTAAGTGGAGAACCCAGTTGAGCCCACTCTGACTTCTGACCTACAAAACTATAAAGTAACAAAAAGATGACGTTTAAAGCCACTAAATTTGTGGCAATTTGTTACACAGTCACAGTAAACTAATACAACTATAGAACCCCAAACCCCAAAGCTCCAACCAAAGCAAGTCTTTTGATTTGAAATATGTGAAGATAAAAGTGATGAGTAGCACAAATAGTGTCTATTCCTAATCACAGCTATGTAAAAAAAGCATGGGTTCAGAGGTAAAAGTACCTGACAGCATTACTCAGTCACTGAGTGATTTGGGGAATAGGGATCGGGGCTTGAGCTTTGGGCCTGGTTGAGTCTAAAACCCATTGCATAACTTTGCCTTTCACACAGAAAGGCAGTATCATATAGTAGTTAGGAATTTGGCTTTATATTTCCGTAGTCTAACATACCCATTCACATACAGACACCTGATTTATAACAGAGGTGTCACATCAGAGCAGTGGGAAAATGCAGGACAATTGGATATCTTAATGGAGAAAAAATGAATTTGACCCTTTCCTCACTCCACTTGCAAGAAATGTTTCCAGGTAGCTTAAAGACCTAAGTGTGAAAAACCTATAAAGGTTTAGAAGAAAATGTAGGAGAATATTTTTAGGATACTGGGTAAGGGAAGGGTTTCTTAAACACTACACAAAAAGCATTAACCATAAGAAAGTATTTAATACATTAAAATGTAAAACTTCTGTTCCTCAAAAAACATCATTAAAAGAGTGAAAAGACAAGCCACAGAGTGGAAGAAGGTATTTACAACATATATAACTGATAAAGGACTACTTTCCAAATTATATGAACAACACTTACAAATCAGTAAGAAAAAGGAAGATGATTCAATTTTTCTAAACAGGCAATAGTCTTGAGAAGACACTTTTCAAAAGGAGACAACTAAGTGTCTAATAAACATAGGAAAAGATGCTCAATCTCATTATTGGGATAATGCAAATTAAAACTACAGAGAAATAGTACAATATGCTCATTCGTTTGGCAAAACTTAGAAGTCTGACAATACCAAAATTAGTGAGGATGTGGAACTGGAACTCTCCTATACTGCTGTAGGAATGTAAATTAATGCAACCACTCTGGAAAATGGAGGTATTGTCTAATAAAGTTGAAGAAATTCCAGTCCAAAGTATATACCTTAGCGATATATAGTCTTAGATATACCAGGATACATGCCTAAGAATGTTTTAAGCAGCAACCAAGATGCCTATCCTACGGAATAAATGAATAAATAAATAGCGATACAGCCATACTAGAAAATACTGTACATCAATGAAAACAAAAGAACTACATAATCAAAAGGTTTTTTGTTTGTTTTTGTTTTGTTTTATTTTTGTTTTGAGATGGAGTCTCGCTCTGTCACCCATGCTGGAGTGCAGTGGCTCAATCCTGGCTCGCTGCAACCTCCACGTCCTGGGTTCAAGCGATTCTCCTGCCTCAGCCTCCTGGGATTACAGGCATCTGCCACCACGCCCAGCTAATTTTTGTATTTTTAGTAGAGACAGGGTTTCACCATGTTGGCCAGGCTGGTCTCAAACTCCTGACCTCGTGATCCCCCTGCCTCGGCCTCCCAAAGTGCTGGGATTACAGGCGTGAGCCATTGCACCTGGCCTAATACAAAATTTAAAAACAGGCAAAACTAAACACAGAAGGTTAAACGCTAAAGAAAAGCAAGGAAATTATTACTTTGAAATTTGGGAGGAGATGGAGGCTGTATCTGGAAAAGGATAAATGGGTGTCTTAGGCTGCTTGAACTGCCATAATAAAATACTATAAATTGAGTGGCTTAAACAACAGAAATTAATCTTCTCACAGTTTTGGAGCCTGGGAATTCCAACATCAAGGCATCAGCTGACTAATTCCTGGTGAGGGCTCAATTCCTGGCTTGCAGATGGTGGCCTTTATGCTGTGTCCACACGGCCTTTCCTCTGAGCTCTCAGGGAGAGAGAGTGAGAGAGAGAGAGAGGGCACTCTGGGATCTCTTCTGACAAGGGCATTAATCCCACCATGAGGGCCACTCCTTCATAACCTTGTCTAACCCTAGTTATCTACCCTCCCAAAGGCTCCATCTCCAAATCCTACACTGGGGGTTAGGGCTTCAACATATAAATTTGGGGGATCACAAATATTCAGTTCATAACAACAGGGCTTCTGGGGTGACAGTGTTATTCTACAACTAGGTAGTGGTTACAGATGTTCCCTTTTTCAACCATTTATACATCATCTGTATGTCCTATACTACAATATAAAGTGACAGATCTGGGTTAACTCAAGAATTTTCTCCTTATTACCTCTATGGTTTTCATCATATCTTTCAGTCTCCTTGAGTCTTGACTTCCTCCATATATAAAACAGGCATAATACCTACCTCATGGGATAGTTAAGAGAAAATACAGCACTTAGCCAGTGCCTGACATGGATGTAGCTAATAAATACAAGTTTTAAAACATATTTATTTCACCCATTTACTTATTCACTCATGATACTTTCACCAAAAGTCTACTGTGCGACAAGCCCTGAGCTAAATGACTAAGGGTGTAATAGAAATGAGACAACTGTCTTTTCTCTCGAAACATGAGACTTGAATGCCCTCTGTTGGAGCTATGGAAAAAATTCTTCCCAGGGTGAGCCTCCCACCCTTTTTTTAAACCTCTCTAAAGGTATTAGAAAAAAAAATCATTAGTTCAAAAATAGTTTTAATAGTATAAAATAAGGAGATAATTGGAAATCTGAACACTGAACATTATCAAGGAATTCCTGTTAATTTTTGTTTAGGTAAAATAATGGAACCGGCCTGGCGCCATGACTCATGCCTGTAATCCCAGTACTTTGAAAGGCTGAGGCAGATGGATTACTTGAGGTCAGGAGTTCGAGACCAGCCTGGCCAACTTGGTGAAACCCCGTCTCTACCAAAAAATACAAAAATTAGCCAGGTGTGGTGGTGCACACCTGTAATCCCAGCTTCTCGGGAGGCTGAGCCAAGACAATCACTTGAACCTAGGTGGTGGAAGTTGTAGTGAGCCGAGATCACGCCACTGCACTCCAGCCTGAGCAGAAGAGCAAGACTCTGTCTCAAAATAAGTAAATAACTAAATGAAATAATGGTATCTTGGATTTTTTTTTCAAGAACCCTTGCTGTTTAGATCAATGGTCCTCAACCTTTTTGGCACCAGAAACCGGTTTCAAGGGAGACAATGTTTCCACGGACAGTGTGGGGCTGGGTGGGGATGCACAGATGGTTTCAGGATGAAACTGTTCCACCTCAGATCATCAGGCATTAGATTCTCATAAGGAGCAAACCTAGATCCCTCACACACGCAGTTCACAATAGGGTTCGCATTGTTGCTGATCTGACAGGAGGCGGAGCTCAGATGGTAATGCTGGTTTGCCCGCTGCTCAACACCTGCTGCGCAGCCCGGTTCCTAAACAGGCCACGGACCAGTACTGGTCTACTGCCTGGCTGAGGGTTGGGGACCTCTGGTTTAGATACTTGCTGAACTGTTTCCAGATGAAATGATACGTCTGGCGTATCAGTCAAAGTTCAACCAGAGAAATAGAGCCAGTATTAAGAGATCTATTGCAAGGAATTGGCTTGTGAGACTATGGGGCTAGCTAGGCAAGTCCTAAATCCACAGGGCAGGCCATCAGGAAGAGCAGGCTGGAACCCTCAGGCATGAACTAAAGCTACAGTCCACAGATAGAATTTCTTCCTTCTCAGAGAAGTCCCAGTTCTGCTCTTATGGATTTTCAACTGATTTAATCAGGCTCACCCAGATTATCTAGGATAAGTCCCCTTAAAAATCTACTAATTATGGGCAGTAATCACACCCACAAAATACTTTCACAGCTACACCTAGATTAACAAATAACTGGGTGCTATAGTCTAGCCAAGTTGACACATAAAATTGACCACCACATCTGTGAATTGATTCAAAATTACAGGGGAGGGAGAATGTAGGGGTAGAACTGGCCCATACTTTGATGGTCCTTGAGGTTGGGGTGATGAGACATAGGAGTTTATTATAGTATTCTATCTGCTTTGTGTATGTTTACAATTTTCTAAATAAAAGTTAAAATACATATTTTGAGGCCAGGCATGGAGGCTCACGCCTATAATCCCAGCACTTTGGGAGGCTGAGGCGGGCAGATCACCTGAGGTCAGGAGTTCGAGACCAGCCTGACCAACCTGGAGAAACCCTGTCTCTACTAAAAATACAAAATTAGCTGGGCATCGTGGTGCATGCCTGTAATCCCAGCTACTTGGGAGGTTGAGGCAGGAGAACTGCTTGAACCCGGAAGGCGGAGGTTGTGGTGAGCTGAGATCATGCCATTGCACTCCAGCCTGGGCAACAAGAATGAAACTGTCTCAAAAAAAAAAAAAAAAAAAAAAAAAAAAAAATATATATATATATATATATATATATAAACACGCAGAATCTCACTGCTGTATATTTGATATTTTTCTTTCTGAATCTTTTTCTCTACATATTTGTACATAGTTAAGATCATGCTGGAATTACAATTTTATATTTCCTTCGTTCACAGCATTATACCATTAGCATTTTCAGATCTCATTAAAAATTATTCCCAAATATCAAACAAAATGATTAAGAACTCAGGCTTTCACATCACAAAAACCTGGTTCACACATCCTAGTTCTGCTGTTCATTGTTGTGTGATCTTTGTCTAAAAATCTTAAGTTTTCTATGCCTCAGTTTCCTTTAATACAGCCATTCAATTCAACTGCTTGTTCATTTGTTCATTCAACTAATATTGATTGAATTCATCCTCTGAGTAAGATCCTGTGTAGGTGGCATAACTCCACCAATTAACAATGTAGACAAAGTCCTTGCCTTCAGGGAGCCAACGTTCTAGTGGGGGAGACAGACACTAACCAACTAAATACACACTGTACAGGGGATTATAAGTGATCTGGAGAAATATAAAGAAAAGTAAGGGGAAAGGAAAGTGCCAGGAGCATGAGATGGGGACGCCATTAGGTCAGAAAAGTCTTTTCAGATAAGGTGACGTCTGAACGAACACTTGGAAAATGTGAAGGAGTCGGCCATTTGAATATCTGGAGGAAGAGCATTCTAAGCAAAAGAGACCACAAATACAAAGGCCATTGTGATTGGAGCAGAATAAATGACTGGAAGATGGAGGAGATAGGGTAAGGGAGTTAAGACGGAGTAGATGGTGCAAGGGGGCCCCATTTAGAGTTCTGAACAAAGGAGGGGTATCTGGCTTCTGTTTCTAGTTACAGTGATAAAAAACAAAGGAGACAAGAGCAGAAACAGGAAAACCAGTTGGTGGGTGATTTTAATAATCCAGATGAGAAATGCTGATGGCTTGGATCAGGTTGGTAGCAGTAGAGGCTGTGAGCAATGGTCAGACCCCGGATATATGTGAAAGTAGAGCCCACAGTGTTTGCTGATGAATGTACATGGAGTGAGAGAGAAAAAGAGGGGTTAAAAGTTATTCCAATATTTTTGCCTGAGTGACTGAAAGGATAGAGTTGCTATTAAATGACATGTGAATATAGCAGGGAGAGAGGGTTTAGTAAGAGGAAGGTTAAGATCCAGACTATTTTCTTAAAAAAACAAAAACTGTTTATACCAGCACATATCCATAAGCATGGAGAGAAAAGAAGAAAAGAAAACAACAAAAACATTTTGGCATGGTGGACCAGGGGTAACTGACTTAGCAGACCCAAGAAAGCACAATCCTAAAACAATGAGAAAATAAAAAATCAACCAATGTAAACAGCAGTGTTCTCAAAAAGCTCAGGAATCTGTGGCATCAAGTACAGCTGCAAGTTGGGTTGGCAAGCACAAAATAAAGATAATTAAAGCTGTTTAAGAATAGTGATTCTGGCCAGGTGCAGTGGCTCATGCCTGTAATCCCAGCACTTTGGGAGGCTGAGGCGGGTGGATCATGAGGTCAGGAGTTCAAGACCAGCCTGGCCAACATGGTGAAACTCTGTCTCTACTAAAAATACAAAAATTAGCCAGGTGTGGTAGAGCACCTGTCATCCCAGATACTAAGGAGACTGAGGCAGCTGAGGCAGGAGAATCGCTTGAACGCGGGAGGCAGAGGTTGCAGTGAACCGAGATTGCACCACTGCACTCCAGCCTGGGCGACAGAGCAAGACTCCTTCTCGAAAAGAAAAAAAAAAAAAGAATAGTGGTTCCTAGATACCTTCTACTCTTTGCTGATGAGTGACTGCCTCTTCCTAACCCAAGCACAGGAACTGGAAGGCACAAGGCACAGTTACAGGTGGAGGTGTCATACCAAAACAACAAGATTAAGGAAACCAAGGCATATTCAGTGTTTAGACTCCAAGCCTCTAACCCCATCAACTCCCAGGTTCTAGGTTAACTCTACCCTCTAGTCAGGACTTTGGAAGATTCTTTTGTGAGGAATCCAAGAAGTCCAGGAGAAAGGACACAAATGTGCTGGCATTTGCAGTTTGCTAGTCAGATTATCCTACAGTGAAGCTTGAATCAATAACTCAAAACTTCCAATCAGCTTTTTATCCCCTCACCTTAAACAGAAAACAAACGAGGTGCCAGGAGTGGTGGCTCGCTCATGCCTGTAATCCCAGCATTTTGGGAGGCCAAGGCGGGTGGATCACCTGAGCTCAGCAGTTCGAGACCAGCCTGACCAACATGGTGAAATTTCATCTCTACTAAAAATACAATAATTAGCTGGGCAGGATGGCAGGTGCCTATAATCCCAACTTCTCGGAAGGCTGAGGCAGGAGAATCGCTTGAATCCAGGAGGCGGAGGTTGCAGTGAGCCGAGATTGTGCCACTGCACTCGAGCCTGGGCAACAGAGGGAGACTCCATCTCAAAAAAAAAAGAAAAGAAAAGAAAAAGAAAAAGAAAGAAAAGAAAAGAAAAGAAAAGAAAGAAAGAAAACAAGGCAAGTATTTAAGGACAGCCCCCACTGTTGTTCTAGTCAGGCATCAGGAAGATATGCACTTAGATATCAGTTTGTGTTTTATCAGCCATTTTTACCCAGAAGTCTGTCTCTCTTGTTATTGTTACCTCCCTCTATCTTCTGTCATCTGCTTTCTTCTTTTCTAAATAAAAGTAGAGTTCCAAGAAGCCCATGTTTTTATTTTATTTTATTTTATTTATTTATTTATTCATTTATTTTAGAGATGGGGTCTATGTTGCTGAGGCTGGACTTGAACCCCTGGGCTCATGCAATCCTTCCTTCTCAGCCTCCCAAGTAGCTGGGACTACATGTACACACCACTATGTCTGGCAGGTTCCTGCTTGTGTCCCTTTGCTCTTATCTGCTTAAAAGTCACCTCTGAATCATCACTAGAACTTGACTTCTCACAGATGAAAAGGCGGTGTGATGAATACAAGTAAAGATTGGGATGATGCACTTGAAAGATGGAGGAAGGGGCAAGTCAAGGAACATAGGTGGCCATGAGAAGCTGAAAAAGCAAGGAAACAAATTATCCCCTCAGAGTCTCCAAAAGGAACCTCTAAAAGCCAAAACGTTGACTTTAGCCCAGTAAAACTGAATTCAGACTTCTGACCTTTAGAACTGTAAGAGAATAAAACTTGTTTTAAGCCATTAAAACAAAACAAAACAAAATTTGACCTCTCACAACAGAGAGGAAGTCTTACTGCCTTTCTGTAGATTTCAGAACCATGGTCAGGGATCCAAATACACTCTATGAGGGTGACATGGGCTCCATCACACACTCCAGAAAGGAGTGTAAATTAATCTAACGTTCCGAAAAAGTAGCTATAATATGCTGCAAGATTTTAAAAGTGCACATTCCTCAATCCAACAACCGTATTTCTAAAAATTAATTCTAAGGAAACCTTTTTTAAAAATACGGACATTGTTATTACAGATACATATTGAAATATTTATGGATACACTGATATAATGTCTGGGATCTGCTTCACATTAATCCTGTTTGGTGAGCATATTCACATTTTCTCATAGGGGAGCCACTAGGCACATATGGCTATTGAGCTAGTCCAGTTGAGATATGCAATGAATGTAAAGTACACACTAGATTTTGAAGACTTAGTACCAAAAAAATTAAAATATGTCATTAATAACTTGGAAACTGGTTATATATTAAAACAATATTTTGGATACATTGAGTAAAATAAAATGTATTATTAAAATTAATTTCACAGGCCAGGCACAATGGCTCACACTTATAATCTCAGCACTTTGGGAGGCTGAGGTGAGATGGGAGGATCACTTAAGGCCAGGAGTTCCAGACCAGCTTGGGCAACACAGGGAGACTCTGTCTGTACAAAAACTTTAAAAATTAGCAGGCCTGTTGGCACATGCCTATAGTCCTAGCTACTCATGAGGCTGAGGCTGGAAGATCGGTTGAGTCCAGGAATTTGATGCTTCAACAAACTATGATTGCACCACTACACTCCAGCCTGGGCAATAGAGTAAGACCCTGTCTTAAATAAATAAATAAATAAATTTCACTTCTTTCTTTCATATTTTTCAAATGTAGCTACTAGAACATTTTAGGTTACATTAAGTTAGGTTTTAAATTACAAACATGGTTTTCCTTTGTAGTTTACATTATATTTTTATTAGACAGCACTGGTATAGAATCCATATACTATAGATAAAACAAGATGGCCCATTAAACATGAACATCTTTGGATACTTGACCAAAAATGGCTATTGTTGAAACTAAATAATGGGTATGCAGGAGTTTATTATACCATTTTCTTTACTTTTGTACATGATTGAAAATTCCATAATGAGTCTGGGCACGGTAACTCACACCTGTAATACCAGTACTTTGGAAGGCCAAGACAGGAGAATTGCTTGAGCTCAGGAGTTTGAGACCAGCCTAGGCAACATAAAGAAACCCTACCTCTACAAAAAAAAAAAAAAAAAAAAAAAAAAAATTAATTAGTTGGGTGTGGGTCACGTGCCTGTAGTCCCAGCTTAACCAGAAGGCTGAGGAAGGAGAACAGATTGAGCCTGGGAAGTCAAGGCTGCAGTAAGCTATGATCGTGCCACTGTGCTCCAGCCTGGGTAACAGATCAAAATCCTGTCTCAAAAAAATATATATTACATAATGAAAGTTTAAAAATATGTGACTAAAGCTGCTTTCAGAAAAATACCAATCCCTATTTATATAATAGTAAAAAGTGAAAAAGTAAGCCCGATCTTCAATAGCAGTAGAGGAATGGCGAGGTGAATTATGTTCATCTATATGCTATGCTAAAAGAGTATGATGCAGCCATTAAATAATAAAATAAAAAATAACATCTAACATTTGAATGCTTACTATATTCCAGACCTGTGCTAAGCAAATTATATGCATTACATCACTTAATTTTTATAACAGCTCTCTGAGTTGGATAAAATTTTTATTCTCCAACCTCTTCCCTTGACTCCAAATTTATATATTCATTAGCCTGCCAAAACCCATTAGCTAGATTATATGGATAAAGAGCCTAACAAACTAAAAGAAAAAATGAATTGGCAGAAACAGAAACTATGCAAGGAAAAAAATATTTTAAACAAAAAAAAGAAACTCATTAATATTATAAGAAAAATAAGGGACACTGCATCAATGAAATAGAAACAATTTTTTTCTTTTTCTTTTTTTTTTTTTTTAAGACAGGATCTTGCTATGTTGCTCATGCTGGCCTTGAAAACCTGGGCCCAAGCCTCCCACTTCAGCCTCCCAAGTAGCTGGAACTACAGGCACACCCCACCACATCTAGCTCAGAAACAATTTTTTTTAAAGGAAAGATGAGATATTCAGAACAAAGAAACAGTTCTTGGAAATTTAAAACATGATAGCAGACATTAAGAACTCGCTAGAAGGGTTGAAAGATAGCATTGAGGCAAACCCTCAGAAAGGAAAGAAAAAACACAAAGAAATGGGAAAAAGAGTAAGAAGACAAAATTCTAAGACTAGCCCACCAAAACCCCCATCTGAATAACACAAGTTTCAAAAAGAAGAATCACCCATGAAATACATGGAAAATTTTACCCTGACCAGAAGGATATGGACATGATTGAAAGGGCCCAGCCCAATAAATAAAAATTACTTTACACCAATGTACAATGCTATAAAAGTTCAGAACATTAAAAAGAAAAAGAATACCCCTTATAAACTTTCAGAGAGGGAGAAAAAAAAAACAGGCCACATACAAATGATCAAGATGAGAATGGATTTAGTTTTCTCAACAATAACTCTGGAAGCAAGAAGCCAATGGAGTAATGCCTTCAAAATTCTGAGGGAAAATCATGTTTGAGCTAGAGTTCTGTATCCAGCCAAAAATGATCAATTAGGTATGAGAATAGAAGAGAGACATTTTCTGACAGCTTCCTTTTACAGGGAGCTAACTGGAAGGTGTGTTCCACCAAAAGAAGAGACTAAACCAAGGAAACAAAAGGCATCGACTCCAGAAAAAAAGGAGATCCAATATGGGAGAAAATGGGAAGGAAATCTCCAGGATGGTGATGAAGGTGTAGAGGGGACCAGCCAGAATGAAGTGACTCAGTAGCCTCTAAAGGAAATAGCCAATAGACACATGAAAAAATGCTCATCATCACTGGCCATCAGACAAATGCAAATCAAAACCACAATGAGATACTATTTCACACCAGTTACAATGGCGATCATTAAAAAGTCAGGAAACAACAGGTGCTGGAGAGGATGTGGAGAAATAGGAACACTTTTACACTGTTGGTGGGACTGCAAACTAGTTCAACCATTGTGGAAGACAGTGTGGCAATTCCTCAAGGATCTAGAACTAGAAATACCATTTAACCCAGCCATCCCATTACTGGGTATATACCCAAAGGATTATAAATCATGCTGCTATAAAAACACATGCACACGTATGTTTATTGTGGCACTATTCACAATAGCCAAAGACTTGGAACCAACCCAAATGTCCATCAATGATGGACTGGATTAAGAAAATGTGGCACATATACACTATGGAATACTATGCAGCCATAAAAAGGATGAGTTCATGTCCTTTGTAGGGATATGGATGAAGCTGGAAACCATCATTCTCAGCAAACTATCGCAAGGACAGAAAACCAGACACCGCGTGTTCTCACTCATAGGTGGGAATTGAACAATGAGAACACTTGGACACAGGAAGGGGAACATCACACACCGGGGCCTGTTGTGGGGTGGGGGGAGTGGGGAGGGATAGCATTAGGAGATATACCTAATGTAAATGACGAGTTAATGGGTGTAGCACACCAACATGGCACATGTATACATATGTAATAAACCTACACGTTGTGCACATGTACCCTAGAACTTAAAGTATAATTAAAAAAAAAAGATGATGATGAAGTTGATAGAACTTTACATCTGGGCCATGCGTGGTGGCTCATATCTGTAATCCCAGCACTTGGGGAGGCAACCTAGTGAGACCCCCGCTCTACCAAAAAAAAAAAAAAAAATGGCCAGGTGTGGTGATGTGTGCCTGTAGTCCCAGCTCCTTGGAAGGCTGAGGCAGGAGGGTTACTTGGAGCCCAGGAGGTCGAGGCTGTAGTGATCCATGATTGCACCACTGCACTCCAGCCTGGAGGACAGAGTGAGAACCCATCTCAAAAAAAAAAAAATTGTGTTACACTCATGCAATGGAATACTACTGAGCAATAAAAAGGATTGAACTCCTAATACCTAGAATAACATGGATGACTCTCACAGACATAATGTTGAGCTGAAAAAATCAGACCCAAAAGAATACATACTGTATGATACAATTTATATGAAGGCCAAGAATAAACAAGAGGAATCTATGGTGATATAGAGGCACAATAGTGGTAGACTCCAGGAAATGAAGTTAAGAAGAAAGAGGGAACTTAATTCGGCCACAGAAATGTTCTGTATTTTGGTCTGGATGGTGGTTACGAAGTGGTTCATGCCTGTAATCTTAGCACTTTGGGAGGCTTAGGCAGGCAGATTGCTTGAGCCCAGGAATTTGAAACCAGCCTAGGCAACATGGCAAGACCTCGTCTCTACAAAAAAATACCCCCAAAAAAATTAGCCAGGCATGGTGGCTGTACCTGTAGTCCCAGCTACTTGTGAGGCTGAGGTGGGAGGATACCTTGAGCCTGGGAGGTGGAGGTTGCAGTGAGCTGAGATCATGCCACTGCACTCCAGCCTGGTGACAGAGTGAGCCTCTGTCTCAAAAAAAAATAAAAAATAAAAAATAGAAGGGTAACCTGTTGACAAGAACTTCCAGCCCAGGATTTTATACAAGAAGGCTGTTTTCTGTGTAAGCAAAGCAGTTTATTTTAACGTTTTATGGTTTCTCCTAGGAATATGCCATTGATTAAATTATGAAAAAGCTTTAGGCGGAGCACGGTGGCTCACGCCTGTAATCCCAGCACTTTGGGAGGTCAAGACGGGCAGATCACCTGAGGTCAGGAGCTCAAGATCAGCCTGGCCAACATGGCAAAACCCAGACTCTACTAAAAATCCAAAAATTAGCTGGGGTGGTGGTGGCTTCCTGTAATCCCAGTTACTTGGGAGGCTGAGGCAGGGGCATCGCTTGAACCTGGGAGGGGGAGGTTGCAGTGAACTGAGATCAAGCCACTGTACTCCAGCCTGGGCAACAGAGTGAGACTCCATCAGAAAAAAAGAAAAGAAGAGAAAAAGAAAAAAAAAGATACTTGGCTGGGTGCAGTGGCTCATGCCTGTAATCCCAGCACTTTGGGAGGCTGAGGTGGGCAGATCACTTGAGGTCAGGAGTTTGAGACCAGCCTAGCCAACATGGTGAAACCCCGACTCTACTAAAAATGCAAAAACTACCCAAGCATGGTGGTGCACGCCTGTAATCCCAGCAGGAGAATCGCTTGAACCCAGGAGGCAGAGGTTGCAGCGAGCCAAGACTGTGCCACTGCACTCCAGCCTGGGTGACAGAGTGAGACTCCATCTCAAAAAATATGTATGCATATGAAAAAGTTTTAGGGCCGGGCATGGTGGCTCATGTCTCTAATCCCAGCACTTTGGGAGGCCGAGGCAGGCGGATCACAAGGTCAGGAGTTCGAGACCAGCCTGGCCAACGTACTGAAACCCTGTCTCAACTAAAAAATACAAAAAAAAAAAAAAAAATTAGCCAGGCATGGTGGCAGGCCCCCGTAATAGCAGCTACTCGGGAGGCTGAGGCAGGAAAATCGCAAGAAAAGAAAGGAAGAAAGAAAGAAAGAAAGGAAAGGAAAGGAAAGGAAGGAAGGAAGGAAGGAAGGAAGGAAGGAAGGAAGGAAAGAAAGAAAGAGAAAGAAAGAAAAGGAAAGAAAGGAAAAGAAAGAAAGAAAGAAAGAACAAACAAAGAAACAAAGAAAGAAACAGAAAGAGAGAAAAAGGTTTAGACCCAATTTATACTTTCCATGTATACCTCCTCATAGGCTAATTTGTTCCTCAGTTTGGCGGTTTTTTGATTGTTTCTAAAATGCTGTTTCTAAAAGAACACTTATCTGCCCTAAAATGACATTTTTGGGGTTTTGAACAAAATCCCCAGCTGGTGTTTTGTGACATTGCAGGAACAAGCCTATGTTTTCCTGTATAGATTTCAGTGACTACTTATGACTATCATTTCCATCCTATTTCAACTGTGCCATTTCCATATAAAGTCTTAAGATTTAAAATTTCACATCCTATAGCTTGCTGCTGCCCACATAACATGTGTAAGTAGTAAGTACCCATTTCCTGATATTTACTTTTGCTTTTTTCCATAGTAATAGTTCTAGAATATCTGATTTTTAGCAAGGCTCATAGCCACCAGAAGTGGAGACTCAATTTCCCAGCATTGCTTGTAGGTTTGGTAATGAGGCTGAGTTCTGGCCAACGGAAAGGAAGCAGAAGTGTCCTGATATGGCAACCAAGACTCTTCCTGAGAGAACAGTGGACACCCATCTTTTGCCCTTTTCCTTTATCCTGCTGCAAAGTGTAAGGGCAGGATCTGTAGGCCTGAAGTAATGAGAATAAGAGCCACCTCATGGATGTTAGGGATGTAGGGAGAGTAAGCTGGGTCCCTGAGCTGAGGGACCAGGCCAGCTCAGGACCCCCACAAAAGAGGAAAATAAATGTTTAAGCCACAGTTATTGAGAGACTCTATAACTCATTGCTAAAATTGATGCACACTAACTCCCCTCCAGATGCCTCTTCTGGGTCTGATGCCACCACTAATGGGCCAGGTGACCAGAATTGAATGTAATCAACTTCTTCTTCAGATGTGACCCTATGATTTCGCTCAAGTTTCCTGGGCTCTCCATGTCCTGCTCATGCTGAAGCTCCAACCTGTGGATGTATCCTCAAACTCATTCTTTCAAAATGGTCAGTAGAGATTTTTATTTTCAAATGCCCAAGGGGGGTTGTTGTGCACAAATGGACTATCAACAGTTACTAGCCATTAAAATAATATTTAATTTTTAAAGTCTTATGTTTAAAAACCTAGATTTTCTTAAACCTTTTATTTCAACTTGTAAAGTTATTATTCTGTTTTATAGGTAGTAATTTTTATGTAAATTAGAAACAATAACTTTAGCTTGCTCTATGATGAATGTTCAAATAAGTCAAGTCTAAGAGATTAAATTTCCAGAAACATTAGCACCACTTAAAATCATGATTAATTAAATCCCCTGAAAACTTTAAGTCTACTTCATTAATGTCATATTGGTGGCAGCAGTGACCCATCTAGAGTGGCCACTGCCAAGACATCGGCTGCAGCAGGGAGGCACGGCTGGGGTTGTACACTCCATGGAACAGGCAGAAGCCCTGCCCTCCCCAGGTGCCACTGCAGCTGCCCAGGCCCGGCTGCAAACCCAGGCATCTCTGTGCTCTTGGGGGCCCAGGAAGGCCCCCCTGCGAAGTGTCTGCTCCCACTGCCTGGCCTCTCCCTGCTCCCAGTGCCCGCTCCAATCATGAAGCAAGGTTGGGGCCGAACCCGGGCACTGTCACAGCCCAGCCAGGTGGGCACACACTGAGGTTGGCACTGACACGCCAGACCCCTGCCACCTTGGCCCCTTCCGGACTTTGGGCACTGACACATACAGGAGGGAAGCCAAGCAGGGGCTGAGGACAGTTGAAACATGATGAATGTGTTAGATGTTTTTAAACATTAGAGATACTTTAATAAAAAATACTCAGAGATTGGCTACATTTAACAACAAAATGTATTATTATGGGTTTGATTTACTAAATGATGGCTCTATGTTTTCCTTGTGTTGCAGACTCTCTCACCCAACTTTAGTAGCATAGCCTGGATCACAGGTGAGCCGAGATGAATGGGTCAAAGGTGTAGGATAGCAATATAATTACCCACACGTCAGATACAGATGTTTAAGTCCAGGACACAGGAGCTGGCTCCACATACATCATGGATGATTCTACCTTAGCCACAACTTAAAACACAGAATCTCCATTTGCTATTTCAACAAGCTGCTCCAAACCTTTCAGACAGGATTTAGTTTCACAATTAATAAACTACTTAACCCATTTATTCAACACATATTACTGAGCGCAAGCAATTAATGAGGCAATGTTCAAGGCACTTGGGTTACAGGAAAGAACAAGACAACGTTTTCTGCTTTCTCAGAGATTAAATTTTAGTAGGAACAGACGGAGGGAAGACAACAAAATAATGATGTAATAAAGCAATAAATTATTTTCTGTCAGAACTGAAAGAGGATAGCCAGGATGGGCCTCACTGAGAAGGTGACATTTGAGCAGACTTGAAGAAGATGCAGGAGCCAGCAGGCAAGATATGGGAGCCCTTGAGGGAAGAGTGTCCTAGGAGAGGGGACAGTCAGTGTGTGGGCTCCGGGCAGCAGGTTGCTTGCCATACTGAAGAACAGCAAGGAGGCCAGAGTGCTGGAAGAAAATTTGCAAGGGCAAGAGTGATAGGAGATGAGGAAAGAGAAAGGATAGGGGATCAGACCGTGAAAGGCCTTGCAGGACACTTAGCAGGGAGGTGAGTGTCATGATGATCTGACTTATGTTTTAAAAGGATCTCTGACTGCTGTGTGGACGACAGATTGTAGTGTAAAGGTCGAAGGAGGGAGACCATGTAGGAAGCTGTATTAAGTATCCATTGCTGTATTAACAAATACCTCAAAACTTTGTGACCTCAACAGCATTTATTATCTCACTGCCTCTGTAGGTCAGGAATCTGGGCACAATTTCGCTGAGTCCTCTGGTTCAGGGTCCTTCACAGGCAGCAATCAAGTTGTCAGCCAGGGCTACAGTCATCTCAAGGATCCACTGCAGAAAGATCCACTTCCAGCTTCACTTGGGCAACTGTCAGCAGGATTCAGTTTTTTTCAGGATATTGTATCCTGGGCCTCAGCTCTTGTCTGTTCAGGGGGCTTCTCATTTTCTTGCCATGTGGGGCTCTCCACCGGAGAGCTCACAACAGGGCAGCTTGCTTCATCACAGCAAGCAAACAGAAAAGAGAGGGAGGCAGAGAAAGAGAAAGAAAAACAGAGAGACAAACAGAGGTGTCACAGTCTTTTATACTCTAATCTCAGAAGTACATCCCACAACTTTTGTCATAGTCTATGCCTTAGAAGAAAGTCACTAAGTCCAGCTGTTTCTGAAAGGGAAGGGATTATGCAAAGGTGTGAATACCAGAAGGCAGAAATCACTGGGGGCCATTTTAGAAGTGTCCACCACAGAGGCTACTGCAGTTATCCAAACAAGAGATAGTGGTGGCTTGCACAAGGTTTATTATAACAGAGGAGGAGAGTAGTCAGGTTCTTAATAAAATTTTAAAGGTAGAGCCAACAAGATTTTTTGTCTGACTGGATATGGGGTGTGAAAGTGAAACATCAGCTGGGCAAGGTGTCTCACACCTGTAATCCTATCACTTTGGGAGGCCAAGGTGGAGGATCACTTGAGGTCAGGAGTTCAAAACCAGCCTGGCCAACACAGTGAAACCCCATCTCTACTAAAAATACAAAAAAATTAGCCAGGTGAGGTGGCGGGCGCCTGTAATCCCAGCTACTCGGGAGGCTGAGGCAGGAGAATCACTTGAACCCAGGAGGCAGAGGTTGCAGTGAGCCAAGATCGCACCATTGCACTCCAGCCTGGGTGATGGAGAGAGACTACGTCTCAAAAAAACAAACAAACAAACAAACAAAAAAACAAACAAAAAAAAAAGCGAAGGATTGAGGGTGACTTCAGGGTATCTGCTCTGAACAACTGGAAGGATGGAGTTGCCATTGACACAGATGGAGAAAACTAAACAGTAAGGTTTAGTGGATTAATAGGGAGGGGTTGCTGAAGATCAGGAGCTCTATGTTGGTATGTTAAGTTTGAGATCACCAACAGATGAATGGATAAAGAAAATGTGGTACTTATACACAATAGACTGCTATTCAGCCATCAAAAGAATGAGATTCTGTCATTTGCAATAGCATGGATGGAACTGGAGATCATCACGTTAAGTGAAAATAAGCCAGGTACAGAAAGACAAACATCACATGTTCTCACTTACTTGTGAGATCTAAAAGTCAAAACAATTGAACTCATAGGGATAGAGAATAGAAGATGGTTACCAGAGGCTGGGAAGGGTAGTGAGTGGTGTGGTGGGGGGAGGTGGGGATGGTGAACGCATACACAAGAAATTTAGAAAGAATGACTAAGACTAGTATTTGATAGCACAACAATGGGACTATAGTCAATAATTTAATTGTACACTTAAAAATACCTAAAAGAGGCCGGGCGCGGTGGCTCATGCCTGTAATCCCAGCACTTTGGGAGGCTGAGGTGGGCGGATCACGAGGTCAGGAGATCGAGACCATCCTGGCTAACACAGTGAAAACCCATCTCTACTAAAAATACAAAAAATTAGCTGGGCATGGTTGCAAGCGCCTGTAGTCCCAGCTACTCGGGAGGCTGAGGCAGGAGAATGACTTGAACCCGGGAAGCGGAGCTTGCAGTGAGCTGAGATTGTGCCACTGCACTCCAGCCTGGGCAACAGAGCGAGACTCCGTCTCAAAAAACAAACAAACAAACAAAAAACCTAAGACTATAATTGGGTTGTTTGTAACACAAAGGATAAATGCTTAAGGAGATGGATACCCGATTTTCCATGACATGATTATTACGCATTACATGCCTGTACCGAAATATCTCATGTACCCCACAAATATATACACCTGCTATGTAGCCATGAAAATTAAAAATACAAAAAAATTAAAAATAAAATTAAAAATAAAAAAAGTTTGAGATCATGATCTGACAACTAAGTATATCACAAGTCCTTGAGCTGTCCTTCAAGTTCTCTTTAATTTTTATCATAACTTCTTTCAACTCAGGTTTGAGTAGATGCAATTTTATTCCTCGACTAGGATCGCTGCTAATTTCCTCAATCTAATTGGATCCACCTAACAACTTTACACCCTCAATGGATTCTGCACGGTTAAGAGTATGGACTCTGGGTCTGAACCATGCACTGACTAGCCATCTGAGGGGGCACAAGTTATTTAGCCTCCCTATCCGTTTCCTCACCTGCAACGTAAGGATAATAATATCACCTCTATTCTAGAGGTTACATCTTGGGCTTTTGCAAGGATTAAACAATTTAATATTTGTAAGGCACTCAGAATGGTGCCTAGTGTTTGTTAGAAGTGCTATAAGGACTAGCTACACAAATGTTCTATGTGAGTGTGTGTGTGTGACTGGTTCTCAGCCACAATTCTGGAGTCACTTGATAAAAATTTAAATACTGGTCTTCCCAAAACTGATGTTGTCTCTTGGAAGGCTTTTGATCAACTACAGGCTCTCAGAAAATATGGACAAAGGCGCAAGAACCCCTCCAAAACTGGAATAAATACTTGAAGATATTAGGGAATTTTTGTTAATTTTCAGGTGTGATAATACTATTGGGGTTATATTTATTTTAAAGAAATCATCGTTTAGATACATATTGAGGTATTTATGGCTAAAATTTCTTGAATTGGCTTTTAAAATAAAACAGAAGACAGAGTAGTAAATGAGTAGAAATGAAATAAGATTGGCCCTGTGTGGATAATTTTTGAGAAAGTGTAATGTGTACATGGGAGTTTATTATACATACTATTCTATTTTTGTATATGTGGAAATTCTTAATAATAGAAACATTTTTGATCCAGGATCTATGCCAAGAGAAATTTAAGCCCTAGTACTGCTTCCCATGGTAAATATTTGGTACAACTTGGGTTCTGAATATTTATTAGCACCACAGTGACCTCTGAGACAGTGTCCCTGCTGGTATGGAGACATACAAAACACAGGTTTTCAGGCCCAACATTGTCCTTTTAACATATTACTACTGCCTTTAATGAATGTTAACTCATGTAATCCTTTAAAAAAAAAAAAAGCCAAGATGTAACACCCATCCAACTTGTCTCCAGCTGCAACCTTGCCTCCTACTGTCTATGATGAGGAGGGCATTCTTAACCCAACAGCCTGTACCATCTTTAAAAACATGTCAGATCATGTCACTGCTCCATTTAAAGCATCCACTGGCTCCTATCTTGAGAGTGAAAGCAAGTCCTTCCAGTGGCTTCCAAGGTTCCACATGCCCTGGCTCCTTCATCTTATACTATCTCTCCCTCAATCACCCCACTTCAGCCTCATTGGTCTTCCTGCTCTTCCACACGCATGCTGAGAGAGAACTTGCTGTTCCCTCTGCCTGGAATCCCAGACATCCACATGAATTGCTCACTCATCTCCTGAAGTTCTCTATTCAAGTGTCACTTTTTCCTCAAGGCCTTCCCTCACTTCCCTATTTAAAATAACTACCCTTTCCCCCTAAAGCAAATCCACCCTAGTACTCTCCATCCTCCTTTTTATTTTTCTGTGGCACTTACCACCATATGACACACTATTTGTTTATTTTCTGTATCTACCCACTAGAATGACAGTTCCATGAGAGTAGAACTTTTGCCTGTTTTATTCACTACTATGTCTTCAATGCCTTGAATAGTTTCTGGCACACACGAGGCATTTAGTGTTTGCTAAATGAATTAATACATGCTCATTCCTTCTAGATGGCACCACGTTAGCATCTCTTCTCCCTGAATGCCCTGTCACTCATTCTGCATCCTTGTTCACCACTATGTTCACTATGCTGCATTATCCAGCACCTGTCCTTGTAGTCATTCCTTTTGGGGAGAGTTGTTTCCATGGTGACACAGGAGCTTTTCACCTACTTAGCAGGCCTCTCAGAAAGCTCTTTGCACCCTGGTTCTATTTCTAGTGTTGTTAAGACTCCAACACACACAGAACTTTCCATTCCTATCCTGGAAAGCATTCTCGATCAGTATAGCTAGCTGGTGCTTTTCAGCAGTTCTGCAGGCAGGTTTATTTAAGCAGACCTCTTTTGATAGACATTTAGTATGTTCTAAGGCTTTGCCTTTTCATTCATTCACTCAAAATATTTATAAAGGGCCTATTCCACTCCAGGCACTGTTTTAGTCACCTAGCATACACCAGTGATTCACCCTGGTTTCCCAGAGTTGAATTATCATAAATTACTCCACCTATTGTTTATGTTGTTGT
This sequence comes from Homo sapiens, assembly GCF_000001405.40. Lineage (NCBI taxonomy): Eukaryota > Metazoa > Chordata > Mammalia > Primates > Hominidae > Homo > Homo sapiens. The sequence goes on from NC_000003.12 coordinate 40,450,969, forward strand.
GAAAAGTGTCAAAGATCTTGATCTTGCTTGCTGATCTCTAGCTCCTGACTTTGCAGCCCACTGATGCGAAATATGTACAGTTAAAAAACAAAAAACAAAAAACAAAACATGGCGCGGTGCAGAGGCTCACGTCTGTAATCCTAACACTTTGAGAGGCCAAGAGGATCACTTGAGTCCAGGAGTCTGAGACCACCCTGGACAACATAATGAAACCCTCATCTCTACAGAAAATTCAAAAATTAGCTGGGCATGGTGGCACATGCCTGTAGTTCCAGCTACTTGTGAGACTGAGGTGGGAGGATGGCTCAAGCCAGCAAGTCAAGGCTGCAGTGAGCTGTGACTGCACTCCAGCCTGGGTGACAGCAAGACTCTATCTCAAAAAAAAAAAAAAAAAGTACAGAAACCAACACTACCTCCTTGTTTGTTAAATACAATGGACAGACCACACACACACACACACACACACACACACACACACAAAAGCCTATCTAGGCATTTGGAGTGTTGGACAAACTTGTACTACTGAGGAGTTGGGCACTGCATCCCAAGTGTCCTGACCCATTCCAGAGTCTATCAGCCTCTTTGGGAACAGGAAGTTGGAAGTGGGCAATCACTGAATTGCTAAGATGACCTTCATTTGCTTCTCACTCAGATTTCTGTAATAGGCCAATGTTCCTCTTCATTATGGACATTTTTGATTCCAGAGTGTGTCATTACCTGTGGTTTGTGAGCTTACCTCCTGCTTTGCAAAAGATCTAGAACTTCCCCATTGATATAATGCTCAGAATACCTTCTTGCTATACCATCAGCATTCCTAAGGAATAAGTAAATACAAGCTCAGTTGAGAAGAAAAATCTGCATGGTTATTCATCAGGCAGGAAAAACAAATACAAATAAAGACAGCTGCAAAGTTAACAAGAGACTATTGCTGCCAAGGACATGCTTAATCTTTAGTGTCATAATAACCCTCTTTGAGTGACTACTGCTTTCTCACTTTCTCACTGAGAAACTTTGTTCCTAAAATCAAAGACCCTCAGAAATTTGCTGTTTGAAATTTTATCAGTAGGAATAAAATATCTTGCTTGGAGGACCTAAGTCACTTTAACACAGAGATACAGCTTCAATTTACAAGCAGCCAGTTGCAAAGCTTCAGAAAAGGTTTTCAAAAAAACAGGACAATGGGTCCACTCTGCAGTCTAGGCCTGATGTTGACCCTTTTTCACAGTCCTGCTTTGTTTTGAGGCTATTAAAACCCTGCTTCATTTAAGTTCCATCTAAACTTTACACTTCCTCAAAATCCTGTAACTTTATATTTTCCTTCCCCTGGTAAAATGTCCCATGGTGTCTCTGGTGTGCAATCTCCCTCATTAAAAAAGATCGATAGACCTGGTTTTGCTGACTACAGGTTTGTCCCTGGTGGTCTTAGGCTGACTGGGCTTGAACAGTCTTGCTCAGCTTCAGGGTTCCTAAGATTGCAAATTTCAAAAACTGATACAACAAACATTTTTTCACTCCTAAATACAAATGCACCTGTCCACGTTGCCAGGTAGTTATGCACATGGCTACCATGTCAATTTGGTCATAACTAGGGTTAGGTCACTTCTCTGGAAGGTTAGTTATTAAGAACAAGAAAGAAAGTCAGGGTTCTGCACAGCTTTTGGTTTGATTCTTGTACTGACTTATGTTTCTTTTTCTTTGGGGCTACAGGTAAATATTTTGTCTGCTAAACTGACGCCCCCATCGCCAGTGTCTGAACAAACAAAACTGAGACATATCTAGTCAGCTGAAGCTGACAAATACAGGGGCCAATCTGGTTACAGGCAGGCAGTCCTGGCCTCGTGACACCGCAGAGACTGTGGGACAAGTGGACGTGCTCCTACTGTCCCTCGCATCCCCCATCTGGGCCGCGGGACTAGTGCCCTCAGGTCTATGACCCACTGCAAGAACCCAAAGCTCGACGCCCGCCCAGCCCTTCACATCCGTCCCTTGCAACAAGCAAGAGAAGAGGGGCGCGGCTTCAGGGGACGGGCGACGGTTTACAGGACAGCTCGTACACAGTACCAGCTGACATCCCCTAAGCCTGAGTGTCTAGGCCCCTGCCTCCACATTTAAGAGCCGACTGCGCCCCTTGGTGATTGGACGTCCGGACGCACCTTGAGTAGAGGCCAAGCAAACTATCGAGCCCGTCCAAAACGCCATATTTGTAACTGACGTCATCCTCATGTTGCCTTTCCTCTCTGTGATTGAGGAACCAATCAGTTGGGTGTAGCAGACGGGGCGTGGCTCTTCAGGTAGAGGCCGAAGGGGCTGAGAGCGGTCCCAGGCGGCCATCTTGATTCCTGGCATCACTCTCAACGTGCCCTCCCTCTCCGTGATTGGACGAGCAGGGCGGGCCTTCCGGAGGCACACAGCCGACCAACCAGAGATCTGCGCGTGCTCGATCTGGTCATCTGTTTTCTGACATCTGGAGCCACTAGCAGTTATCCTGTTCATTCCTGGGCGCCTGCGACCTTCCGAAGGAAACAAGACTTGCTTGGGGAAAGTTGCCTTGCCAGTATAGTGGAGCTTGGTAGAAACTTAAAAACTGCCTGGGGCTGCCTGGGATGGGGATCTCGAGATGCTTGTGGGGAGCACATTTTAGGAAACAGGGGGCTCAAGCTGCATGAAATGCTGCGGGAAATAGGAATGAGAGACGCAGAATGGTCGGAGAAAAAAGCTAGGAAGGTGTTTGGGAGTAAGATTTTGGAGTGCCTTGAATGCCAGACTAGGGAGTTTGGACTATATCCTGTAAGATAGGGGATAAAAATCAACTTTAAACAGGAGTGATATAACAAGATAATGTACTTTAGAAAATAATTCTGTAACTGTAGGGGGAGTCCCAAAGTGTTTCTCAAATTGTGTTCGGGGAAGTTCAAAGTGTGTTTGAGAGCTTGTTTTTATATGCAGATTCTTGCCCCTCACCAGACCTGCAAATAAAGTTCTCTGGTTGTACAGCCAGGAAACTGCATTAAAAAAAAACTTTTTAGGTTAACATACATTTGGTGAGAAAACGCATAAACCATATGGATAGGGCTCTGAATTTTCACAAGCAAACACTTCAGCCAGGCGGGGTGGCCCGTGCCCCTAATCCCAGCTACTCGGGAGGCTTAGGCAGGAGAATGGCTTGAGGCCAGGAGTACCAGATCAGCCTGGGCAACATAGCAAGACCCGTCTCTAAAAAAATTTAAAACAAAAATAATAACACACTCCCGTAGTTAACACCAGATGAAGAAACAACATGGCCAGCAGCTCAGAAGCTCCCCTTTTCCCCTTTAGCCACTGCTGCCTGCACCAAAGGTAAATATGATCATTACTTATAAGAACTGTAGATTAGTTTTGCCTGTTTTGAATTTGATATAAATAAAAGCATACAGGATATATTGTGTCAGCTTATTTGTTAGTGTTATTTATGAAATTCATCCGCATTGTTCCATGTAGTTGCTGTAGACTCCGTTGCTATAGATTGTTATCACAATTTATCCAGTCTCTTGTTTATGGGCCTTTGGGTAATTTCCAGTTTGGAGATAGTAGCAAAAAAAATGCTAAAATGAACATTCTTCTTCATTCATATCTTTTGCTTTGTAAATTATAAAGCAAGACAACAAGACCTAAAGACTGATTCATTCACTACCTATTTATTGAGCCCCTTACCAGACTAAGGTGAGAAAATAAAACAGAAAAGACAGCAAAGGTCCTGCCCTCATGGAACTTATTCTAACTGGAACGAAACAACACCTACGTGGGCAGCAAAACAAGTCAAACAATTGCAATTGTGATAACTCTGAGGGAAACAAGGTGAGCTAGAAAAAGAAGGGTGGGGACTTAACCTTTTTTTATGTGGTAGCCTGGTTAACTCTCAGAAAAATATCTAGGAAAAAATACAAGAGATAAGTTGGCACTGCTACACGATGAGTATTAACAATGGGTAGACCATTCCTGGCAAGAGAGACACCATGTATAAAGGTCATGGAGGAGGAGAGAGCTTGGCCCATTCAAGACCAGTGTGGCTTCAACACAATGAAGGAGGGATGGCATAAGGTGTATCTGGGTATTAAAGCATATGATACAAGGCCAGAGTAAGAAGTTGAGATTTTATTCCAAATATTATGAAAAGCAATCGAACTGTTAAAAACAGGAAATAATGTGATCTGATTTACTTACTTAAAAGATCCCTCTAACTGCTGAGCAGAGAACAGATTAAAGACAGAATTTAGGAGGCTGCTAGAGCAGTCTCAGGGAAGATATGCTGGCATAGAGCTTAGAGGAAAGGCTTGAAATACATCTGGGAACTGTCATGGCAAAGATCATCACCTTAATCAAGTGATAAAAGGTAACACCTCTCTGCACTGGCCTGGGTAAAAATCTAAAGAATAAAATACCACCACAATATTGGGAACCCATGTGTGGTGGTGTATTCCTGTAGTCCCAACTATTCTGGAGGCTGAAGCAGAACTGCTTGAGCCCATGAGTTCAAGGCTGTAGCAGGCTACAATCAGACCTGTGAATAGCTACTGCACTCCAGCCTGGGCAACACAGCCAGACCCCATCTCTTCGAAAAAATGTATATGTGTGTGGCCAAGCACAGTGGCTCACGTTTGTAATCCTAGCACTTCTGGGAGGCTGAGGCAAGTGAATCACAAGGTCAGGAGTTCAAGACTAGCCTGGCCAAAATGGTGAAACCCTGTCTCTACTTAAAACACAAAAATTAGCCGGGCGTGGTGGCAGGCACCTGTAATCCCAGGTACTTGGGAGGATGAGGCAGAGAACTGCTTGAACCCGGGAGGCAGAGAACTGCTTGAACCTGGGAGGCAGAGGTGGCAGTGAGCCGAGATCGCACCACTGCACTCCAGCCTGGGTGACAGAGGGAGAGTCCATCTCAAAAAAAGAAAGAAAAAAAAAAGTGTTTGTGTGTGCGTATATATATAGAGAGAGAGAGAGTGAAGAGAGAGAGAATGTATTCTGATGTGATGCACCAAGGACATAGCATTTCTACCAAAAATTCACTATCTGAATCCAATGAGGAAAACTCCAACAAACCCATGTTACAAATTTAACAGTTAAATCTAAAACTATCAGTTAAAGACTAGAGACCTGATAAATAATTGCAATTTGTAATCCTCCATTAGATCAAGAGCCTGGAAAAACAATTTTTTTTCCCATTTGCTCCAAGGAACATAGGAGCAACAACTTATAAATTTGAATAAGGACTGAAGGTTAGATAATAGTACTATTGCAATATCAATTTCCTGATTTTGATAAGTGTACTGATGACATAAGAGAATCTCTCTGTTGTTAGGAAATACACATTTTAAGAACGTATAGATAGGCTGGGCATGGTGGCTCACGCCGGTAATCCCAACACTTTGGAAGGCCGAGACGAGAGGATCGTCTTCACTCAGAAGTTAGAGGCTGCAGGGAACCATGATCGCGCCACTGCACTCCAGCCTGAGCGACTGAGGGAGACCCTGTCTCTATAAAAGAATGTAACGCCAGGCACGGCGGCTCACGCCTGTAATCCCAGCACTTTAGGAAGCTGAGGGAGGCAGATCACGAGGTCAGGAGTTCGAGACCAGCCTGGCCAACATAGTGAAACCCTGTCTCTACTAAAAATGCAAAAAAATTAGCCGGCCATGGTGGCGCGCGCCTGTAGTCCCGGCTACTTGGGAGGCTGAGGCTGGAGAATCACTTGAACCCGGGAGGCGGAGGTTGCGGTGAGCCAAGCCCCCGCCACTGCACTCCAACCTGGGCAACAGACCGAGACTCCGTCTTTAAAAAAAAAAAAATGTAGCGATAGAAGGACATCATGTCGGCAATTTCCTTTCAAATGATATAGCACATGCAAAACGTTAACATTTGTGGAATCTAGAAGGGTTTGTGGGAATTATTTGTACTAGTTTAGCAATATTTCTGTAACTGTGAATTACTTGAAAATGAAAGGTTAACAAAGTTACTGAGATTAGGAGAGAACGTGAGGAGCGAACAGACCTAGCCATGAATAACCAACAAATAAAACTCGAGGAAATAAAAAGGAACTCAAATGGCATGCGACCAACGGAAGACATAGCTTCTGTACTCTTAACCCTAAATTACTAAGCGATGACCCTCCTGCAGCTTTCTAATCCAAATCACCAAAAACAATCTCGCCGCCCAACTTTGCCAAAAAGCAACTTAACGCCAGCCGACTCCGCCATGTTTTCCCAGTGAGCTTGCGAGCGCGTGCGTACGCACGCACGCACGCACGCACCAACCAATCGGTGCTCACGTCGGTGACTCGTTACCGCAGGGGCGGTGCGTTCTTCTACACATGCGCAGGGTTGGGCGGGTCTTCTTCCTTCTCGCCTAACGCCGCCAACATGGTGAGTCTTACTGTTGCGGGCTCCGGGGCCGTCGACCATGCCGCTCGACCTCCACCTCCGCTGGGAAGCTGAGGCGCCAAACGGCTCCCAGAGGGTCCCGGGAAGCGCATGGTGAGGGTCCCCGGGCCGGCTGTGCAGCGGAATCGGGCCCTTCCCGGACTCGCGCCCTTCCCGGACTCGCCGCTGGCGAGCGCGTGGAGGGCCCGGCAGGCCTGGCGCGCCTTGGGCCACGCGTGCGCGCCTCCGCCGCTGGAGCTGGATGGCTGATGCGGCTCGTGGTCCGAGAGCCTTGTCCTGCCGTGTGGGCCTTGCGGACCTGGGAGCTGGCGGGCGTTGGGAACCGGGCTTAAGCTACTGAGGCGTTTGCTGATTTCGTCCATCCAGGTTGGCGCCTGGCTCTCGGGCGTTTGTTCCCTGCAGCATTCTTTTTCGCTGAATTTAACCATGTTGTCTTTAGCTGCAGAAGGTGACATATGTAGCGAGTATTTCTAAGTAAGTTTCACTGTCCTTTCTCCTCCAATTTTAGGTGTTCAGGCGCTTCGTGGAGGTTGGCCGGGTGGCCTATGTCTCCTTTGGACCTCATGCCGGAAAATTGGTCGCGATTGTAGATGTTATTGATCAGAACAGGGTAAGTGTCACAACTTTTTACTAAACATGGCAGTGGACATGTGCCCTGCAGATGGCAATAATGAATTGTCTCGATGGCTGTGTAAGATGAGGATGCTATGGGTAGTCGCTTTATTTTACCATTGAGGAAACAGGTAATGGTACGGGTTTTAAGCACAGCCTGAAGTTAGCTATTAGTATTGAATTTCAGTATTAGCCACTTAAGCTAGAGCCAGTTATAGGCTGAAACGTTGGTTAGTTTTAAATGAGTTACTATACGTAAAGTGAGTTTAGAACAGATCCAGCACGTAGAAAGCACTTTTGTATTTACTGCTGTGTATTTGAAACAAGCAAACTAAGGAGTTGACCACTGACTATAAATCAGCAGGGATCAGAGTCCTAAAGTTGCCTGTAAATTACATGTGGTTGGTTTCTATGGGGTACTATATAGTTTAAGAAGGAGCATTTAATGATGTGGAGAAATGTTTGTGTTGAGCAAAAGACATACATATATATAACCCAGATAGGACAATCCTTGTCTTTTCTGAGCAATTTATTAAAATAGTAGTGTGGGTTTGATGGCCCTGAACGGATAAGTAATGTTACAGAACCATCTGACCATTTTAATTGCTGTTAGATTTTGCACTGAAGTTCTTGATGTTTGTGTTCTAGGCTTTGGTCGATGGACCTTGCACTCAAGTGAGGAGACAGGCCATGCCTTTCAAGTGCATGCAGCTCACTGATTTCATCCTCAAGTTTCCGCACAGGTAACTGTCCACTAATCACTCCTCCCTCCCATCCCCAGATTTGTTTATGCTAGTAAAAGTTTGTTTTGGAGTAAACAATACGGAAGATTCAGAGCCATCCTGAAGAGGGATTTGCATCATAGAAGTAGACAGGGATTATTTACTTTTAAAATGTCTTGCCTGCGCGTGATAGCTCATGCCTGTAATCCCAGTACTTTGGGAGGCCACGGTGGGAGGGTCTCTTGAGCCCAAGTTTCAAGACCAGCATGGGCAACATGGCGAAAACCCCCATCTCTACAAAAAATAAAAAAAAAATTCGTTGGGCATGGTGGCACGCGCCTGTAATCCCAGGTAGGGGGGCCTTGGGGGTGCTGAGTTGGGAGGATCGTTTTAGCGAGGTCGAGGCTGCAGAGAGCCGTGATCATGCCACTGCACTCCAGCCTGGATGACAGAGTGAGACCCTGTCTCAAAAATAAATAAATAAAATAAATGCCTTGAGGTCACTTTTCTATCCTGGTAGTTTAGGGCTTTGCCTTTGTTTAGATTTGCCATCTTCTTTTCTTCTGGTTTCTGCCAAATTTTTAGCTTAAAGTAAACAACAATACTAAGTCTTGTGTTTATTGCTACTAGCTATCATTAGATAAGCTCTCAGTGTGTGTCAGTTACACAGTATTTAATATAAGAGGTTTTATCCCTAGCTTACATTTAAGTGAGGCAGTGAATAGCAGTTCTTTTTTGACATGAAAATTAAAACACTTTAGTGTGTTGCTATACAGTTAATTCAACCCACAATGATGGTTGCAGTGGAACATGTAATTTTGCATGCTTTAAAAAATAGTCAAAAACTTGCTGTATGTTGGCCGGGCGCGGTGGCTCACGCCTATAATCCCAGCACTTTGGAAGGCCGAGGCGGGTGGATCACGAGGTCAGGAGATGGAGACCGTCCTGGCTAACACGGTGAAACCCCGTCTCTACTAAAAATACAAAAAAAAAATATTCCGGGCATGGTGGCGGACACCTGTAGTCCCAGCTACTTCAGAGGCTGAGGCAGGAGAATGGCGTGAGCCCGGGAGGCGGAGCTTGCAGTGAGCCGAGATCGCAACACTGCACTCCAGCCTGGGTGACAGAGCGAGACTCCGTTTCAAAAAAAAAAAAAAAAAAAAAACTTACTGTATGCTGAGCACTACAGGCACTGTGGGACGTGTATTAACACATAATGGATTTTGAAGTACTGGTAGTTGAAAACATGCCACTTGAACAACCTCGAGTGAACATAGCCATGCTGCTACTACTGTGACATACCAATTAGGGGTGAAGCTTGAGGATACTTGTCAAAGTTCAAAGCAGTAGAAAATACTTGGTAACTTAGATTTTTCACTAGGTACTCTTGTAATTCTGCCTTGGATCCCTGGACACCCTGGATTTTATTTTTAGGATGTTTGGCCACAAATTGTTACTGTAAATTTTTTTTTAAAAAAAAGCCTAACAGTTAATATTAATTACCTTGTTTGTTACGAGAATGAATGGCTCGGATGTGTGCAGTGGCTCATACCTGTAATCTCAGCACTCTGGGAGGCCAAGGCAGGTAGATAACTTGAGGTCAGGAATTTGAGACCAGCCTAGCCAACCCCGTCTCCACTAAAAGTCCAAAAATTAGCCCAGTGTGGTAGTGTACTCCTGTAGCCCCAGCTATTTGGGTGGATGGAACAGAAGAATTGCTAGAACCTAGGAAGCAGAGGTCACAGTGAGCCAACGTTGCGCCAGTGCATTCTCCATCCTGGGTTACAGAGCAAGACCCTGTCTCAAAAAAAGAAAAAAAAAAAGAATGGTTTTCAACACGTCCACTGCCCGAGTGGAATTATATATAGTCAGAGGTGGGTTTTTTGTGTTTTTTTTGAGGGTTTTTTTTTTCTTTTGACACGGAGTCTCACTTTGTCACCCAGGCTAGAGTGCAGTGACGCAATCTTGACTCACTGCAACCTCAGGCTCCCAAGTAGCTGGGATTATAGGCACCTGCAACCACGCCCAGCTAATTTTTGTGTTTTTAGTAGAGATGGGGTTTCACTATGTTGGCCAACCTGGTCTTGAACTCCTGACCTCAGGTGATCCACCCATCTTGACCTCCCAAAGTGCTGGGATTACAGGTGTGAGCCACTGCGCCTGGTCAAGAGGTAGTTTTTAAATTCATAAAATGGGCTGGGCTGGGTGCAGTGGCTCATACCTGTAATCCCAGCACTTCAGGAGGCCAAGGTGGAGGGTTGCTTGAGCCCAGGAGTTGGAGACCAGCCTGGGCAACGTAGCAAGACCCTGTCTCTACAAAAAATATAAAAATTAGCTGGGTGTGCTGGTATGCACCTGTAGTCCCAGCTACTTGGGAGGCTGAGGCAGGAGGATGGCTTGAGCCTAGAAGGTTGAGGCTACAGTGAGCCATGATCATACTATTGCATTCCAGCCTGGGTGGCAAGCAAGATCCTCTCTCAAAAAAAAAAAGGGACTGGATTACAGTTTTGATTAAAATATGCTTGAAGTTAATAACCTATTCTGGCTTACTGAACACAAAAATAAGTAAAATACATAGTGTACCAGGTGTTGTGTAACAGGAAGAGTGCTTTTCAAGGAACAAAGAAAGTGTCTTTGATAATGAGTGACTTCAAAGCTGATTTCTTAATCTGTGGTCTTGGCTCGTTCTAGTGCCCACCAGAAGTATGTCCGACAAGCCTGGCAGAAGGCAGACATCAATACAAAATGGGCAGCCACACGATGGGCCAAGAAGATTGAAGCCAGAGAAAGGGTAATAACTTAGGGTCATTTGAATTCTGGTCCTTTCTTTTTTTGGAGGGTTCAAGATAGTGTGAGAGGGATAATTTTTATTTGTTGTTTTTTTTTTAACAGAAAGCCAAGATGACAGATTTTGATCGTTTTAAAGTTATGAAGGCAAAGAAAATGGTAAGATTTAAGATCTGTATTTTTGTGTAACTTAGCTTTAAATAATAAGGGAGCAGTAGCCAAATCCCATTTCAGGCTGCCAGCTTCTTGGAAGCTTTCTGTAAAAAAGGAGAATTTATCTTCATTTGTATTTCATGATGTCCCTATGGAATTGTTACCTTTCTTCAGATGTAGTTGTAGGGAAACAGACTACTTAATGCCCTTTCTAAAACCAGCATAAATTGGATTTTATTGTATGTATACACAATAAGTGCTTTCTTACATTGATAATTTTCAGAGGAACAGAATAATCAAGAATGAAGTTAAGAAGCTTCAAAAGGCAGCTCTCCTGAAAGCTTCTCCCAAAAAAGCACCTGGTACTAAGGGTACTGCTGCTGCTGCTGCTGCTGCTGCTGCTGCTAAAGTTCCAGCAAAAAAGATCACCGCCGCGAGTAAAAAGGCTCCAGCCCAGAAGGTTCCTGCCCAGAAAGCCACAGGCCAGAAAGCAGCGCCTGCTCCAAAAGCTCAGAAGGGTCAAAAAGCTCCAGCCCAGAAAGCACCTGCTCCAAAGGCATCTGGCAAGAAAGCATAAGTGGCAATCATAAAAAGTAATAAAGGTTCTTTTTGACCTGTTGACAAATGTATTTAAGCCTTTGGATTTAAAGCCTGTTGAGGCTGGAGTTAGGAGGCAGATTGATAGTAGGATTATAATAAACATTAAATAATCAGTTCCTTTTTTTTTTTTTTTTTTTTTGAGATGGAGTCTCGTTCTGTTGCTCAGGCCGGACTGCAGTGGCGCTATCTCGGCTCACTGTAAGTTCCACCTCCCGGGTTCATGCCATTCTCCTGCCTCAGCCTCCTGAGCAGCTGGGACTACAGGTGCCCGCCACCGCGCCTGGCTAATTTTTTGTATTTTTAGTAGAGACGGGGTTTCACCGTGTTAGCCAGGATGGTCTCGCTCTCCTGACCTCGTGATCCGCCCGCCTCGGCCTCCCAAAGTGCTAGGATTGCAGGCATGAGCCGCCGCGCCTGGCCTAAATAATCAGTTCTTTAATCTCACTCTCTGCCCATACTTGGATAGGTAGTGCAAAATCATTGCAGTCATAATTGATCATGTCATGAGAAATCATGATAACTTAGAACACCAAGTGACACAAGTGACATTTTTTTCTTATGGTCACCTTGGCTTCAGAACATCTTTTTTCCTTGTACAAATATGTTTGCCATAAATAGGTAAAGTGACAGCCTCTTGATGCTCAAGAGTCTAGCAGATTTATTTTATTTATTTATTTTTTTTTTTTGGAGACAGAGTCTTGCTGTGTTGCCCAGGCTGGAGTGCAGTGGTGCGATCTCAGCTCCCTCCACCTTCCGGGTTCAAGTGATTCTCCTGCCTTGGCTTCCCAGGTAGCTGGGACTACAGGCGCCCACCACCATGCCCAGCTAATTTTTTTTGTAGAGACTGGGTTTCACTATGTTGGCCAGGCTGGTTTTGAACTCCTGACCTCGTGATCCGCCTGTCTCGGCCTCCCAGAGCGGGGGATTATAGGCATGGGCCACTGCACTTGGCCTTTTTTTGTTTTTTTGAGACAGAGTCTTGATCTTATCACCCAGGCTGGAGTGCAGTGGCACGATCTTGGCTCAGCGCAACCTCTGCCTCCTGGGCTCAAGCGGTTCTCCTGCTCAGCCTTCTGAGTAGTTGGGACTATAGGTGTGTGCCACCACGTCTGGCTAGTTTTTGTATTTTTAGTGGAGATGGGGTTTCACCATGTTGGCCATGCTGGTCTCGAGCTCCTGACCTCAGGTGATACACCCGCCTTGGCCTCCCAAAGTGCTGGAATTACAGGTGTGAGCCACTGTGCCCGGCCTGCAAATTTTCTTATAAAAAGTAAACTAGGAAAATAGGGCAAGTATAAAAATTGCAGGTTGAGCATATTTCTAATCCAAAAAGCTCTAACCTCTGAAACTGAGCTATGACACTACAATTTAAAAATCCCTAGCCTACCCGCATGGTGGGTTATGGTCAAAATACAGGTACACAGCACTATTCAGTGTCCCTGAGGAAGAAATAGTTAACCTTCAGGGTACATGTATATGAAGCATAAATGAATTTCCTGTATAGACCTAGGTCCCATCCCCAAAGTGTCATGTATATGCACTTAACTCCAACATCAGAACACATCTCGTCCTAAGTGTTTCAGATAAGAGATACTTATCCTGTGTATAGTAGGTTGGACTTCTGTTTCTCTCTACCACAAGATACAGGTAATTTGGGGCAGTAAAAGATCCTGGATAGATTTAAAAATACTACAAAGCTGTACATGAAACAGGATTACTTTTTTTTTTTTTTTTGAGACAGAGCCTTACTCTTGCCCAGGCTGGAATGTAGTGGCACGATCTCAGCTCACTGCGACCTCCACCTCCCAGGTTCAAGTTGTTCTGCCTCAGCCTCCCAAGTAGCAGGGGTTAAATGCGTGTACCACCATGCCCCTCTAATATTGTATTAGAGATGGGGTTTTGCCATGTCAGCCAGACTGGTCTTGAACTCCTGACCTCAGGTGATCTGTCCGCCTTGGCCTCCCAAAGTGCTGGGATTACAGGCGTGAGCCACCGCTTCTGGCCAGGAATACATTTTAAATAAATTTGTTTCCTAACCAAAAGCTAGCTTCAGGCGTCACTGGGGTAAAGGAAAAAGCACATTGATTTGCTTGATAATAGGCAAGTGGTATGGTGTAATAAGGAAAATATGGATGATTTCGGATTACCTGTTCTACTCTGGGAGGTAGAGAATTGTCTAGAGAAAGTGGCATCTATACCTAAAATAAGAAGAAGGTGGTGTAAGGGGAAGAATGACACGAGATAGGAAATAAACGAACTGATAGTGTAGAGGACTGGCTCGGGACCACATCAAGGAAGTAGGTTAGTGGTTAGATCGTGTAGGGGAACACGGGAAGCTACTGAGGGTTTTTTAAAATGGCGTGATATCTCAGATTTAGATCATTGAACTGTTAAGACTGAATCTTATGGGATCAAGACTGGGAATGCTCGGGTTGGCAGTATGAAGTTTGGCAGTAATCCAAGGAAGTGACAGTGGTAATGCCATTTAGGTGGTCTTGATCATGCATTGGACTGCAGAAATAAGGGAGAAAACAATGTGTCAGGGTTTCTGGTTTGTACCTCTGGTTCATTGGTTGTGAGGGAACATGAGGCAGGGTAAAGTTTATCTAGGTAAAATGAGTTAGTTTTCATGTAGACTATCTGGGTGTATATGCAAAGACTGCAGACAATCTATACTAAAATCCTGGCTCTGCCTCTTGAAAGCTATGTAGTTTAGGCACATAGTCAAAATCCAGTTTCCTCATCTATGTGGTACGCTTCAGAGTAGTTAATCATGATATGTAGTCCAGTGACTGGTTCCCTTGGTAAGAGCTGTGATAATGACACAAGGAGGAGAGGTTTCAGGACAGACTTGGGATTCATGAATATGTAAGTGGTCACTGATTCCCCAGGGGTAGGATGACAACAATCAAGAGACGAATAGAGGTTGGAAAGGAGTCATGAGGGGTGGGAAACTAGCAGGGGCACATGGAAGCTAGGGAAAGAATTTTGCTTGAGATCGTCAAAGTGAGGGGAAGAGGGTAGTAAGCAAAGGAGAAATGTTATATGGGGTTCGGAGGTTTTGTGTTTGTAAATCTGGAGTGATGGGCATGTTCAAATGCTTCTGGGAAAGGAGCTAATAGGAGAGAAACTTAGCCCTTCGAAAAACAGGAAGGGATGGATCCTAGGGGAGAGGAGGAAGGATTGGCTTTAGAGGAAAGATGTCCTTTACGTGAGGAAAAGGAAGAAAAGGTGGGTTTAGATACTAAATCTGTAGGTTTGCTGTTAGGAAATTAAGGACTTTTCACCTTTATCTCTGAAATTTCTCTGGAGTTAGCAAGGCAAGGTCATACACTGAGAAGGAGGGATGAGGCAGTGTAGATTTGCAGACATACAGGTTGTAATTCCTTATGGAGGAAAGGGGAGAGCACTTTTGTCAGACTGCCTGTGGCTTTGAGAGCCCTTTGGCTACAGTCCATGAGGTGCTCAGAGGATGAGAAAGCTTCAGGGTAGAAGCAGTATTCAAGCTGCACCTAGAAAACAGTGCAATACAGAACAGTGGAAATTGGAAATTCCAATCTTGGAATCTCTAGGAAAGTAACTGAGGCATACGATGCCTGAAAAGGAGTAGAAAATAAAATTAATAAGGTGGGACCATATGATAAGAGATTTGAGGCCGGGCACTGTGGCTCACACCTGTAATCCCAGCACTATGGGAGGCTGAGGCAGGCGGATCACCTGAGGTCAGGGGTCCGAGACCAGCTTGGCCAACATGGTGAAACCCCGTCTTTACTAAAAATACAAAAATTAGACAGGCATGGTGGAGCATGCCTGTAATCCCAGCTACTTGGGAGGCTGAGGCGGGAGAATCGCTTGAACCCAGGAGGTGGAGGTTGCAGTGAGCTGACATTACGCCATAGCACTCCAGCTTGGGCGACAGAGGGAGACTCTGTCTCAAAAAAAAGACTTGAGCAAGGGCGTAATCTTCAGGAAGGTCAGTCTGGTAGCATAGTGTGGATTGGGTTGGGGGATGGGGAAGGAGAGCAGAAAATTATTGAAATATCCAGGTGCATAAAAGTCTACTTTGATTATGGAGAACTACACACTTGTTCAGTCACCCTCATTGGAGACGGGGGATGGCATACGAAAAGAATGCTGATTTCAGGCTGGGCACGGTGGCTCATGCCTTTAATCCCAGCACTTTGGGAGGCTGAGGCAGGTGAATCAGGGGTTCAAGACCAGCCTGGCCAATGTGGTGAAACCCTGTCTCTACTAAAAATCAAAAAAAAAAAAAAAAAAATGGCTGATTTCAGAGTCATATTCAGGTTTAAATTCTGTCATTCAGCCCAAACTCATTACTTTATGTTACTTATGGGAACCTCATCTAAAAAGCAAGGATCCTGATACCTGCCTCATATTGTGGCAAGGATCAAATGAGTCAAATAAGATGCTTGTGAAAGTGAGGACAGGATCTATCCTCAACACCTAGTGCAATTCTTTTTACACATTAGGTACTTAGTAATTTGGGTTGAATTGTGTTGAACTAACCTGGCGGTATAGGCAAAATTTGGAAGTTTGGTTTTCAGAAAGTCTTGACTTCCTCTTATCTCTAAGTAATTGGCATGTCCTCTAATTCATATTTTCCCCCCTCATCTGTTGGGTGAAATACTGTTTATCCTTTAGTACTAAAATTAAAAGTTACCTCATTCTTCTAGCTAGCTGATTTTTTTTTTTAATCTAGGCTAAATCATGAATACATTTACATTTAAATAAAATATTACAGTTGAAAGTAAAGGGTCCTTTCATTATCTCCACTTCCAATTCCAGTACCCTGTGTAAAGGAAAACATATACATCTTGCAGACATTTTTTAATGTGTTTGTAATATAGGTACATAAAAATATATGTGCTTGTTTTAAGCAAATTTCATACTCTGCAACTTGCCTTTTTTCTTAATACGTTCTGGAGATCTTATCTAGTCAGCCTCTAAATTAGAGTTCTTCAGAAAACCAATGGGATGGATGAATGGACTCAAGAGATTGTGGAAACCAAGAAGTCCCACAAAATACCATCTGCAAGCTGGAGAACCAGGAAAGCTGATTGGGATAATTCAAACTGGGTCCAGAGGCCTGAGAACTGGAAGGGCCAGTGGTGTAAGTCCTGGTCTGAGACCAAAGGCTTGATCAAGAATCAAGAGCATCAACAACCGAGGGCAGGAGAGGATGGGTTTCCCAGATTAAAAAAGCAAATTCACGCTTCCTCCCCCATTTTGTTCTATTTGAACCTTCCGTGGATAGGATGATGCCCACCTGCATTGGTGAAGGTCATCTTTACTCAGTCTACCCATTCAAATGCCAATCTCTTCCAGAGGTAATCTCACAGATTTAGAAATGTTTCGCCAGCTAGCTGAACAATCCTTAGCCCAGTCAAGTGCACACATAACCATAACAATTCTTACTAATCTACCTCATTCTTTTTTATCTTCTGCATAATAATCCACAACATGAATGTTCACGTTTGACCTCTATTGATAGACATTTCGGATGATGCCAATTTCTTTTTCTGGTTTTTGTTTTTTGTGTGTGTGTGTTTTTTTTTTTTTTGAGACGAGGTCTTGCTCTCGCCCAGGCTGGAGTGCAGTGGGTGGGGTGATCTCGGCTCACTGCAACCTCTGCCTCCCGGGTTCAAGCAGTTCTCCTGCCTCAACCTCCTGAGTAGCTGGGATTACAGGAGTGTGCCACCACACCTGGCTAATGTTTGTATTGTTAGTAGATACAGGGTTTCACCCTGTTAGCCAGGATGGTGGATGGGCATTTGAATGGGTAGACTGAGTGATCCTGACCTCGTGATCCACTCCCCAGTCTCCCAAAGTACTGGGATTACAGGCGTGAGCCACGGCACCAGGCCCTCTTTTTCTATTTAAACAGTGCTTCCGTGAATGTCCTTGTGTACACCTCCTTCTGTACACAATGATGTTTATCTGATGCACATTGCCAATCAGTGCACTTGCTGGATTGAAGAATGTGAGTGTTTGTATCACTCTTTCAGTAGGCTGTACCAATTTAGACTTGCTCTACCAATTTAGATTTCCATCAGCAGTAAACAAAGACATTCCTGCCTGGCAGTCTTGAACTCCTGCTATTATCTCTTAAATTTTTGCCAGTGTGTGAAAAGTAGTATCTTACTTTAACTTGTATTTTCCTGGTCCAATAGTGCACTAAATGCCCGAGTTCTGTATTTATTCTATTTGGATAGCCATTAGATAGCCATTAAGTCCACTCATAGAGTTATTTTAAATGTTTTCCTTTAGTTTCCAACCACATTTTCAAATAAAATTTAGAATTAGCTTGTCAAGTAAGTTGTCATATTGTGATTTTTGAGATTGCATTGAATTTATAGATATGTTAGATAGAACAAACTCACCGTCTTCATAATACTACGTCTTCGATCCAGGAGCATGGTATATTTCCAACTACTTGGGCCGTCATTCTTTTCAAAATTAAAACAAAAAAACAAAAAAAAACTGTATCTTGGCTTATTCCTGGTGATTTTTTGTTTGTTTGTTTGAGATGGAGTCTCGCTTTGTTGCCCAGGCTGGAGTGCAGTGGCGCAATCTCAGCTCACTGCAAGCTCTGCCTCCTGGGTTCACGCCATTCTCCTGCCTCAGCCTCCTGAGTAGCTGGGACTACAGGCGCCCGCCACCACTCCTGGCTAATTTTATTTTTTTTATTTTTATTTTTTTTTTGTATTTTTAGTAGAGACGGGGTTTCACCATGTTAGCCAGGATGGTTTTGATCTCCTGACCTAGTGATCCTCCCGCTTTGGCCTCCCAAAGTGCTGGGATTACAGGTGTAAGCCACCACGCCCAGCCTCTGTTTGTTTTTGAGACGAGTCTCTGTTGCCCAGGCTGGCGTGCAGTGGTATGATCTCAGCCCATTGCAACCTCTGCCTCCTGGGTTCAAGTGATTCTCCCCCCACAGCCTCCCCAGTAGCTGGGATTACAGGTGCGCACCACCACACTGGCTAATTTTTGCATTTTTAGTAGAGATGGAGTTTCACTATGTTGGCCAGGCTGATCTCGAACTCCTGACCTCACATGATGCACCTGCCTGAACCTCCCAAAATGCTGAAATTACAGGTGTGAGCCACCACGCAGGCCATATTCCTAGTGATTTTGAACTAGTATCAGTTCCTAGTATTTTTTTTTTTTTTTTCTGAGACAAGAGTCTCGCTCTGTCGCCCAGGCTGGAGGGCAGTGGCGCGATCTCGGCTCACTGCAAGCTCCGCCTTCTGGGTTCACGCCATTCTCCTGCCTCAGCCTCCTGAGTAGCTGGGACTACAGGCGCCCGCCACCACGCCTGGCTAATTTTTGAGGCCGAGTCTTACTCCATCGCCCAGGCTGGAGTGCAGTGGCAAGATCTTGGCTCACTGCAACCTCCGCCTCCCAGGTTCAAGCAGTTCTCGTGCCTCAGCCTCCCAAGTAGCTGGGATTACAGGTGTCCACCACCATGCCTGGCTAATTTTTGTATTTTTAGTAGAGATGGGGTTTCACTGTGTTGGCCAGGTTGGCCTTGAACTCCTGACCTCAAGTGATCCACCCGCCTCGGCCTCCCAAAGTCTGGGATTACAGGCATAAGCCACCGTGCCTGGCCCCTAGTATCTTTTCTAACTGGACGTTGATGGATGTAAAGGGGCTGAGGATTTTTGTATTTAACATCTTATGTGTGTCCACATTGCTAAACTCTCTTATTGTTTTAATATAATTTTTTAGTTGATTTTTTTTAATTTTCTTTTTTTTTTTTCCTTTTTTTGCCCCCCTTGAGACAATGTCTTGCTCTGTCACCCAGGCTGAGTGCAGTGGTATGATCATGGCTCACTGCAGCCTTGACCTCCTAGGCTCAAGTGATCCTCCTGTCTCAGCCTCCCAAGTAGCTGGGACTACAGGTATGTGCCACCATGCCCAGCTAATTTATTTTTATTTTATTTATTTATTTATTTTTGAGATGGAGTTTTGCTTTTTTTGCCCAGGCTGGAGTGCAATGGTGCAATCTTGGCTCATTGCAACCTCTGCCTCCCAGCTTCAAGCGATTCTCCTGCCTCAGCCTCCCGAGTAGCTGGGATTACAGGTGCCACCCCCGCCCCTCCCACCACCACCACCGTGCCTGCTAGTTTTTTTGTATCTTTAGTAAAGATGGAGTTTCACCATGTTGGCCAGGTTGTTCTCAAACTCCTGATCTCAGGTAATCTACCTGCCTCGGCCTCACAAAGTGCTGGGATTACAGGCGTGAGCCACAGTGCCCGGCCTTTTTTAATGCTTTGTAGAGACAGAGTCTCACTATGTTGCCTAGGCTGATTTCGAACTTCTGAATGCATACAGTCCACCTGCCTTGGCCTCCCAAGGTGCTAGGATTACAGGTGTGAGCTACTGCGCCTGGCTGGATTTCTTGGATTTTCTGTGAGGATAATGATGAAAACAACTTCTCCATTAAAAAATTGTATTACACGTCAGGTATAGAAAATCTCAATAAAATGATATATTCTTAGCTATTTTAATGGATAAACATGCAACTCTTTTCAAATCTATATTATTGCCACTCCTTTCAAATAACTGTTTGGAACATTGCCCTCCCGGATGAGTACCACACTGTCTTATCTCCCATTCCTTCATGTCACAAGGCCCCAAGGCAATTCTTGGAAAACGACTGCCTGATTTTATATCTTTATAAAACAAATCCTGTAACTGTGATGTGCTAAGGAATAGAAGTGTTTACCCAGCCCCTGGTTAGTGAAAATTCCTCCTTTCCTCCAGTGAACATTTTATAATAATGAAGTCTTATCGTTAAATTCTGAGTCTGTGGTCTTTTCTATAATAATAATTATGTGATCTACAAATAATGATAATTCTGTTTCCTATATCTGCTACATTTTTTTAAATTTATTTTTATTTTTGCTTTTTTGTTCTGATTTCTTCGTCCTGTCCAACTGAAACTTTGTACCCTTTGACCAGCATGTCACCATTTACCCATCTCAGCTGCTGGCAACCACCATTTTACTCTCTGCTTCTGTAAGTTTAACTTTTTTGAGAGAGAGAGAGAGTCTTGCTTCGTCGCCCAAGCTGGAGTGCAATGGCGCAACCTTGGCTCACTGCAACCTCTGCCTCCTGGGTTCAAGTGATTCTCCCGCCTCAGCCTCCTGACTAGCTGGGATTACAGGCATGCACCACCACGCCCAGCTAATTTTTTTTTGTATTTTTAGTAGAGACGTGTTTTCACCATGTTGGCCAGGATGGTCTCGATCTCTTGACCTAGTGATCTGCCTGCCTTGGCCTCCCAAAGTGCTGGGATTACAGGTGTGAGCCACCGTGCCTGGCCAACTTTTTTAGGTTCTACATATAAGTGAGATCATACAGTATTTGTCTTTCTATGCCTTATTCACTAAGCTTAATATCCTCCAGTTTCATCCATGTTGTGACAATGACAGGATTTTTTCCTTTTAAAGGAGGAATAATATGTCATTTTGTGTGTGTGTGTGTGTATACACATTTTCTTTACCATTCATCCATTGATGGACACATAGGTTGTTCCATGTCTCAGCTGTTGTGAATAATGCTGCAATTAACATGGAAGTACAGATACCTCTTTGACATACTGATTTTATTTTCTTTGGAAATGTATCCATGTAATAGGATTGCTGAATCATATGGTATTTCTATTTTTAATTTTTTTTAGAAACTTCCGTACTGTTTTCCATGATGGTTGGACAAATTTGCATTCCCATCAACAGTGTACAAGGGTTCCATTTTCTCCACCACCTACATGTTATCTGTTGTCATGTTATGTTATGTTATGTTATGTTATGTTATGTTATGTTATGTTATGTTATGTTATGTTATTTTTTATTTTGAGACGAAGTCTCACTCTGTCACCCAGGCTGGACTGCAGTGGCATGATCTCAGCTCACTTCAACCTCCGCCTCCCTGGTTCAAGTGATTCTCCTGCCTCAGCCTCCCGAATAGCTGGGATTATGGGTGCCCACCACAACCCCCGTCGTCTGATTTTTGTATTTTAGTAGAGACGGGTTTTTGCCATGTTGGCCAGGCTGGTCTCTAACTCCTGAGCTCAAGCGATCCACCTGCCTCGGCCTCCCAAAGTGCTGGGATTACAGGCTTGAACCACTGCACCCAGCCATCTGTTTCTTTTTGATAACAGCCATTCTGGTTGGGCATGATGTCTCACGCCTGTAATCCCAGCACTTTGGGAGGTCGAGGTGGGTGGATCACTTGAGGCCAGGAGTTCGAGATCAGCCTGGTCAACATGGCAAAACCCGGTCTCTACTAAAAATACAAAAATTACTCGAGTTTGGTGGCGTGCATCCGTAATCCCAGCTACTTGGGAAGCGGAGGCATGATAATTGCTTGAGCCTGGGAAGCAGAGGTTACAGTGAGCTGAGATCACTTCAGTCTGAGCAACAGCGAGACTCTGTCTCAAAAAGTAATAATAATAATAATACAGCCATTCTAAGAGGATTATGGTGATTATCACATTTGCATTTCTCTGATGATGAGTGATGTTGAGCATTTTTTCATCTTTCTGTTGGTCATTCGTATGTCTTCTTTGGAGAAATGTCTATTCAGGTACTTTGCCCATTTTTTAATCTAGTTATTTGTATTCTTGCTATAGAGTTGAGTTTCATATATATTTTCTTTTCTTTTTTTTTTTTTTTTTTTTTTTTTACACAGCGTCTCACTCTTGCCCAGGCTGGAGTGCAGTGGTGCAATCTTGGCTCACTGCAACCTCCGCCTCCTGGGTTCAAGTGACCCTGGTGCCTCAGCCTCCCAAGTGGCTGGGATTACAAGCACGTGCCACCACACCTTGCTAATTTTTGTATTTTTAGTAGAGATGAGGTTTTGCCATATTGCTCATGGCTGATCTCGAACTCCTGACTTCAAGTGATCTGCCTGCTTCAGCCTCCCAAAGTGATGGGATTACAGGCGTGAGCCACCATGCCCAGCTGAGGTACATTCCTTCTTTTTTATTTTTTTGAGACAGAGTCTAGCTCTGCTGCCCAGGCTGGAGTGCAGTGGCACAGTTTCAGCTCACTGCAACCTCTGCCTCCCAGGTTCAAGCAATTCTCCTGCCTCAGCCCTCTACAGTAGTTGGGATTACAGGCGTGCACTACCATGCCTGGCTAATTTTTCTATTTTTAGTAGAGACTGGGTTTTGTCATGTTGGCCATGCTGGTCTCGAACTCCTGACCTCAGATGATCCACCCACCTCAGCCTCCCAAAGTGCTGGGATTACAGGTGTGAGCCACCGCGCCTGGCCTGAGCCACCATGCCCAGATGTACATTCCTTCTATGTCTAATTTGGTGAGAGTTTTTTTTTTATCATGAAAGTATGTTGAACTTTGTCAAATGCTTTTTCTGTATCCATTGAGATGATCATATGATTTTTATTTTTCATTTTGTTAATGTGGTATATCACACTGATCGATTTACATATGTTGAAACATTCTTGCATCTCTGGATGATCATAGTATATGATCCCACCCTATCATGGGCAGGAGAATCGTTTGAACCCAGGAGGGGGAAGTTGCAGTGAGCCGAGACCGCGCCACTGCACTCCAGCCTGGGTGACAGAGGGAGATTCTGTCTCAAAAAAAAAAAGAAATCAGAAAAATAAGAATAATCAAACATGAAGTATGACTAAAACAGACTCAGAAGAAAGCTTATAGACATAAATACAAGTATGAGAGAACCAAAAAGCTATAAAAAATTAGGCATGCTATTCAAAAACTAGAAAAAGAATATACGTCTTTCAGATTTTAAGAAATAAATCAATAATGATAAAATGAAACACGATATGGTATTAGACGTGTTCATGAAAAAGAAAAATGATACTAAAAATCAATGATATAGAAAAAGCAATGAAATATGAAAAAACTAAAAGTTGGTTCTGTGAAAAATTCAATAAAAGAGAAAAAGTATAGGTAAACAGTAATTGATACAAGAAAAGGGACAAATCCCTTCAGACATGGACATATAAAAAGTAAGATGATTTTGTATCAGTAAATTTGACAGCCTATGCCAAATTATTTTCTATGGAAGAAAGTACCAAAATTGGTTAAAGGCATTAAAAACCTGAATGGACTAATAACCACACAAGAGACGGAAAAGTTGTCAAATATAAAAAGGTGTTGGGTCCAGAATGACTTATAACAGGTGAAATTTTCATACCTTTATAGGACATTTTGGCCCTAAGTTATGCTTTCCTAAATAATATGAAACTGTATATATACCTTCTATAGACATGGTCTCACTCTGTTGCCCAGGCTGGAGTTCAGTAGTGTAATGAGTTTCTTGGTTGGATGCAAACTGGTGCATTCACTGAGGTGGGGGAACCCTGGAGGAGGAACAGGGGGATGAGGGAAGGATGATGAGATTAGTTTGGAACATTTTGAATTTTAGGCTTTTGTAGAATAATTAGAAATCAACAGGCAGTTTCAAACCCAGACCTCTAACTCCAAGCTATCTGCACACTGCCTGGCCAATAGGAAGCACTATTGCCATGAGTGTTATTAAATCTGGACTGCAGAAAGAGATACGGGAGTGTCTTACAGGAGAGTGGTGAGATACGCACGAATAATAATAATGTCAGCAATAATATAGCACTTATTTTGACTTAGTTCAGTACAGAACTGGACTCTGTCCATAAAAAGAGTCAAACTCAGTAAAATATTTAAAGAGATTTATTCTAAACTAAATATGAGGACCAGTGACCCACGACACAGCCCCAGGGGGTCCTGAGATCTTGTGCTCAAGGTGGTCGGGCTACAGCTTGGTTTTACATGTTTTAGGAAGATATAAGATATCAATCAATAAATGTAGGATGTACATTAGCTCCATCCGGAAAGGAGGGACAACTCGAAGTGGGGAGTGTGGGGGCACCTTCCAGGGCGTAGGTGGATTCAAAGATTTCCTTTCCTTTCCTTTCCTTTTTCCTTTCCTTTCCTTTCCTTTCCTTTCCTTTCCTTTCTTTTCTTTTGAAGATTTCTAACTGGCAATTAGTTGAAAGAGTTATGGACTGGGCACGGTGGCTCACGCCTGTAATCCCAGCACTTTGGGAGGCCGAGGCGGGCGGATCACGAGGTCAGGAGATCGAGACCATCCTGGCTAACACGGTGAAACCCCGTCTCTACTAAAAATACAAAAAATTAGCTGGGCATGGTGGCGGGCGCCTGTAGTTCCAGCTACTCAGGAGGCTGAGGCAGGAGAATGGCATGAGCCCGGGAGGCAGAGCTTGCAGTGAGCCGAGATCGCGCCACTGCACTGCAGCCTGGGCGACAGAGCAAGACTCTGTCTCAAAAAAAAAAAAAAAAAAAAAAAGTTATTAGCTAAAGACCTGGAATCAATTGAAGGGAATGTCTGAGTTAAGATAAGGGGTTTTGGAGACCAATGTTCTTATTATGCAGATGAAACCTCCAGGTAGCAGGCTTCAGAGAGAAACGATTGTAAATGTTTCTTACCAGACTTCAAAAGGTGCCAAACTCTTAGTTAATTCTCTACTGGATCAAGGAAAACACTTTGAAAGTGAAGGGGATTCTTTACAGGATGTAGATTTTCTTCACAAAAGACAGCTTTACAGGGTCATTTCAAAATATGTCAAAGAAATACATTTTAGGGTAAAATACTTCAGTTTATTTCAGGGCCTGTTATCTGTCACATGAGACTATACTAGAGTCAGGTTAGAATTTGATGTCTTATTGCTATAAAGAGTTTGTTTTGGGCTGGGCGTGGTGGCTCACGCCTGTAATCCCAGCACTTTGGGAGGCCGAGGCGGGCGATCACGAGGTCTAGTTCAAGACCAGCCTGGTCAACATGGTGAAATCCCGTCTCTACTAAGAATACAAAAATTAGCCGGGCGTGTTGGCACGTTCCTGTAATCCCAGCTACTCAGGAGGCTGAGGCAGGAGAATTGCTTGAACCCGGGAGGCGGAGGTTGCAGTGAGCCGAGATCGGGAAACTGTACTCCAGCCTGGGCTACAGAGTAAGACTCCATCTCGGAAAAAAAAAAAAAAAGTTTTAGTCAGTCTCAAGATCTCTGTTTTAATGTTAATGCTGGTCCGTAGTGCCTGAATTCCAAGGGCATAACGAGGCAAGTCCGATCCCCTGCTTCCCATCATGGCCTGAACTAGATTGCCAGGTTTTCTTTGGAATGTTTTGGCTGAGAGAAGTGGTCCATTCAGTTGGTTGGGGGACTTAGAATTTTATTTTTGGTTTACAAAACTGTTGCATGAATTGACTCAGTTAATTCACTGAATTTATAAATTACAAACTTTTACCATTCTCAACTGATAAATTGAGGCAACGATTTAAGTATAACTTGAGCAAGTCCATATAGAGTGGAGCCAGGAACGCAGACAATGAGACACCATACCCCATGGTCTTAGGTCACAGTCATTCAGTGGGAGACAGGGGCTATAAATTCATTAGAAGGTTAAGTTAGGAATTAAGTAATTAGGTAAGGAATTAGGAATTCAGTTAATTAAGTTACAAATTGTTAAATATGGAGGAATTTATCATGTAGTTGGGGTACTAAGACATAAGAGAAAATAATAAAGAAAAACAGGAGCGGCCGGGCGCGGTGGCTCACGCCTGTATTCCCAGCACTTTGGGAGGCCGAGGCGGGCGGACAGCTTGAGCTCAGGAGTTCGAGAACAGCCTGCGCAACATAGCGAGACCCCCGTTTCAAAAAACACACGAAAAAATTAAAATTAAAAAACAAACAAACCAGGCGCAGAGCGGTTGTGGAGAAGGGAAGCGAAGGGTTGGAGTTTCGTTTCGTGGGAACCATAGAGAAGGGCCAGCCTCCCGGCTTCCTAGAGAGGCTGTAGGGACCGACGGCCGGCCAGCTAATGCTTCCGTCTTGGCCACCTTGCGAGCGCTCGGGTTGAGTTTCCCGGGCTTCCCTGACTCGGCTACCTGTTCTGGAGGTCAGGCTTTGGGCCCTTGCAGAGGTCGCCGAGGGGCCCGCGCCGCCGCCAGAGCCTGGGCCCAGTCCCCAGTCTTCAGAGACGCCCTCGACCTTCCTGCTCCGAGGAGCTGGCCTGATGTCCTCGGGTCGCGGTATTCATGGGGAGGATGGGAGCCGTGACTATAGGGTCTCCTGCTTCCCAGGGTGGAGCGTTCAGATCCCGGTTAGGTCTTCGGTCAGCATCACCCGCTGGGACATTAAGCGTCTTACCCTTGTCACCCGGGGCTGGGTCACCACTTATATTTTGTCCTGCAGCCTGTGGTTTGTTTAGGGGTCCCCGTTATATCCTACTTTCTCTCCAGAGACTTGTTTTGGGTTTTTGCCATGAACACTAGAAGCATTCAATACAAACTGTTTAGTAATGCATTCATAGTGGGGCCAAGAATTTTTTTTAAAAAACAGCCACGAATCCACTGCAGTTCTTGACTCTTACTTTACAGATATTCTTTCTAGAGTTTCCAGTGTCACCAAGCAGATCTATAGGAGAATATGCAGAGGGAGCATTTGCAACATCCCATGAATCAGTGGAGAGGGTGAATGACAGCAGCTAGTGTGCCAAGAATATCTGCAATGCTAGTGGCAGGAGACAGAGGGGAAGAGGCGGCAAGTGTAGGAGACGAGACAGATCAGTCTCATTGTGGTTCTCTCTTAGCTCCGCAGGTTCTTACTTTTTCAAACCTAGAGGGCAGTGCATGAAGCCAGGGGTCATCAGCCATGCTCCAGACAGTGTGGTTCCAGGTGAGCAGAGCTTTCTTTCAGCTTTCCATACTCAGAACAGATATGGAAGGTCAGTACAGCCCCAGTAGCCTGACTTGGCCAGTCTCATGCTTAGTTTTACATCCTTCAATAAAGTATGTAAAAACAGTATGCGAGGGGAGTTGACGAACGAGAGTAGGTGAATTTGGGAGAGTCAGGTAGGTTGGAAAAGAAGGAATGAATTATCCTAGAAAGTGGGAATCTGCATTCATGAGAACTGAAAGTGTGGCCTGGAGATGAGCAGCTTTTGCATTACAGAGGGCTCTTGTTAGGCAAAATGTCAGGCCCCCTCCCCAGATCTCCTAAATCAGAATCTACATTTTTACAAGATCTGGAAAATTAAAGGGCAGATTAAAATTTGAGGAGTGCTAGTCTGCGTTCACAGTACACAAAGAAAAGCCATTTCTGAGGTTAAATAGACACTTCCAAGGGAGGAGTTTACCCTGCAGACCACTCAGTTAAGGTACAGTGAAGCCAGAACTGGAAACATGTGGAAAATGTAGATTGATGAGGGAGATGTATTTTTGGAGGAATGATGAGTTTGGAGCTGAAGCCAGTGCCTTTAGCTCAATGCGAAGACGTCAGTCTAACCTCTGTGAGAGTCTATATCCTTTCTTGGCTACAAATTCATGTAGCATTGGGAGGACTTTTCCCTCCAGTTTTCTTGGTGGTAGATGATGGTTTTACTGGATTTTTCTCCAGTGTCCTAGATCATGGAATGAGAAAGCTGAGTTTATCATGTAATGGATGTATCTTGTAATGAGAAAGCTCCATCCCAAGGACTTAAAAACAATGTGTGTGTCCTTTTGGTGGATATTGGACCATCCACTTCTGTTCGAGAACTTCAGCAAAAATTCATTCCTACAAGTCAGGAAGTGTGCTGTGGGGGTATGCTGTGCTCTCCTGGTGCTTTGCCTGAAGTACAGAAATCACTTAGGATTAGATTCCCCAAAGAGGACCCCAAATGACAGTGGATTAAACGAGGTAAAGGCTTCTCTCTCATACAAAAGTATCAAGAGTCAATACAGGGCTAGTGTGGCAGCTCCCCTATTATGCTCTCAGGCTCTGTCTTTCTGCTCTACCATCCTAGCAGTGTCTCACCTGCTCTAGGCCACTTTATTGTCCAAGGTGGCTGCTTGATCTCTAGCCATCATGTGTGCATTCCAGCTAGAAGAGGAGCTGCCCAAAAAAAGATGAACCTCTCTCTTTTAGGAACCTTCCCATAAGTCCCCAACAATATTTATACTTGCATTTCATTGGCCCCACTTGGTTGCCCGGGTTGAGTGCAACCTCAAGTAAAATTAGGATTCCAATACTAAGAAAGAAAGGGGGTACACACACACCTGTCAGTCTTTGCTACAATCTCTAAGAGGAACATTTGTCATTTAGAATCTTCTAGGAAGTTCCCCCAATCTCATCTGTGGTTGTAGTAAGTGCTGAGATTTAGATGATATCATGTGCCAGGTGATATCTTCGTGCGTTACAGATAATAACTTAATGCCATTCTTGTAAGAGTCCTTTCAGATAATTACTATTGTTATCCCAGTTTTACAAATGGGGGCAACTGAGGCACAGAAAGTTTAATTGTCTCATCCAAAGTTAACAGCTAATGAGTATTAGAGATACTATTTGAACTTAGGGAGTCTAGCTTAGAGCAGGGTTTTTCAACCTTGGCATCATTTACATTTGGGCCAGATAATTCTTTGTTTGGGGGATGTCCTGTTCATTATAGGATATTCAGAAATGGCCCTGGCCCACTATCTACTAGATGCCAGTAGCACTACCATTACCACCACACTGCAGTTCTGACAACTAAAAATGTCTCCAGATATTGCCACATAGTCTCTGGGGGACAGAATTGCCCCCATGTTGAGAGCCATAGCCTTAACATCTGTGCCATTTGCCACTATGTTGTGCTGCCCCTGTAACCCACTTCCTATAGAAGGGAGTCAATAGCCCCACTTAATGGAGAAAGAGTAAGTGCAAGTAAAGGACAGAAGAGTGATCACAGATAGAGAAGATCTGGAGAAGCTAAGTGTTTCAGAAAACAAGGAACCAAAGAATGTGCTGATAATTAGAGTGATGTTTCAGAGGTATGGAGAGGTAGAGCATAATGTCAAGAAAAGTTGAGGTCCATATTCCCAGCTAGTTGTTGACTCTGAAGGAAGTAAGAGAAGAGTATTAACAGATGTATCTATTCTGCACTGTCCAGGAAGGTACCCCCTAGCTACATGTGCCTATTTAAATTGAAATCAATTAAAGTTCCTCAGTCATGCCGGCCACCTTTGAACTTTCTGGCTAAGGGGTATTCTGATTACTGTATAGTTACTGTTTTCCTCTTGTAACTAATAAGCAATCTATGAGGAGACATTTAAGATCATGCAAATATTCTGCTTCTCATCAAAATTTCCTCCTAGATTTAGCATCCATTGATGATTTTTGCCCAAACCAATCTTTACAATGATGACTGCATAGTACTTTTTTTTTTTTTTTTTGAGACGGAGTCTTGCTCTGTCGCCCAGGCTGGGGTGCAGTGGTGCAATCTCGGCTCACTCCAAGCTCTGCCTCCGGGGTTCACGCCATTCTCCAGCCTCAGCCTCCCGAGTAGCTGGGACTACAGGTGCCTGCCACCACGCCCGGCTAATTTTTTGTGTATTTTTAGTAGAGATGAGGTTTCAGCATGTTAGCCAGGATGGTCTTGATCTCCTGACCTCGCGATCTGCCCGCCTCGGCCTCCCAAAGTGCTGGGATTACAGGCATGAGCCACTGTGCCCAGCCCAAATCTTCTAGTACTTCTATGTTAGATTTCTTCACTCAGAAGAGACTTAAGTACAAAGAGAAGGTTGTTGACATGATGAATTGAGAAAGACTACAGTGTGAGTCAGAGATAGATGTTTTAATGGGACTAATTTATATAAAAGTGGTCAGTTCATTTTGAACTTTTTGCTTCCTTATACAACCTTGTAATAAATACTCAAAGAGGACTCCTTTTAGTCTATTTCAAAGTGCTTAATATTGCTCATTCCCATCATCTGAAAATGGAAATAATAATTCTTATTTCACAGATGTGCTATAATGATTGAGCAAATTGATTTAAAAGTAACTGACACAGGACAAAGCTTTAAACAACCTGTGATGGTGTCCTTCTTCCCTGAGAAGCTGGAGGTGGTTTTAGTGGGAAGCAGAAAGAGAGAGACACATAATGAAGAGGACAGCATTGGCAGGTCAGACAGAGCTTAGGTGATCAGTGGGCAGATTTCTGCAGAAGGATGGGAGATTGCCATCCTGTCCTGGAGTGAAGTGTGTTAGGAGACAAAGAAGTAACACTGCACATCACCTTCAAGGGAGAACTATTAATAGCTTCTGATAAGGCAAGATGATAGAAAGGGGAGAAATATCCAGGATGAAAGGAACTTTATCCTCATGAAATCACTCCTCTGTCTGTAGCAGAAGATGTAGAGGAGGAAGACCAGAAAGAAGCTGGGTGGAGGGCCCTGATACGTGCTTCAGGATGGATGGAGGCAGGGTGAAAGACGGTTACCTGCTGTGGTCGATTTAGAAAGCATGCCAGAAAAATATACCTGGCCTGTGGAACCAGACATGGGTTGACATGATCACCAGGCAGAGAACAACAGGTGCTGGGCTGTGTACTTAGGATGATAATATTAGGGCCCCAGAGGTATGCACATGGAAAGTTGGAATGCTGGCTCGGGGCTGCCCCTGCTGGGGTCCTGTGTGGCTCTCCTTGCCAGTACAAACCTTCCATGGGGCTCAGTGCCATGGATTCCAGTAAATTTATCCCTTTCCTGGAATTCAGGCCTCTCCCTCTGTTCTTGTGCAGGGCTTGGGCAGGAACCTGTTGTTTCAGGAGCCAGTAACCTTTGAGGATGTGGCTGTGTACTTCACCCAGAATGAATGGGCCAGCCTGCACCCTACGCAGAGGGCCCTATACAGGGAGGTGATGCTGGAGAATTATGCAAATGTGACTTCCTTGTGTAAGTCCTCCTTCCTCTCTGAAACTCAGCTTCTGCCCTTGGGAGCTCCTAGATTCCTCCTTAGCAGAACTAGGATCTCTTTAATACCATCAGAATTGATGCCCTATGGGCTGAGCTCCCTAATCCCCAGTGCCAGGGGTAGCTGGATGGAGAAAGAGCTCGGTTCACTTTGGTGTTTAACAGGACTTTTCTCTTCCCTGGTTCCTAATGGAGACCCAACTGCAGGGGGCTTTCCTCTGGATACAGAGAGAACTGAGAAGGTTCCTGGTGCACTGTCTTCATTCCTTCCATCTTCCAGTTCCCTGGAGCTGATCTTGGCCCTATTGCCTATGTGTGAGTCCCCTAGGGCCCTCGTGTACACACCCCCCAGTGACTCTGGGAGCATTCTGTCCTCTTAGAGGCCAGAGTAAGCTTCAAGCCCTTCCTTAGATTCTGCAGATTCACTCCTCCCTGACTTCACTTAGTCTCCTGGGCCATCCTCTTCTATTTTCATCTGGCAAAGCAGAGTGTAGTCTGAGGGAGGTCAGTGTTGATTCTCCTCAGCTTCATGTTCCTTTTCTTTCTCCTGTAGCAGCATTTCCATTCCCCAAACCAGATCTGATATTCCAGCTGGAGCAAGGAGAAGCAGCATGGGGCCCAGATCCCTGGACACTTGCTGGGGGAGAGGCCCTGAGAGGCATGTGCACAGGTGAGCAGGAGAGCCTACCATCCTCCTTTCCAGCTTTGCCTCCTCCTTTCTTTTAACAATTTAGCATGAAAAAGGTTTTTCCTTGTCATATGATGGTTGTGGGGATTAAAATAGTCACTCTTATTCAAAGAAGTGTTGCTTACCAGAACTTCATCCCCGAACTAGAAAAGACGAGTCCCGCCATTTTATTTCTGCCATTTTTCTTTGTAAAGCTAAAGGATTTCAGGCTGGATGTGGTGGCTTACACCTATATCCGAGCACTTTGGGAGGCCAAGGTGGGAGGGTGCTTGAGGCCAAGAGTTCAAGACCAGCCCGAACAACATAGCAAGACCCTGTCACTACAATAAATAAATAAATTAGCTGGGCATGGTGGCATGTGCCTATAGTGCCAGCTACTCAGGAGGCTGAGGCTGGAGGATCCCTTGAGCCAGGAGTTTGAGGTTGCAGTAAGCTAGGATCACACCATTCCACTCCAGCCTGGGTGACAGAGTGAGACCCTATCTCTAAAAAACAAAAGATTTCAAACAGGCTTCTGTTGGTTCGTCAGCTCAGGAATATAAACACAATATAGTAAGAACTTGGTTTTGGTTTTTTTTTTTTTTTTGAGATGGAGTCTCGCTTTGTTGCCTAGGCTGGAGTGCAGTGGCGCAGTTGTGGTTCACCACAACCTCCGCCTCCTGGGTTCAAGTGTTTCTCCTCCCTCAGCCTTCTGAGTAGCTGGGACTACATGCGCGTGCCACCATGACTGGCTAATTTTTGTATTTTTAGTAGAGATGGGGTTTCACTGTGCTGGCCAGGCTGGTCTCGAACTCCTGCCCTCTTGGTCCGCCCCACCCTCGGCCTCCCAAAGTGCTGGGATTACAGGTGTGAGGCACCATGCCTGGCCAAGCACTTGGTTTTTAAAAAATAGATTTATTTATTTATTTGTTTGTTTATTTTTTGAGACAGAGTTTCACTTTTGTTGCCCAGGCTGGAGTGCAATGGCGTGATCTTCACTCACCGCAACCTCTGCCTTCCAGGTACAAGCGATTCTCCTGCCTCAACCTCCCAAGTAGCTGGGATTATAGGCATGTGTCACCACACCCAGCTAACTTTGTATTTTTAGTAGAGATGGGGTTTCGCCATGTTGGTCAGGCTGGTCTCGAACTCCCAACCTCAGTTGATCTGCCCACCTCAGCCTCCCAAAGTGCTGGGATTATAGGTGTGAGCTACTGCACTTGGCCTATTTATTTATTTTTTGAGTCAGAGTCTTGCTCTGTCACTCAGGCTAGAGTGCAGTGGCACTATTTCGGCTCACTGCAACCTCTGCCTCCCAGGTTCAAGCGATTCTCCTGCCTCAGCCTCCCAAGTAGCTGGGATTACAGGCGCCCGCCACCACACCCGGCTAATTTTTGTAGTTTTAGTAGAGACAGGGTTTCACCATGTTGCCCAGGTTCGTCTTGAACTTCTTACCTCAAGTGATTCTCCTGCCTCAGCCTCCCCAAGTGCTGGGATTACAGGCATGAGCCACCGCGCCCAGCTAGAACTTGTTTTTATAAGAACATTTTGTGTGTGTGTGTGTATAAAACTATATATGTAAATGGAATTTTTCTAAGTTCATAAACACTGAATTTTACATTAGCTTTTGAAAGAAAGCTTGTTTATGTATTGGGAATGAATGGTTTTCTTTTTTGAAAGATACTGAATTGAGTTAAATGTAAAGACCAATCAGAGATTTGGTATACAGCTTTCCTTATTCTATGGGCTCTGTTATCATATTCTGTCAATCTTTTATGCTATTCAGAGCCTCTGTAAGGCAAATGCTCCTTTCTAATTTCCCCACTTTGCCTTAATCAATACCTTAAATTGATTTCAGCATTTCAGATCATGTAGGGGCTTTCCCAGTATCCTTCCTGCAGTTGTTAGTGTTTCCCCTTGCCACAGGTGTACATTTTCTATTTAGCCTGCCAGATGAATCACATGAACACCTGAAGTGTGTCTAGTGCAGCTGAGGAACTGAGTTTTTAATTTTATTCCATTTTAATTAATTTACATTTAAATAGCCACATGTGGCTAGTGGCCACCTTTTGGGAAAGTGCAGCCTTAAACAATGAAAACAGCAGCCTCAATCTGTTTTTTGTAGTTTATAGATTAGTAAATTTCAAACTCTCGTATGTATCAGAATTACTTGCAGAGCTTGTTAAAACACAGATTGCCAGGTGCCACCTCCAGAGATTCGAATTCAGAAGACTGGTGTGGGGCTGAGAATGTGCATTTCTTTTTCTTTTTTTTCAAGATAGGGTCTTGTTATTTTGCCTAGGCCAGTCTCAAATTCCTGGGCTCAAGTGATTCTTTCACCTCTGCCTCCTAATTAGATGGGACTACTGGCACACACCACCAAACCCAGCCCCATTAATATGCATATCTAACAAGTTCCCAGATGATACTGGTCCAGGGACCACCATTTGAGACCACTGTTCTTGACAATCTAGAACCATATTCTTTAAACTCTGGGTTGCAACTCATCAATGAGTTGTTACCAGCATTTAAAAATTAGACTACATTGTATTAGGTGTAGATAAAGACTAAAGTAGTATAAAGTCTATTGTGAATGCATCATTTTTTTTTTTTTTTTGGAAACAGAGTCTTGGTCTATCCCCCAGGCTGGAGCGCAGTGGCGCAATGTTGGCTCACTGCAATCTCTGCCTCCTAGGTTCAACCAATTCTCATGCCTCAGCCTCATGAGTAGCTGGGATTACAGGTGCCCGCCACCACATCCGGCTAATTTTTTGTATTTTTAGTAGAGATGGGGTTTTGCCATGTTGGCCAGGCTGATCTCGAACTCCTGAAATCAGGTGATCCACCTGCCTCGGCCTCCCAAAGTGCTGGGATTACAGGCATGAGCCACTGTGCCCGGCATGAATACATCACTCTTAATAAGGACATTGTTTTGTTTCGGTTTCAGCTGTGTGTGTGTGTGTGTGTGTGTGCACATGTCTGTATTGTTTTAGGATCCAAAATGTGAGTCATGGTCAACAAGCCTCAAAAAACACTAAGATGAAAGTTTCATTTGTCAGATCTTTGGTGCTTGACAGGCAAAAAAGGTTTCTATGTTGTGGTGCTACCAGTGAAAGCATGATCCCCATACCCCCGCTCCAATTGCCATCTCCATTATGGGCAGGTTCTTGGCTGGGCCTTTTTTCCTTTCAAAGGTCAGTCTCCCAAAGGACAGCACTTGGGTTTTAAAATTGTGGTCTTCTCATGAACCCTTTATAAGCAGCAGTGTTACAAACTGCTTTCTGTCCAGCCAGGCTTGTGATAGAGAACTAGAGAGCATTTCTTTAAAAATTACAGAATATTTTAAAGTATTTTGACAGGTTTTATGCCTTGATTGGACTTTGAGATCCACTGTTGTAGACAGTACCTCCCAGCCCTCTGGATACTATGTGGTGCTAGAGCTGCCTACCCATCTTTCTCTTCTCTGGTTTAGAGATTGCTTTTCTCACCTTTGGTTTCCTCTACTTTTCTTCATTGCTTCCCCTTCCTGCAACTTCACCCCATTCCCATTTTTCTTTAACCATTTGCCTCAATTAATAGCTTCTGCCATCCACACTGTTTTTGTCATCCATGTGGGATTGCTTACCTTCTCAAACTCCAGTTTGTTTACTTTCCCCTTGAGGTACCATCAGATGGCTGTGTCTCTCTCAAAAAATTCATGTGTCTAGTGGGCGTGGTGGCTCACACCTGTAATCCCAGCACTTTGGGAGGCTGAGCTGGGCAGGCTGACCTGAGGCTGACCAGAGGTCAGGAGTTCGTGACCAGTCTGAACAACATGGAGAAACCCTGTCTCTATGAAAAATACAAAAAATTAGCCGGGTGTGGTGGCACATGCCTGTAATCCCAGCTACTTGGGAGGCTGAGGTAGGAGAATCACTTGAACCTGGGATGCGGAGGTTGTGGTGAGCCGAGATCATGCCATTGCACTCCAGCCTGGGCAACAAGAGTGAAACTCCACTCAAAAAAAAAAAAAAATTCATGTGTCTAGGGCAAGCTGTTACTGATTAACCCTTTTCCCTTCTGGAATAAATAAGGGACTTTTATGTTTTCTTTTTATCATGCTAGGTGGTAAAACCAAGACTGAGAATGAGGAAAAAACTGCACAGCTAAACATTTCTAAAGAATCAGAGTCCCACAGACTGATAGTGGAGGGACTGCTGATGGACGTTCCCCAGCACCCTGACTTCAAGGACAGGTTAGAGAAGTCACAGCTACATGATACAGGGAATAAAACAAAGATAGGGGATTGCACAGATTTGACAGTCCAGGATCATGAATCTTCCACCACTGAAAGGGAGGAGATAGCCAGGAAATTGGAAGAAAGTAGTGTCAGCACACATCTCATTACAAAGCAGGGTTTTGCCAAAGAACAGGTGTTTTATAAATGTGGTGAGTGTGGCAGTTACTACAACCCACATTCAGACTTTCACCTGCATCAGAGAGTTCACACTAATGAGAAGCCCTACACATGCAAAGAATGTGGGAAAACCTTCAGATATAACTCAAAACTGTCACGGCATCAGAAAATCCACACTGGAGAGAAACCATACTCATGTGAGGAATGTGGACAAGCCTTCAGTCAAAATTCCCACCTTCTTCAGCATCAGAAGCTCCATGGTGGACAGAGGCCCTATGAATGTACTGACTGTGGTAAAACCTTCAGTTATAATTCAAAACTGATTCGGCATCAGAGAATCCATACTGGGGAGAAGCCCTTTAAATGTAAGGAATGTGGGAAAGCCTTCAGTTGTAGCTATGACTGCATCATCCATGAACGAATTCACAATGGGGAGAAGCCCTATGAATGTAAGGAGTGTGGGAAGAGTTTGAGTTCTAATTCAGTTCTGATTCAGCATCAGAGAATCCACACTGGGGAGAAACCTTATGAATGTAAAGAGTGTGGCAAGGCCTTCCACCGCAGTTCGGTATTTCTTCAGCACCAGAGGTTCCACACTGGGGAACAACTCTACAAATGTAATGAATGTTGGAAAACTTTCAGCTGTAGCTCCCGCTTCATAGTGCATCAGAGAATCCACAATGGGGAGAAACCCTATGAATGCCAGGAATGTGGGAAGACATTCAGTCAAAAGATCACTCTGGTTCAGCATCAGCGAGTTCACACTGGGGAGAAACCTTATGAGTGTAAGGAGTGCGGGAAAGCCTTCAGATGGAATGCAAGTTTCATCCAGCATCAGAAGTGGCATACTAGGAAGAAACTCATCAATGGAACAGGGCTATCCGCAGTTAAGCCCTACTGTCCCTGCGCCATCCTCTCTCCTCTGCCTCCCCAACATACCTGCTCTGCCCTAGCCCCACCAGGGCCTCCCTTATCTTCTTCACATGCAGTGGTACTTCCTCCCTCTGTGCCTTTCTTCCTGCTGCTTCCCTCATCTGAAAAGGCCAACCCTTCACCTGTCCAAATAGCACATTTTTTTCAGGATCTCGCTTTTCCTGGGAAGTCATCCCTTCAGAGCCCGAATCCTTTGTCTCACTCCCTGTAAGCCCCGTCACGTTCTCAAAATCCTTTGCACCTCAAGTTAGGGATTCCACTGGTCTCCTGATTGTGTCTATTGATATTCCTCTGGTCTTGTCTTGTATAAGTTGTTACTGTTTTCCTAACTTCATTTTAAATTCTCACGCTTAAGGACCATGTTTGATTAGTTTCTTTTATCCCCCGGTAGGAAATGGCAGTACTTATTCTTTATCGTGTCCACATTTGGGCTGTATTATCAGTCTGCATCTCTCTTCTGGGGCTACTGGAGTTGGAAGAGTTTGCAGAACATTTTGGGGTTTAGGGCATATGGCATTATGATTATGATGAGATGGGGCATTATAATTAGAGACTAGGAGAAATGCAAAGCCTATGGGAGAACATAATCAGATAAAGTGTCCAATGATTGCTTTCAAGAGCTTTTTTTTTTTTAGGGGGTGGGGGGTGGTGCCGGAGTTTCACTCTTGTCACCCAGGCTGTTTGCAGTGGTGTGATCTTGGCTCACTGCAACCTCTGCCTCCAGGGTTCAAGTGATTCTCATGCCTCAGCCTCCCGAGTAGCTGGGACCACAGGCATGCACCACCACGCCCCGCTAATTTTGTATTTTTAGTAGAGACAGGGTTTCACCATGTTGGCCAGGCTGGTCTCAAAATCCTGACCTCAGGTGATTCACCTGCCTCAGTCTCCCAAGTGCTGGGATTACAGGCATGAGCCACTGCATCTGGCCTGCTTTCAGGAGTTAAGGAGGGCCATTTGGTGGACCAGGGGCAAGGCTCACTGAAAGAATGTAAGACTTGGAATTTTTTATTACCTTGATAGTATAAAAAATTATGAGGGTCCTTTTATGCAAAAAGAAAATGAAGTGATGAGTTGGCATTGATAGCAATAATGTAAAATTATGTCTTTGAGCTTTATTGGAAGGGGATATGGTTTTTCAATTTGGGTTCCTTCTCTATTTTCATTTTCCTTTTTTTTTTGAGACAGGTTCTTGTTCTGTCATCCAGGCTGGATTGCAGTAGTGCGATCATGGATCACTGCAGTGTGTTGACCTTCCAGGCTCAAGCAATCCTCCCACCTCAGCTTCCCAAGAAGCTGGGAGGTAGTGCAGCCTCCCAGTTTCTCAGAGGGCTGAGGTGGGAGGATTGCTTGAGCCCTGGGGGCATACACCACCACACCCAGCTAATTTTTGTATTTTTTGTAGAGACAGAGTTTTGCCATGTTGCCCAGGCTGGTCTCAAAACTCCTGGACTCAAATGATCCTCCCACTTCAGCCTCCCAAAGTGCTGGGATTACAGGCTTGAGCCACCATGTCCAGCCTCTATTCCTTTTCATATCTGTTGAATTTCAGTACCCACTCATATATGTAGGTACAAAAAGTGACTTGGACTTGTACCCTTTAGGGTAGATGCCTGAGTATAGTAATCTCTAAAGCTGTACATGGATGGAACTTGTTGGCATCACACTGGTGAGCACCAGAGGCAAAGAAGAGAAACCTGACCATGACTTGCTGTAGTTTCTCAGAAGTGAGTCCATTCCTGATGAGTTACTATGCAGGCCCTTGGATATGTCCTCACACCTACTCCAGA
This sequence comes from Homo sapiens, assembly GCF_000001405.40. Taxonomy (NCBI): domain Eukaryota; kingdom Metazoa; phylum Chordata; class Mammalia; order Primates; family Hominidae; genus Homo; species Homo sapiens. The sequence goes on from NC_000003.12 coordinate 40,489,818, forward strand.
TTTCCCTATGATTAAATCTGAATTTTATTGGTGGCACTTTTAAATTAGTTTTATAAAGAACTGTTTTGATGACACCAAGAAATGTTTTCAGTGTGCAGATTGCTATTGTTTGAATATCCCCAGCAAAATTCTTGTTGAAACTTAATCCCCATTGTAACAGTACTGGGTGGGGGGTCTTTAAGAGGTGATCAGGATTAGCCAAGTTCATCAGGGTGGAGCCTCCATGATGGGACTGGTGGCTTTATGAGGAGAGGAAGAGCAACTGGAACTGGGACACATGCTTGCTCTGTCTTGCCTTTTGATGCCTCCTGCCATGTCATGATGCAGCAAGTAAGCCCTTACCAGATGCCTGCACCTTTATATTGGACTTCTTAGCCTTCAGAACTGTGAACTAAATAAACCTCTATTCTGTATAAATTACCCAGTCTATGGTATTCAGTTAGAGCCACACAAAATGTAACAAGACAGAATATTGATAGCCATAAGTAGGTTTGCTGCTCTGACATTTACATAAAAATGTAGAAGTGGCTTTGGAACTGAGTAATGGGTAGAGGCTTGAAAAATCTGGAAGATCAGGTCAGACAAAGCCTGTATTATCTAATGGAGCATTAAGGGTGATTTTGGCCAAGGCTTAGAAGAGAAGACTAGGGAAAGTCTGAACCTTCTTAGAGATTACAGGAGGTCCTTGAACAACTTGGGTTTCAACTGTGTGGGTCCACTTATGGACTTTCTTCTGCCTCTGTCACCCCTGAGATGGCAAGACCAGTCTCCCTCCTCTCCCCTTCTCAGCCTGCTTAACAAAATGACAAGGATACAGACCTTTATGATGATCCATATAATATAGTGAATTATATTTACTAAATATAATTTCTCTTATGATTTTCTTAATATTTTCTCTAGCTTTATTATAAGAATATAGTGTCTAATATGTATAACATAAAAAATATGTGTTAATCGACTGTTTCAGTAAGGCTCTGGTCAACAGTAGACTATTAGTAGTTACATTTTTGGGGAGTTAAAAGTTATACATGGCATGGGGGTTGGTGCCCATATGATGGGACTGATGGCTTTATAAGAAGAGGAAGGGAGACCTGAGCTGACATGCATGCTCTTGCCATCTTGCCATGTGATGCTTTCCATCATGTTATGACACAGCAAGAAGGCCAGATACGGCCCCTCCACAGTTCCCAGCCCTCGGAACCATGAGCTAAATAAACTTCTTTTCTTTATAAATTACCCAATCTGTGATATTCTGTTATAGTAACAGAAAACAGACTGACACTGATCTTACCAGACATTATGATCTCACTGGTTTGGCCTACTGCCTAGAGACTGACCCTTCTCAGAATCACTGCTTCAGGGCAGTATAACAACATGCAAAGGTTTATTTATTTATTTATTATTTTTTGAGACGAAGTTTCACTCTTGTTGCCCAGGCTGGAGTGCAATGGCGCGATCTTGGCTCACCACAACCTTTGCCTCCCAGGTTCAAGTAATTCTCCTGCCTCAGCCTCCCGAGTAGCTGGGACTACAGGCATGCGCCACCATGCCTGGCTAATTTTGTATTTTTAGTAGAGATGGGGTTTCTCCATGTTGGTCAGGCTGGTCTCAAACTCCTGACGTCAGGTAAGCTGCCCGCCTCAGCCTCCCAAAGTGCTGGGATTACAGGCATGAGCCACCGCGCCCGGCCACAAAGGTTTTTTAAAAAAACCTTTGTTTTTTAAAAAACTACATTTTTAAAAAAACCTTTGTGGCCGGGCGCGGTGGCTCATGCCTGTAATCCCAGCACTTAATGTAAAAAAACAAACTGTGAAAAATATTTCAGAGACGTTTAACCTGAGCCAATGTGAAGTGACCGTGGCCTGGAGAAAACACAAACCCAGGAAACCTTGAGTAAGTAGTCCTGAGGCAGTCAGAATGTAACTCTGTTTTATGCATTTCAGGGAAGCAGAAGCTACACAAAAAGCCATCAATCAATACATGGAGGTTATACATTGGTTTGGTCCCAAAAGGCAAGATATCTTGAAGCAGAGGAATACAGGTCATAGGTGGGTTCAGAGAGTCTTTTTTTTCTTTTTTTGAGACAGAGTCTTGCTTTGTTGCCCAGGCTGGAATGCAGTGGTGCAATTGAGTTGAGACGGCGTTTCACCATGTTGGCCGGGCCTGTCTTGAACTCCCGAACTCAAGTGATCCACCCGCCCCAGCCTCCCAAAGTGCTGGGATTACAGGCGTGTGCTAAGATTACATGCGTGAGCCACCGTGCGGGGCCAGAGATTATTTAATTTGTAATTGTTTAGAAGAACAAAGTGTGGTCTAAGAACTTGGAGTTACCAGAAAGGAATGTTTAAGTTAAGGAAGTTTGTAGCCAGGTGTGGTGGCTCACACCTGTAATCCCAATACTTTGGGAGGCCAAGGTAGGAGTATCACTTGAAATCAGGAGTTCAAGACCAGCCTGGGCAACATAGGAAAACTGTGTTTCTACTAAAAATAATTTTTTAAAATTTAATTTAATTTAAAAAAGGATAATGTTACGCATCATATGATGCTATGCTAGAGTTGAGTTGTGAGACCAAGCCACTATATATATATTTTATAAAATATATATAATATAGGCTGGGCGCAGTGGCTCATGCCTGTAATCCCAGCACTTTGGGAGGCCGAGGTGGGTGGATCACCTGAGTTTAGTAGTTCGAGACCAGCCTGGCCAATATGGTGAAACCCCGTCTCTACTAAAAACACAAAAATTAGCCGGGCATGGTGGTGGGCGCCTGAAATCCCAGCTACTTGGGAGGCTGAGGCAGGAGAATCGCTTGAACCTGGGAGGCGGAGGTTGCAGTGAGCCAAGATCTTGCCACTGCACTCCAGCCTGGGCGACATATCTGAAAAAATAAATAAAATAAATAAATAAATAAGAAATATATATATATACACACACACATATATGTGTGTGTGTGTGTATGTGGGTATGCGTGTGTATATATATAGTGTGTGTGTGTATATATTATACACAGACAGAGTCTCACTCTCGCCCAGGCTGGAGTGCTGTGGGGCAACCTCGGCTCATTGCAAGCTCCGCCTCCCAGGTTCACGCCATTCTCCTGCCTCAGCCTCCCGAGTAGCTGGGACTACAGGCGCCCACCACCATGACCAGCTAATTTTTTGTATTTTTAGTAGAGACGGGGTTTCACCGTGTTAGCCAGGATGGTCTCGATCTCCTGACCTTGTGATCCGCCCGCCTCAGCCTCCCAAAGTGCTGGGATTACAGGTGTGAGCCACCGCGCCCGGCCCCAAGGAGTTTCCATTTCTTCTTTTTCTTTTTTTTTTGAGATGGAATTTCACTCTGTCACCCAGGCTGGAGTGCAACGGCGTGATCTCGGCTCACTGCACTCTCCGCCTCACGGGTTCAAGCGATTCTCCTGCCTCAGTCTCCTGAGTAGCTGGGATTACAGGCATGAGCCACCACGTCTGGCTAATTTTTGTATTTTTACTAGAGACAGGGTTTCACCATGTTTGCCAGGCTGGTCTCGAACTCCTGACCTCAGGTGATCCGTCTGCCTCGGCCTCCCAACATGCTCTGATTACAGGCATGAACCACCGCACCTGGCCTTCTATTTCTTCGGAAAGTGAAATGGTTATAGCTAAACATACTGACTTTTCCCCTTGTGATACTGTAATACAATAAGAAAGATATATTTGTCCTTTTCCCCAGTTTCTGGCATAAAGCTGCTAAAATCCTTGTAGTTTCCTAGTAATAAGAGCATCTTTTGTTATAATATTCAGTCTTAGTTCTTGGCACGTGAACTTCTGAGACCCTTACAACCTCCAGAGTGGTGTGTCTTTTGTATGCTAATGAGATGACTGGTAGCTGAGGTCCCTGAGATAGCTTAGGGATGGGGTCTGGTGGCAGAAAGATCAAGGAATAATTAGAGGGCTGGAACATTCAACCCCAACCTCCAACCTCTGGGAAGGGGAGAGGGGCTGGAGGCTGAGCTAATCATCAATGGCTAATAATGTAATCAATCATCCCTATGTAATGAAACCTCCATACAAACCCTAAACAAGGAGATTCAGAGAGCTTCCAGGTTTGTGAACACATGGAGGTGCTTGAAGGGTGGTGCATGGAAGGTCCATGCCCCTCCCTCCATACCTTGCCCTTTGTATCTCTTCCATTTGGCTGTTCCTGAGTTGTGTCCTTTATAATAAATCAGTAATAGGAAGTAAAGTGCCTTCCTGATTTCTGTGAGCCATTCTAGCACATTATCAAACATGAGAAGAGGGTTACGGGAACAGAAGTACAGTGGCCCAGAACTTATGATTGGCATCTGAAGTGGGGACAGTCTTGTGGGACTGAGCCTTTAACCTGTATGGTTTGATGCTAACTCTGGGTAGTTAGTGCCAGAGTTGAATTGTTAGACACCTAGCTGGTGTCCAGAGAGCTGAAGAACTGGTTGTTGGTGTGGGAAGAAACCCAAATACTTATGTGAGAATTTGAGCAGAAACCGTTCATACTCCCCTCTACTTGCTAGTTCAAGATTTGCGTAAGGAATGTCCACTTTCTTCAGGAAAGACGGATGGCTATTAACTAAGTTGTGCTGTTTTCAGACTTTTGCCTTTAACAGTGAGTTAGCTAAGTGTGCTATTTAGGATTCTGTTTAAAAATAGCAGAAACCTACTTGAATTAACTTAAATACACTTAATTTATTATGAGGATTTCTGCATGCACCCTGGCACCCAAAGGCAAGAATGCAACTAGAAGTTCTGGAGCGTGGAAAATCCAAGCAATCAGGAACAACAGGCAGCACACTCAGGTTCAATCTCAGCTCTTTCCTCACTTCTGATCCCTTTTTTGCTCTTTGCTTTCCTGCTTTCTCTGATCCTAGGCATAGGGCAGAAATTGCCAGAGGTCCTAAGTTTACAACTCCATTTCAGAGACCAGCCCAAATTCAGTTAGAATCTCTCAGACTTAATTCCTAATTCTTGGCAGAGAGAATCGGATTTGCTTAGTTTGGGTTGGTTGTTCACTTCTGGTCTGATCCTATGGCCCAGGGGGCTGGGTCATGTGATGTAAATGAAGCTTCCAGGGCCCCATCCTTTGGGAGGGGGTGGTTAACCGGGCTGATGAGACACCCAAAAGATGCCTGTTGCTAATTAGATCACAGTCTTTTCCCTCATTTCTATTGCTTCATGTCTCCTGACAACTAAGATAACTGAGAAGCCTCAGGATTTTTTTTTTTCTCTTCTGCCTGGAAGCTTTCATAAATTTATTTTTGACAATTCATTCTGCCTTGGTGTTGATTATACTCTATTAACGTTTTTTGGCTCTCAGTGATCTCTCAGACTGCATTCACATCTTCCTCTGATGACAGTTTGTGACTGGCCAGTGGGTGGAAGAGCTGGTGGGGTTAGGGAAATGGGGATATAGTCTCCTCTGATTTCCTTGGGGCTCTGTCTTTGGGGTAAACAGCCACCTCTGGCCATAGCTGAGTGAGTTGGGTCTTTCTGTTTGGGATATATGTGTGCAAGCAACTCAACAGTAGCAAGGCTGGCTCTCTGGCTATAGCTCTCCATTTGATTCAGTTCTGGTTATCCCTCCCCTCCCCTCCCCTCCCCTCCTCACTCCTCTCCTTCTTTTTTTTTTTTGTATTTTCATATCCACTCCAATATGGAAGCTGTCTTGGTGGTAACAACAACTGTGTGGCTGCATGATCTCTCCTTTAATTCTGTCACTACTGCCATTCCTCCTAATAAGTCTCTGGAATCTCCTATTCTACCAGAATAGGTCTCTGGTAGGGTATTTCCTGCCTCTCCTTGAATGCCCCTGCCCCTAGCCGTCATCTTCCCAAGCTGAGATTTCTTAGTAGCACCTTCAGACACATCTCATTCCATAAACTCCCCGTTCTCTCTCTCTATATATATATATATATTTTTTTTTTTTCTCCAAGAAGGGTCCTTGCTCCCATAGCCGGAGTGCAGTGGTGTGATCTTGGCTCACTGCAGCCTCCACCCCCCGGGTTCAAGTGATTCTCCTTCCTCAGCCTCCCGAGTAGCTGGGATTACACGCATGTGCCACCATGCCCAGCTAATTTTTGTATTTTTAGTAGAGATGAGGTTTTGCCAGTTGGCCAGGCTGGTCTCGAACTCCTGACCTCGTGATGCCCCCGCCTCAGCCTCTCAAAGTGTTAGGATTACAGGCATGAGCCACTGCGCCCGGCCTGTTCTTTATATCTTAACAGCAGTTAACAAGCTGTGGGGGAAGAACTCTGCCTCTTACAGTTCAGTCCAAATTATAATAAGCTTGGCTAATACACCTCTGCACTTGAGAGTATGAAATTGGGCTACTTCTCTAGTTTGTAGGCTTCCCCTTGGGGGAGGGTAACACTCAGTATGTCAAAGCTTGCTGTGTTAACAAGGACTTTAGAGGGAATGGCGATGGAGCACAGACTGGAGATGGTTAGATTCATCTTTACCAGTCCAGCCCCCCTGGACAAGGTCCTAGGAATGGTGAGGGCTTATAAAGAGACACAAACAGCTATTAATATTTCCCTATATGATGCCATGCCCTGGAGGCCAAATCCTCCTCTCCTCTTTTTTTTTTTTTTCTTGACAGGGTCTCACTTTGTCACCCAGGCTGGAGTGGAGTGGGGAGATCTTGGCTCACTGCAGCCACCTCAACCTCCTGGGCTCAAGCCATCCTCCTGCCTCAGTCCCCCAAGTAGCTGGGACTACAGGCATGCACCATCATGCTTGGCTAGTTTTTTTTTTTTTTTTGAGACGGAGTCTTGCTCTCTTCCCCAGGCTAGAGTGCAGTGGCATGATCTCGGCTCACTGCAAGCTCCACCTCCCTGATTCACACCATTCTCCTGCCTCAGCCTCCCCAGTAGCTGGGACTACAGGCACCCGCCACCACACCCGGCTACTTTTTTTGTATTTTTTATTAGAGACAGGGTTTCACCATGTTAGCCAGGATGGTCTTGATCTCCTGACAGTCAGGAAATGATTACTGTAATGTTATAGTATGGATTGATATATGGGTACAGCAAATTTCCTTTTTCCCCAAAAAATATTCTCACTAGTCTTTTCATCTGTCCCTCTGTATAAGCTTCATAATCCAGATTCTTTAGAACTTTAGAATAAAAAATTATTTCCTTTGGGATTGCAGTGACTTATAGATTAAATGAGAAATGACAGTTTTAGAAAAATAATGCTTTCCACTTATGAACATGTTCTCTCTTGTTATTTATTCAGTTCTTCTTTTATGTTTTTCAGTGAAGGGGTGTGTGTGTGTGTGTGTGTGTGTGTGTGCGCGCGCGCGCGTGCGTGCGCGCGCATGCGTGCACACGTGCATGTGTGCGCTATAGGTCTTGTCCATCTTCCAACTGAATTTTGGGGTATACTATTGATTTTCTATGTTGGTCTTCATCTGGCCATCTAATTATCTACAGCGCATCTGCTTCCTTCCCACGTTCCCACCCAGGGCTTGAGTAGGAATCTTTTGTTTCAGGAACTAGTGACCATCAAGGATACAACTTTCTATTTCACCTACAAACAATGGGCCAGCCTGATGCCTGCTCAAAAGACCTTGTACAGAGATGGTATGGGAGATACAGTTCTGTTGCTTCTCCAGATGACGCCCTCTCTAGGACTTAGCCTTTGTACTTAGCTTCCTGGCTTCTTTCCTCTTATAGGCTGAGGTATCTCTCATAAGCTCATTTTCAGAATTCCATGAGCTGAGTTACCCAACTCACCCGCCTCAGGGACTGCTGGCCAGGGAGAGCCCTAGATTCTCTGTAGTATTGAAACAGATGTCCCCAGTTCCCTAGTAGAGGCTCTGCTTTGGGCACAATGGGAAATGAAAATTTTTTTGATGCCCTAATTGAGCCCTCTGTCCCTACACCATCCCTGTTTTCTTGAGATCTTAGCCTCCTACCATGTGGGTGGGATACTACCACTATTTCAGCCCACACTCTCACAGGGCCAGATGTGTTACGCTCCTTCCTGAGTAAGACAGTTGGGCTCCTTCTGTAGAGTGCTCCACTTTCCCTGAGATCCCGCCTCACTTGTTCTCCGGGGTGTTCCAGTTCTTCCTCCACTTGCTAAAGGCAGAAGATGGGCTGAAAAGAGTTCCAGATATCAATTCTGGTTGACTCCCCACATTTTCCTATTCCTTTTTTTTCTCCTTGAGAAACATTTTATTCCCAAAACAAGTTCTGATATCTCTGCTGGAGCAAGGGGAAATACCATGGGGCCCAGATCCCTGGGTGCTGCTTGGCAGAGAGGCCCTGAGAGGTGTCTGTTCTGGGGAGTGAGAGAACCTGTGAGCTTCCCTTCCTGCTTTTCCTCTTTGTTTTTGTGTTTGTCTGTTTGCTTGTTTTAAGAGATAGGGTCACTGGGCACGGTGGCTCATGCCTGTAATCCCAGCACTTTGGAAGGCTGAGGTGGGTGCATCACTTGAGGTCAGGAGTTTGAGACCAGCCTGGCCAACATGGTGAAACCCGGTCTCTACTAAAAGTACAAAAATTAGCTAGGTGTGGTGGCAGGCGCCTATAATCCCAGCTACAGGCCCTGGTGTGTGATGTTCCTCTCCCTGTGTCCATGTGTTCTCATTGTTCAACTCTCACTTATGAGTGAGAACAGGCGTGTTTGGTTTTCTGATCTTGTGATAGTTTGCTGAGAATGATGGTTTCCAGCTTCATCCATGTCCCTGTAAAGGACGTGAACTCATCCTCTTTTATGGCTGCATAGTATTCCATGGTGTATATGTGCCACATTTTCTTAATCCAGTCTATCATTGATGGACATTTGGGTTGGTGCCAAGTCTTTGCTGTTGTGAACAGTGCTGCCATAAACATACGTGTGCAGGTGTTTTTTATCGTAGAATGATTTATAATACTTTGGGTATATGCCCAGTAATGAGATTGCTGGGTCAAATGGTATTTCTAGTTCTAGATCCTTGAGGAATCACCACACTGTCTTCCACAATGGTTGAACTAATTTACACTCCCATCAACGATGTAAAGCATTCCTATTTTTCCACAACCTCTCCAACATCTGTTGTTTCCTGACTTTTTAATGATCGCCATTCTAACTGGCATGAGATGGTATCTTAAGACTCAGAGGTGTTCCTCTCCATGGAAATCTTTAGTAAAAGGTGAAAGATTTATATGATCTGAAGAGAAGCCAGAGTATAATTTTCTACTATTTTCAATACAAAGATGTGTTTTCATTACAATTAGAGGAATATAGGCTTCTGTGAGCTAGCCTGGAAGCAAACATAATCATTATTGTTCATTGTTTCTGTGAGAAAATGTAATGCTGTTTCTAAATATTGACCTAACAATAAACTCTGAGGAATTCATGATTGTAACTGGATGGAAACTGGCTTTCTTCATTTGAAATAAATTAATTGAACAAGATAAAAAAAATCCAGAGACATATATTTTGGCTTTTCTTCTTATTTTCAGCCTGTTCCAATTTCAAATCAAGCTATACAGAATCCTTTTATAGCATAGTGCCTTTCAATCCAGCCCCACCATTACCTTGAAGCACTCCCTTCCCAGTAATGACCCTGCCCTAGGACTTAAGGCTATTTCAGTAAGAAAACTTCCCAACAGTCCTTCTGCATCTACTTGTGAATCCTCTTTGCTGCAGCTATAGGTCATCTGATTAGTCCACTAATGGCCTTCATTAATGAAAAGAATAGCCTTCTAAAATTGTAGATTAACTAAGAATATTCCTTATGCAGCCAGTAGCTTTCTTATCTGCTTTCGGTATCAGCCAACTTTCTGATGAAGATTTTCTCTCTTATCACAGAATATTTCATGGGTAATATTTGAACATAGAATTTTCTGGAAGTAAGAGTCGTTGGTTGGGTGTTGGAACCCTCGGTTCCTGGTCTGTGCTTCTCAACCTGCTGGATCTGGTGTGGTGCTGCAGCTGCTCACCTAGCCCTCTCCTCCAGACCCAGGCACATCCTGTTTCTTCTTCCCATGCTCTTGCTGCTGCTTCTCCCTCTTCCACCTCACTCTTTTCTCTAACCTCCTTCCCATCTTGAAGGGACCTGTTCATCTCCCTCTACACTCTTTAATTCTTGTCGCCCTGCTTCTGGAAACAAAATAGCTCCTCTTTTGACCCATCCTGTTAATTACCAGCATCTTCAGTTTTCTGTGGGATCCCATTAGGTCTCTGTCCTTGTTTCCTCTGGCCCTTATGCAGCCATTTTAGTCTGTTGGGAAGAAACCATATACTCAGAAAGTAACCTAGTAACACTTGATTGACTTTCTCCTCCAGCCCAGCTAATGATTGAAATTTGACCCTTCCTTCCCTCCTTCCTTTCCTTTTCCTTCCTTCCTTCCTCCCTCTCTCCCTCCCTCCCTCCCTCTTTCTTTCTTTCTGAGTCTTGCTGTCACCCTGGCTGGAGTGCAGTGGTACAATCTTGGCACACTGCAATCTCTGCCTCCTGGGTTCAAGCGATTCTTGTGCCTCAGCCTCCCAAGTAGCTGAAACCACAGGCACATACCTCCATGCCCAGTTAGTTTTTGTATTTTAGTAGAGATGGGGTTTTGCCATGTTGGCCAGGCTGGTCTCAAACTCCTGACCTCAAGTGATCTGCCTGTCTCGGCCTCCCAAAGTACTGGGATTACAGGTGCGAGCCACCATGTCTGGCCTTGTCTTTTCTTTTTGTTATGTCACCATATAAGACCAGAATTGTCATTAAGGGACTAATCCACAGTTGCCAACTTCTGAAGAAATAGAACCCCAAGGACTGACATCAGCAAGGGATGCAGTCTAGCACTCTGACCATTAGGGCAGCTTAGAGTGGCAGCAGGGTCATTGCACAAGGAAGAAAAAGACAAAGAAGAGAGGTTTCATAGATGTATCAGTCAGGCAATATAGGTCCCTCCACTGTTCAGAAGAGAAGTTTAAGAAATTAGGTAAAATCATTAGTGACAGCATGCACCTTGTTACAAATCTGAGAGTTCACACAGAACAGATCTAATGAATGTGGTGAGTGAAGCTGATGTTTCAAACTAAGGTCAGTCTTTCACCAACATCAGAGAATTTACCCTGGGAAGATATCATACAATTGTAAAGAATGTAGAAAAGCCTTTAAATATAGGTCAGAACTTTCACAGCACCAGAAAATCCACATAGGGAGAAACGGTACGCCATGTAGGGAATGGACAAGCTTTTAATCAGAACACCCACCTTCTTTTTTTTTTTTTTTTCTTGAGATGGAGTCTCGTGCTGTCACCCAGGCTGAAGTGTAGTGGTGCAATCTTGGCTCACTGCAACCTCTGCTTCCCGGGTTCAAGCAATTCTCCTGCCTCAGCTTCCCGAGTAGCTGGGATTACAGTGCGTGTCACCACACCACACCTGGCTAATTTTTGTATTTTTTTTTTTTTTTTTTTTTTTTTTTTTTTTTTTTTTTTTTTGTGACAGAGTCTCACTCTGTCGCCCAGGCTGTAGTGCAATGGCACGAGCTCAGCTCGCTGCAACCTCCACCTCCCAGGTTCAAGCGATTCTCCTACCTCAGCCTCCCAAGTAGCTGGGACTATAGGTGCCCGCCACCATGCCCGTCTAATTTTTATATTTTTAGCAGAGATGGGGTTTCACCATATTGGCCAGGCTGGTCTCAAACTCCTGACCTTGTGATCCACCCGTCTTGGCCTCCCAAAGTGCTGGGATTACAGGCGTGAGCCACCTCACCCATCCTAATTTTTGTATTTTTAATAGAGACGGGGTTTCGCCATGTTGGCCAGGCCAGTCTCGAACTCCTGGCTTCAAGTGATTGGCCCGTCCTCTGCCTCCCAAAGTGCTGGGATTACAGGCATGAAACACCTGCCCGGCCAGAACACCCACCTTCTTTAGCATCAGAAAACTCCACGGTGATGGCAGCTGTATAAATGGATGGAGTGCGGAAAAAAACTTAAGCTCCAAGATTGCCTTGAATTCTGATTCATTCTGTACCAGAAACTAAACATTCAGAAGACAATTGTTCAAGGCCAGGCACAGTGGCTCACACCTGGAGTTCAAGACCAACCTGGCCAACATGATGAAACCCCCTCTCTCCTAAAAATACAAAAATTAGCCAGGTGTGGTGGCGGGTGCCTGTAATCCCAGCTACTTGGGAGGCTGAGGCAGGAGAATCACTTGATCCCAAAGGTGGAGGTTGCAGTGAGCCAAGATCGCACCACTGCACTCCACCCTGGGTGACAGAGCAAGACTCTGTCTCAAAAAGAAAAAAAAAGGCACTTGTTCAAGAGTAGGGCTGTCCACAGTTAGACCCTGCTAAGGAATGACTGTTCGTTATCTCACCTCCTAATTACAGGGAAAGAGTGTGGTCTGGCCCCACTCAGATCATATATTCATTCTTGATTAATTCAACTATGGGTGGGGGAGCAGAATTACACAGTATTTACACAGCTATCTGGGACTCACTGCTGTTGGTGAGGAGGGCAGTTAAAGGGGCTGTTGTATGCTGATAGATACTCTACAAAGACCGTACCATGTTGAGCATATACTTCCTAGACTAAGTTCATTTCCCTCAACACTCCATGCCAGAGGCTCTTAACCCAACTGCCCATTAGAACCACTTGGGATGTTGTGTTTTTGTTTTTGTTTTTTAATACCAATGCCTAGGCTGAATCCTAGACCAATTATTTCAGAATCTCTGGGAGCAGGTCCCAGGTATCAGTATTTTTTTTTTAATTCCCTAGGTAATTATAAGGTGATGCTACAAAGAACCACTTTTTTTTTTTTTTTTTTTTTTTTTTTGAGATGGAGTCTTGCTCTGTCACCCAGGCTGGAGTGCAGTGGCGCGATCTTGGCTCACTGCAACCTCCACCTCCCAGGTTCAAGCAATTCTCCTGCCTTACCCTCCTGAGTAGCTGGGATCACAGGCATGTGCCACCATGCCCAGCTAAATTTTTTTTGTATTTTTAGTAGAGACAGGGTTTCACCATATTGGCTAGGCTGGTCTCAAACTCCTGACCTCAGGTGATCTGCCTGCCTCAGCCTCCCAGAGTGCTGGGATTACAGGTGTTAGCCACCGCGCCCAGCCAAATAACCACTTCTGTAGACCTTTGCTACTCAAATTGTCACCTGAAGACCAGCAGCATTGGCATCACCTGGGAGATTTATCAGAACTACAAGCTCACTGAATCAAACTCTACTCTTTGACAATGCTACCAGGTGACTTCGTGGACACACTAAGGTTTGAGAAGCATTACTCCAGACCCTGCTCCATGTGTGTGTCTTGGCATCTAATATTGCCAAGAAGAAGTCTGAGGCAGCCTGATTTTGCTTCCTTTTCAGTCTGGAAATTTGCAGAACTTTAAATCTTAAATTTTCGTAATTTCACTAGGATATGTCTTGTTGCTGGTTTTTCCCCATTAAAATTTCCTAGAATTTAGAGAGCATTTTCAGCCTGCAGATTCTCCTCCCTGATGAATGGCTTTTTCCTTCAAGTTTGTCCTATCAGGATTAGAACTAGGGTTAGATTTAAGGACACAACCCATTTTAAGATTATGTTGTCTTTCTAGTATGTATATATTTTTTAAATTGAGGTATCACTGACATACAATAAGCCATGCATAAAGTGTATGATTTGATAAGTTTTGCCATATGTATATGTCTCTCAAAAAATAACACAATCAAGATAACAAACATAATCATACCCCAAAAAGTTTCCTTATGCCCTTTTATAATCTCTCCATTCCAGCCTGCTCCTCTCCTGCCTCCAGCCCCAAGAAACCACCAATCTGTTTTCTTTTACTATAGTTTTCCTTTTCTAGAATTTTATATAAATGCTATCACACAGTATGTACTCTTTTTAAAGTTATTATTTTTTTTGGTGTGATGTCTTTCACAACACAGAATTATTTTGAGATTCACCCATGTTGTTGCATATATATCAGTAGTTCATTCCTTGTTATTACTGAGTAGTATTCCACTGTATGGATATGCCACAACTTAACTCAAATGATGGCCATTTGAATTGTTTCCAGTTTTTGGCTATTATAAATTAAGCTGTTATGAAAATTTGTATGCAAGTCTTTGTAATGTAAGGACATATGTTTTCATTTCTCTTGGGTAAATAACAAGAGTGAAATGGCTAGATAATAAGGTAGGTGTATATTTAATTTTTAAAGAATCTGCAAAGTTTTTCCAAAGAGACTGTGCCATTGTACATTTCCATCAGTATTGTATGGGTTCCACTTCTGATACATCTTTGCCTACACTTGATGTTGTCTCTACTTTTAGCTTTTCTAGTAAGTGTGTAATACTGTTTCACTGCGGTTTTAATTTGCATTTCTCTAATGACTAACAATGTTGAGCATCTTTTCAAATATTTAATTGCTTTCCATATATCTTCTTTGGTGAAGTATCTGTTCAAATCTTTTGCCTATTTTTAAAAATTGGTTTATTTTCTTATGAGTGAGTTTTGAGAGTCCTTTATATATTTTGGAAACAAGTCTTTTATCAAATATTTTTGGTATTTTCTCCCAGTCTGTGGCTTGTCTTTTCATTCTCTAAAAGTATCTTCTGAAAAGCAGAAGATTTAACTTTGATTAAGTCCAATTTATCATGTTTTTTTCCACTGGCTAATACTGTTTAGAATTTGTGGTGTATATGTATGTACGTTTATGTGCACCCACTCATGGTAAATGTTCATTTTAATAGGTTTAGCGAAGGGACAGTATGCACATGTATGTCCTTGTCATGCCATTGTTTCTGGAAATCTAATTATTTAAAACAAGTGCTGTGCATAAACTTTAAAGTGAAAATACTATAGATTTTATAAAATGAACTGTTTCTGTGACAGTTAAAATCTCTGTGCTAGGTGGCCCCACAATGGCTCCCAATGGTTCTCATATCCTGGCATTCAAACCTTGTGTATCTCTTCCCACACTGAATCATGACTAATCTGAGGAGAATGTATTGAGGAAATCATGATGCATGATTTCCAAAACTAGGTCATAAAAGCTTTGGCCTTGGCCTCTTGGATTGCTCACTTTGGGAGAAAGCTACATGCCATGTTGTGAAAACCCTCACATGGGAAGGAACTGACGCTTCCTGCCAACAACCAGCACCCACTTGACAGCCATGTGAGTAAACCACCTTGGAGGTGGATCCTCCAAACTCAGTCAAGCTTCAGATGACTTCAGCCCCACATGACACCTGACTGCAACCTCAGCAGAGACCCTCAGCCAGTACCACCCAGCCAAGCTGCTCTTGAATTCTGGGTCCACAGAAACTGTCAAAAGATAACAATGTTTATTGTTTTTAGCCACAAAGCATTAGAGTAGTTTATTATCCAGCAGTAGATACATAATATACTCTCCATGGCAGGACTTGTTTTGAAAGTGGTGGATAAATCTAATTCCTGTGGAAGGAATAACTAAAATCTGTTTCCAGGCTGGGCCGGGACACACATCCCAGTACAGGGCAGGAAAGGGCTCTAAGCCAAATGTTAATAGCTCTTTCGCTAAACTTCGAAAATTGTCCTTAAAAAAATCTATTTCCCTAAAGCACGCCACATATTGGAGTCCCAGCAGCACCTATTTTGTGTCTTCAAAAAACACAATTGGAAAACAAAACAATACAAACTCACGAGTACATACTATGTGCCAGGCACAACTGTAAATAATTTACCTATCAATTAACTAATTTAATGAATTAACCCTGAACAGCCTCAAGAGGTTGGTACCACCATCATAATACCCATTTAATAGACAAGGAAACCGGGGCAAAGAAACTTGCTGCAGGTCACACAACTAGCAAGTGGTGCAGCTGGGTTTCTGGACCTACGTAGTCCATACACATTCGGCCTTCTGAGTAATGGGTTCGCCTTTCCCCACACCCACTTTTCCCACTGCAGCGCACCCACACAATCCAGACAGTTTTGGCGCATGTGAAGGGCGCGATGGTCCCTTCATTATCTGGAAGGACACCCAGAGTGGCAAATGCCAGATAACCACGAATAATACCCAGGATAGTAACCATTCTGTGGCCTGAGCTGGCCAGACGTCATGCCCCGAAGGAGCTACCAGGTGTGGGCGCTGCAGGACCCCTGCCTGGGGCCGCCCGCTCGGGCCCGTGTTGTCTCAGGCAGTAGGGACACTGGCGCTGACGGCGGGGGTAGGAAACCACAGAGACTGGCAACTTCCCAGGTTCCTAGAGAGGAGGGGCATGGAAAACGCACTTCCGGCGGAGGGTCTCAAGCTTTCCCCGGTGTCGGCGGCAGGTGGAATTTCCACGCTTTATCTGCGCCTGCGCCGCGCGGGATTCGCGGTCCGAGCTGAAGAGGTTCGCGGTCCGGGTAACTGATTGGTTTTCCTGGGGCTTGTTCTGCCTGGTTTTGCAACCCCTTTGCTTTTTGGGGTGAGGAGTTGGCGGAAAGGAGAGGGGCCCAAGTAGCACAGAGGGCATTTGCGGGGTGCGAGGCAGCATCAATCTCACCGGTGCTTCTTTATTTTCTCTTCAGTTTCACTTCTCCGAACCCTGAGGCAGTGTGTGAAGCTGGGACGCCAGCCATGTTCCAGACCGCTTGGCGCCAGGTGAGTGAGCATCCTCTCCCTCCCTCCCACCCTTTAGATGTCAAGAGAGAGCAGGTGTCACCTCTGCATTCAGATCTTGAGTTGTGTAGGCCAGTGGCTTCCATTGTGCATCTGTCACTATGAGAGGGATGGAGAGGTGAGAATGCCCAAATTAAGACTAGAAAACTAGTGAGTGTGGGGGGATTGGTTGGGATTTGGCATTTGAAGCCAGCTTAAAAATAAAAATTATGAAATGTGGAAATCTGCATTATTACATCCAATAAAGACCCCTTTCACCCTAGTCCGCAGGCTTGGAGAAGTACTTACTTCTTCAGTATAGCAATTCTAGTAACTGTTTTGTAGATTCCATTGTATTTTCTACATAGGTCATCTATGAGTAAAGATAGTTTTACTCCTTTCTTTCCAGTCTGGATGCCTTTTATTTTATTTTGTCTTGCCTTACTGCACTGGCTAGAAGCATTATTTCAATATTGAACAGAAGTGGTGAGAGCAGATATCTTTGTCTTATTTATGCTTTTAAAGTGAAAGCATTCAATCTTTCACACTGAAGACTGATGTTCACTGTAGGTTTCTTGCTTTTTTGTTTTGTTTTGTTTTGTAAATGTCCTTTATCAGGCATTCTCTTCTAGTACTACTTTGGTGAGAGTTTTTATAGGAATGGATGTTGGATTTTGACAATTGCTTTTTCTGTGTCTATTTAGATGACCATATGGTTTTTTTTTTTTTTTTTTTTTGAGATGGAGTCTTGCTCTATCGACAGGCTGGAGTGCAGTGGCGCGATCCTGGTTCACTGCACCCTCCACCTCTGGGGTTCAAGCGATTCTCCTGCCTCAGCCTCCCGAGTAGCTGGGACTACAAGCACGCGCCACCACACCCAGCTAATTTTTGTATTTTTAGTAGAGACCAGGTTTCACCATGTTGGCCAGGATGGTCTCGATCCCTTGACCTCGTGATTCCCCCACCTTGGCTTCCCAAAGTGCTGGGATTACAGGCGTGAGCCACCGTGCCCAGCCTCTCTTTGTTAATGTGGTGAATTACATGATTTTTCTTTCAAATATTAAACCAACTCTGCGGTGGGATAAAACCGACTTCGTCATGGTGTATTATTATTTTATTAGTACTATATATTGAATTTAATTTGTTAAAATTTTATTTAGAATTTCTGTATCTATGTTTATGAGGTATTGATTTGCAGTTTTCTTTTCTTGTGATGTCTTTGTTCCATAGAATGAGAAATATTCCCTCCTCTTTAATATTTTGGAAGAATTTATGTAGAGTTGACTGCATTTCTTCCTTAAATGTTTGGTAGAATTCAACAGTGAAGCTATCTAGGCATGGGGTTTTCTTTCTGATAAGGTTTTTAAGTACAGTTTTGAGTCCTTTGGTAGATACAGGGGCTACTCTGGTTATCTCTTTTTATTTATTTATTTTTATTTTTTGACAACGGTTTTCTCTATGTTGCCCAGGCTGACCTCAAATTGGGCTCAAGCAATCCTCCCCGCTCAGCCTCCCAGGTACCTGGGACTACAGGCATGCATCACTACGCCCAGCTTAAATGAGTTTTGGTAACTTGTGCCTTTCAAGGAACTTATCCATTTTATCTAAGTTGTAGAAATTATTCACATAAAGTTGTTCATAATATGTGCTTATCTTTTATTACCTGCAGTGATGTCACTTCTTTTATTACTAATATTAATGATTTGTGTATTCTCTCTTTTTTTCTGGTCACTGGCTAGAGGTTTATGAATTTTATTAATTTTTCTTTAAGAACTAGCTTCTGGTTTCATTACTTTTCTGTTTTATGTCATTAGTTTTCACTTTGATCTTTAATGTCTTTTTTATATTTATTTTGTGTTAAATTTGCTATTCTTTTTTTAGTTTTAAGGGGGAAGCTGAAGTCACAGATTTGAGATCTTTCTTTTTTTTTTGTTTTGTAAAATAGGCATTTAGTGCTATACATTTCCTCCCAAGTACCGCTTTAGCATTATCCCGCAAATTCTAGTACATGGTGTTTTCATTTTCATTCAGTTCAAAATACTTTGTACATTCTCTTATGGAAGTGTGTTACTGACTTTACAAATATTTGGGGATTTTCCAGGAGTCTTTCTGTGATATCAAATTTAATTGCATTACAGTCAGAAAACATACTTTGTATGACTTGAATCATTTTGATTTTATTGAGCTTTCTTTTATGGCCCAGAATATGGACTGTCTACCTATCTACATTGTCTTATATGAATTTAGCCACTGCAGCTTTTTTTTTTTTCTTTTTTCCTTAGAGACAATCTTACTCTGTCTCCCAGGCTGAGTGCAGTGGTGCAATCACAGCTCACTGCAGCCTCCACCTCCCAGGCCTAAGTGATCCTCCCAAGGAGTTGAGACTAAGTTGAGACTACAGGTACAGACCACTGTGCTTGGCTCTCTTCTTTTTCCTAGAGACAAGGTTGCCTAGGCTCTTCTCAAACTCCTAGATGCAAGCCATCCTCCCGCCTCCACCTCCCAAAGTGCTGGGATTACAGGCATGAGCCACCATGCCTGGCCTTACAGTTTTCTTTGGCTAATGTTGTCATGGTATGTCTTTTTCTATTCTTTTGCTTTTAATTTATCCCTGTCTTTATATTTAACGTACATTTCTTGAAGGTTCTTCAAGCAATGTACTATCTTAAGCAGATAGTAGGTTCTTATTTGCTTAAAAGTCCAATATGACAATGTTTGCCTTTTGGGATGTTTAGATTATTTACATTTGATACCATTATTGATATGGCTGGATCTGGGCCTGTCATCTTTCTACTTGTTTTGTAATGGTCCCATCTGTTCTTTGTTTCCTTTTATTCTCTTTTTCTATTTTCTTTCTTTTCTTTTTTTTCTTTTGTTTGAGACAGAGTCACTGTGTCACCCAGGCTGGAGTGCAATGGTATGATCTCGGCTCATTGCAATTTCTGCTTTCTGGGTTCAAGCGATTCTTGTGTCCAGCCTCCCACGTAGCTGGGATTATAGGCACACACCACCATGCCTGGCACATTTTTTGTATTTTTAGTAGAGATGGAGTTTCATCATGTTGGCCAGGCTGGTCTCGAACTCTTGGCCTCGAGTGATCTGCCCACCTCAGCTTCTCAAAGGGCTGGGATTACATGCATGAGCCACCGTGCCTGGCTCTTTTTTTTCCTATTTTCCATAGGATTAATGGTGTGTAAATATCAGGCATCGTTCTTTTCAGTCTTTCCAAATGATCCTTTCTCTGGCCTTGGTTAGTTTTCCCACACCCATGTACTGATCTGTATTTTGTTGAATACTCTAAAGGGACCTTCTGCTGATAATTGAGATTCCATCTCTATGCAGCCCTCTCCTCTCTGGCATTCTGTCCTATAAACTCAAGCTGCCTTGGTCTCTTCAGACTCTACAAGGAAATATGCCAGGTTCTGCCTCAGTTCCCCCTTCCTGTGTTGCAGCCTGGAAATTCCTCAGGGTAGTAGCTTAGGGAATTATAGGGCTCACTTCTTTTCTTTCCTGTTTCTCAGGGATTGTTGTCGTTTTTTGCATGATATCTTGAAAATTGTTTTATATAATTTGTCTGGTTATTTTGTTTCAGGCAGGAGGGGAAATCCAGCCCCTGTGATTCCACCTAGATAAGAACTGGAAGTTTTCCCTTAGCATTTTTTTTTTTTTGAGACAGTCCCACTGTCACCCATGCCAGAGTACAGTAGCACGATCACGGCTCACTGTAGCCTCAACCTCCCCTAGGCTCAGGTGATCCTCCCACCTCAGTCTCCCGAGTAGCTGGGAGCACCACCTTGCATGGCTAATTTTTGCATATTTTGTAGAGACGGGGTTTCACCATGTTGCCCAGGCTGGTCTCGAACTTCTGAGCTGAAGCAATCTTCTCACCTTGGCCTCCCAAGGGGCTGGGATTACAGGTGTAATCTGTAATCCCTGCATTTTCAAAAACATTACCCTTTTACTTTTGGTGTTTAGTCTGTTGCCATCTCGACTTCCCAGTCTTCGTGTGTGTTGTTTTTCCTTCTCTGAAAGCCTGTAGGATCTGTTGTGTATTCTCATTTTTCTGAGATGTCTCAGTTACATGCCTATGTGTAGATATTTTTCATTCATTGTCCTAAATACTTTGTTGGTCCTTCCTTCTCTATGTTGCTTTTAAGGAGATAGAATATTTTACCAAGTTATAAACAACAGTGCACATTTACAAAATCCTTAGCTCATCCTTAGTTCTGTGGTGTGAATTGGGCCCCTTTTTGTTTGCTTCCCCTTCTGCCAGAAGTTGAGTTTCATCTTTGTCTGCTTTTCTAGTCTAGTTATCATTCATTCTCTTTCTGCCTTCTAAAATTCTGTTTATACCTCTAGTTGGCTTTGATTCTTCTCTCTCTCTCTTTTTTTTGAGACAGGGTCTCACTCTGTCACCCAGGCTGGCGTACAGTGGTGCAAACACAGCTCACTGCAGCCTCGACCTCCCCGAGCTCAGGTGATCCTCCCATCTCAACCTCCCAGGTAGCTGGGACTACAGGCATGCACCACCACACTTGGCGAATTTTTGTATTTTTTGTAGAGACGGGATTTCACCCTGTTGGCAACATCGCCAGGCTGGTCTCAAGCCATCCGCCTGCCTTGGCCTCCCAAAGTGCTAGGATTACAGGCGTGAGCCACTGTGCCCAGCCTGCTTTGACTCTTCTCTTGGGCTATTATGTTACTATCACTTTAATGGGGTTAGGGAGAGAGTGAAGATCAGTACAAAAGTGTTATTCACTGTGTTTATACAGATGTCCCCTGTGCATGTGCACACAAAACCCACACTGGGGAAAGGAGCCCAGAGGAACAGATGGGCACACAGAGCAGGGCACAGTGGAGGCAAGCAGAGATCAGCAGATGAAAATAGAGCTGTTTGCTGGGGATGACCACAAAGGGGTGCAATGACCCTTGGACTCCCCTGTTGGTGCGGGCAAAGATGGCTGAGGGCTGGCCTCATGGTGGAGTGCTGGATAACTGTCCTTGGCAATACCACTAGACCCAGTAGATCTCTGCCCCACTACTTAGCCTGATCCTCTGCCCTCACACAGGGTTTGAGCAGGAACTTGTTGTTTTAGGAACCAGTGACCTTTGAGGATGTGGCTGTGTACTTCACCCAGAATGAATGGGCCAGCCTGGACTCTGTGCAGAGGGCCCTGTACAGGGAAGTGATGCTGGAGAATTATGCAAATGTGGCTTCCCTGGGTAAGACATTTCTTCTTGTTTTTGGCCTCTGCCCTTTAAGCATCCTGGCTTCTTTATTCCTTAGAACTTTGTGGGGTTTTTTTCTTTTTTTCTTTTTTTTTTGAGACAAGAGTCTCCCTCTGTCGCCCAGGCTGGAGTGCAATGGCGCAATCTCGGCTCACTACAACCTCCACCTCCCAGGTTCAAGCGATTCTTCTGCCTCAGCCTCCAAAGTAGCTGGGATTACAGGTGGGCGCCACCACACCCGGCTAATTATTGTATTTTTAGTAGAGATGGGGTTTCTCCATGTTGGCCAGGCTGGTCTCGAACTCCTGGCCTCAAGCGATCCTCCTGCCTCAGCCTCCCAAAGTGCTGGGAAGACATGTGTGAGCCACCGCTCCTGGCAGGAGAACTTTGTGGGGTTTCTAATAACTCTCTGTTGCCCTGAAGGCTGAGCTGCCTGGAAGTTTCTGGGTGGAGAGAGCCCTGCGTTCCCAGGTTTTGAAATCACCTGTCCCTCCAACCCTGGGAGGGGCTGTACCCAAAACATGGGGGGGAAAGGAGCTCTTGGGAGCACAGCAAAGCCCCTTGTGTCTTCCAAGTTCTCTGAAGAAAACTTGAGATTCCCTTATGTGAGCGTGGGATTATTCTGGGACTCTGTGCCACTTTGTGGGAAATTTCTGTCCTCCAGCAGCATAGATTAAGTTTCTCCCTGACTCACCTTGTCTCTCACTACCTGGCTCAGCAGATAAAGATAAAGGGGGCTGCAAGAGGATCCTGGTTCCTGATTCCCCTTACCTTTTCCTGTTTCTTTCTCCCTGGGCAGCATTCCCATTCACCACGCCTGTTCTGGTCTCCCAGCTGGAGCAAGGGGAACTGCCATGGGGCCTCGATCCCTGGGAACCTATGGGCAGGGAGGCTCTCAGAGGTATCTGTCCAGGTGAGCATGAGAACCCACTAGCTGCCTTTTTGGCTTGGCTTGCTTTCTTGTTTTCACATTTCATTGTGCAAGAAGTGTTTCTTCTCTTGGGAGACTGTTTTTGTTCCTGTGGAATCATTACATGTGATTCTCTGAGTTCATGGTGGTAGCCTACCTCAACTGGGGAAGGGCCAGTCTCTTTTAAGACAGGAATGACTGTAAGATTTCTTTGCATATTCGTCTTTGCCTGTCCTCCTCACAACCTGCCAAGGGAGACTGTCTGATTGGGCAGCACTTAAACCAGCTCATTTCTTCTCTGTCACATGAAAACATTTTATTTTTCTGCCAGTTTGTTTTTGCAAAGATGAGGATGTCAGCCACCTTTGGAGGAAAATAGGCTTCTGGCAACATGGCTGGCCATCTGCATATCATAGGCTACATTGTTTAAGCACTGACTTAAAGAATAAAAAGTTTGTTTTTATAATGGAAATTTTCAAATATATGCAAACACCAGCATAATGCACTCCATGTATCCTTCATCCAGCTTCAACAGTCACAAATATCCTTTGATTCTTATTTCATCTTTCCCCCACAGATACTTAAAAAAATTTCTGAAGCAAAATTTATTGTAAATTAAAGGTGAATAACTTTCTCACTTCGATGGCTATTGATATAAGAATTAAAAATAGGCTGGGCATGGTGGCTCATACCTGTAATCTCAGCATTTTGGGAGGCTGAGGCAGGTGGATCACTTGAGGCCAGGAGTTCAAGACCAGCTTGGCCAACATGACGAAACCCCGTCTCAACTAAAAAAAAAAAAAAATATATATATATATATATATATATATATATATATATATGGCCAGGTGTGGTGGTTCATGCCTGTAATCCCAGCACTTTGGGAGACCGAGGTGGGTGGATCACCTGAGGTCAGGAGTTCGAGACCAGCCTGGCCAACATGGTGAAACTCCATCGCTACTAAAAATACAAAATATTAGCATGGACGTGGTAGCACGTGCCTGTAATCCTAGCTACTCAGGAGGCGGAGGCAGGAGAATCGGTTGAACCTGGGGAGTGGAGGTCGTAGTGAGCTGAGATCATACCATTGCACTCCAGCCTGTGGGCAGCAAGCCACCCAGGTGCCAAGGCAAGAGACTGAGGGCACAAGCTGTTCCAGTATAATAAAGAAAATATATAGAATAAGAATAATTATGCTAGAAATAGATTATAGATATGATTATATATTAATATTATTAATCATTAGTTTGTAGCATTACTCTTTATTCCAATATTATAATAATCTCTGTTCTACAATTATAACCTAGGAAAAACCAGGCCATACAGAGATAGGAGCTGAAGGGACACTGTGAGAAGTGACCAGAAGACAAGAGTGTGAGCACTCTGTCAAGCCGGGACAGGGCCACCAGAGGGCTCCTTGGTCTAGCGGTAATGCCAGTGCCTGGGAGGGCACCCCTTACTTAGCAGACCTTGGTCTAGCGGTAGCGCCAGTGCCTGGGAAGGCACCCGTTACTTAGCAGACCGGGAAAGGGAGTCTCCCTTTCCCCGGGGGAGTTAGAGAAGACTGCTCCACCACCTCTTGTGGAAGGCCTGACATCAGTCAGGCCCACCCGCAGCCATCCGGAGGCCTAACCATCTCCCTGTTGATGCTGTGCTTCAGTGGTCACGCTCCTGGTCCACTTTCATGTTCTGCCCTGTACACCTGGCTCTGCCTTCTAGAAGAAATAATGATGTAAGCTGTCCCCTCTCTCTCTCCGCCTCGGCTACCAAATAGGGAAGGGCCCCCTGTCTGGTGGACATGTGACTCGTGTGACCTTACCTATCATTGGAGATGACTCTCACTCCATACCCTGCCCCTTTGCCTTGTACATAATCAATAACAGCACGGCCAGGCATTCAGGGCCACTACCAGTCTCCGCATCTTGGTGGTAGTGGTTCCCTGGGCCCAGCTGTCTTTTCTTCTATCTCTTTGTCTTGTGTCTTTATTTCTACCATCTCTCGTCTCTGCACATGAGGAGAAAAACCCAGAGGCCCAGTAGGGCTGGACCCTACACCAGCCTGAGTGACAGAGCGAGACTCTGTCTCAAAAAAAACCCAAAAACATCAAAAATTAGCTGGGTATGGTGGTGTGCACCTGTAGTACCAGCTCCTGGGGAGGCTGAAGCATGAGAATCACTTGAACCCAGGAGGTGGAGGTTGCAGTGAGCCAAGATTGCACCACCACACTCCAGCCTGGGTGACACAGCGAGACTCTATCTCAAAAATAAATAAATACATAAAACATAGTATATTTTTTAATCTTTCTTATTCTGCTTCACCCATTCTCTGCCTGTGAAAATTTTCTGTGCTCTTCTGCAGAGAATGCCCATTACTGATCCACCCCCAAGTCTTGAGTTTAAGTTGTACCTTTCTGGATGTGACCTCAGGACCCTACGTCATCTGAGTAAAAATATTTTCTGAACAATTTTTTGTGAATGCATGCAGGCTGAAGATTTTACTTAGTCTGCAAAAGGTTTTGATAGTGGAGGGAATATTTCTCTTTGGTTTTCCCTTATTATCATGTGAGTTTAGTAGTTCACTTTTCAAACTGTTGTATTAAACAAATGCACAACCTATGAGACCTTTTAGGAAAAATGGCAAGCATCGTTACCAGGCCCTCTTTGGGACTTACATTCACTCTTGGAAGAGTTCTTCACATTTCCAGTGCTTTTTGGTTTTAAAGGCAAGCCTCCAAACCTTCCTTTCTCCTGGATGCTGTGGTGGTTGCCATGCATGGCATCCTCAACCACTGCATGGGAGCCTGCTGCTTTACTAGAGCCAGCTTGATGGTAGAGATCAGCTCTCTTTTCAAGGTTATGACATGCATGATGTCTTTTAACAAGCATCTCTTAAGGAATCTCAGCCTGTGGGACCTGTTGTAGTGCTTGAACTGCTCAGCCTGCCCCTTCTCTAATCTTGGGAGTCTTCCTCTCACTTATGGATTTCCATTTGTTACTTTTTTTATGTTTGCATCTTTATCCACCTCATTCATTTTTCTCTTAGTCTTTCTGCCCTAATTAACAGTCTTTGCAGTTTTCTGGTTTTCACACTGTTTATGGGAATGCCTCCTGGCCTTGCTTCCCTCCCGTCTCATAGAGTTTTCATGTCCCTTGCAGGGCTCTGTTGTGTGGTGATCTTAGGCAGCCATCTTGTGAGCATATTAGAAAATATCCATATATTCAGGGCAAATTAGAACCACTTGATTCTGTTTCTTCTTCAGCACAGATATTGTGTGTGTGTGTGTGTGTGTGTGTGTGTGTGTGTGTGTGATATCAGGGACTGACATTTGTATTTTCTTTTTGTGATAGGGGATGAGGCCAGAACTGAGAAGGAAGGATTAACTCCAAAGGATCATGTGTCCAAAGAAACAGAGTCCTTCAGACTGATGGTGGGGGGCCTGCCAGGGAATGTTTCCCAGCACCTTGACTTTGGGAGCAGCCTAGAGCAGCCACAAGGTCATTGGATAATTAAGACAAAGTCAAAGAGGAGACATTTCACAGATACCTCAGCCAGGCACCATGAGGCCTATGAGGTCAAGAATGGAGAGAAGTTTGAGAAATTAGGAAAAAATATTAGCGTCAGCACACAACTCACTACAAATCAGACAAATCCTAGTGGTCAGATATCTTATGAATGTGGACAATGTGGCAGATATTTCATTCAAATGGCAGACTTCCACCGACATGAGAAATGTCACACTGGTGAAAAGTCTTTTGAATGCAAAGAATGTGGAAAATACTTCAGATATAACTCATTACTTATTCGGCATCAGATAATTCACACTGGAAAGAAACCATTTAAATGTAAAGAATGTGGAAAAGGTTTAAGTTCAGACACAGCCTTGATTCAGCATCAGAGAATCCACACTGGAGAAAAGCCCTATGAATGTAAGGAGTGCGGCAAGGCCTTCAGTAGCAGCTCTGTCTTCCTCCAGCACCAGAGGTTCCACACTGGGGAGAAGCTCTATGAATGTAACGAATGTTGGAAAACTTTCAGTTGCAGCTCAAGTTTCACTGTCCATCAGCGAATGCACACTGGGGAGAAACCTTATGAATGTAAAGAGTGTGGAAAACGATTAAGCTCCAACACAGCCTTGACTCAGCATCAGCGAATTCACACTGGGGAGAAGCCCTTTGAATGTAAGGAGTGTGGGAAGGCATTCAATCAGAAAATAACCCTGATTCAGCACCAGCGAGTTCACACTGGCGAGAAACCTTATGAGTGTAAAGTGTGTGGTAAAACCTTCAGCTGGTGTGGAAGATTCATTCTGCATCAGAAACTACACACTCAGAAGACACCTGTCCAAGCATAGGGCTATCCATAGTTAGGCCCACTGTGCCTCTCCTTTTTTCTCTTTATTTTCATGCTTTTTATCAGTGTCCTCGCTGTCCTTCCTGGTTAGACACTTGGCTTTCATCATGAACTCTTCTTTAAGTTTTTTGAACCTGTTTCCCCAACATGAAGTCTCTTTATGGTTAGAGAAGACCAAAAAACAAACAAACAAACTTAGAAACATAAAAGGAAATGTAAGTTTCCAGATTTAAAGGACATGCTGGGTGCCCAGCAGGATGGATTCAAGGGAAACCTACATTAAGGAAAATTGCTGTGAATTATGAAAACACCAAGTTTGAATAAGAGGATCATGGAGAAAAAATGAGACCCTAAAAAGTTTCTAGAGAGAGAAAACAAAAGATCAGAAATGAAAGCGGGGCCAGGCGCGGTGGCTCGTGCCTGTAATCCCAGCACTTTGGGAGGCTGAGGCGGGTGGATCATGAGGTCAGGAGTTCGAGACCAGCCCGCCCAATATGGTGAAACCCCGTCTCTCCTGAAAAAAAAAAACACAAAAATTAGCCAGGCATGGTGGCGCATGCCTGTAATCCCAGCTACTAGAGAGGCTGAGGCAGGAGAATCACTTGAATCCCTGAGGCAGAGGTTGCAGTGAGCTGAGATCGCACCACTGCACTCCAGCCTGGGCGACAGAGTGAGACTTTGTCTCAAAAACAGTAAAAAATGAAAATGGCATTAGATTTTTCAAGAGCAACCTTCAAAGTCAGATGACAATGTGTATGCCTTCAGACTTCTCATGGAAAATGTTTTCCCCTGCAATTCTATACTCCAAAGTATAAGTATAGAATAAAGGCATTTCAGACCCTTTAAATCTGAAATCTTTATCTCCCATGCATCCTTTCTCATATGTGCAACACTACACAAGGAGTAAACCAGTAAATAAAAAGACAGATATATGGATTCCCTATTGCAGTCCGTACGTCAGAAGTCTCCTAAATTCAAAAACGGGCCCTGTCCATGTGGAGCCAAATGCATCTTGGAAGACATTCCTAGTAGGGTGCAAACTTCCAGAGACCTATCTCAGGTTCAGTGTCCACCCACCCTACTTATTCTTCAGTTTGTCTTCACTAGACAGTTGTACTCTGTGCCTTTGCAAAAGTCAGGATGTATATACTCTTTGAGTCAGGTGCAAGGCACCATTTGTCTTAAATTTATTCTCATTGCTGTTTCAAGTGACCTCAAAGCAGGCAGCATTTTCTTGCAATTCCATCTAGTTATTTTTTATGATCATGGAAGAACCTACCATTATTGCTGTTACCTGTGGAAATGAGGGAAGATGTAAATGTGTTAGGTTTTAGCATCCCCTCTGGCAGCCAGCTTGATTTTGCAGGAAGCAGAGAGTAGTGATTAATAATACAGAGCCAGGCAGACTTTGGTTTGAGTCCAGGTGTTTGTCCTTGGTTAAGTTACAAAAACTGCACTAGTTTCCTTATCTGTAAAATGAGGATGACAGTTAATCTACCTCATAGGTTTGTGTTGGGGATTAAATGCATTATTTGTAGAAGTGTTTCAAACAGTGACTACATATAATAAAAGTATTACCTATTATTGGCCGGGCACAGTGGCTCATGCCTGTAATCCCAGCACTTTGGGAGGCTGAGGTGGGCAGATCACAAGGTCAGGAGATCAAGACCATCCTGCTAACACACTGAAACCCTGTCTCTACTAAAAGTACAAAAAATTAGCTGGGCGTGGGGTGACATGTGCCTGTAGTCCCAGCTACTTGGGAGGCTGAGGCAGGAGCCCAGGGAGGCAGAGGTTGCAGTGAGCCAAGATCATGCCACTGCACTCCAGTCTGGGTGACAGATTGAGACTCCGTCTCAAAAAAAAAAAAAAAAAAATTTTTACCTATTATTATAATCCTATTGGTAAGTTTTGACTTATCAATATACTAGTGAAACAATTATCACAGTTCAAGATAATAATCAGCCACCACCCCAAAACTTTGCTTGTACCCCTCCATAATCCCTTCCTCTTGGCCCTTCACAGGCAACCACTGGTTTGCTTTCTGTCACTTGGATTAATTTTCCTTTATTTTTTGGTCTGGTGTCTTTCACTCAGCATAATTACTTTGAGATTCACCCATGTTGTTGCATATATATCAATAGTTCATTCCTTTTTATTGCTGAGTAGTATTCCACTGTATGGATATGCCATAATTTGTTTATTCATTGACCTGTTGATGGCCATTTGGGTTGTTTTCAGTTTTTGGCTATTACAAATAAAGCTGCTATGGACATTTGTGTCCACATCTTTGTAAGAATATATGCTTTCATTTATCTTGATACAGGAGTGGAATGGCTAGGTCATTAGGTAGATTGGTATAGATTAAACGTTTTAAATTTTTATTATGTTTTTATTTTTTAGAGGTTGGTGGGGGGCAGTTCTTGCTTTGTTGTTCAGGCTGGACTCAAACTCCTGGGCTCAGGGTATCCTCCTGCCTCAGTCCCCCTGTCCTACTCTTAGTAGCTGGGACTACAGGTGTGCACCACCATACCCTATTTAACATTTTGAGAATCTTCAAAACTGTTTTACGAAAGAGGTTGTGCCATTGTACATTTCCACTTGCATTGTATGACAGTTGTACTTCCAATACATCTATGCCTACACTTGATGTCAGTTTTTAAAATTTTAGCTATTCTAATTGTTTAATGCTATCCCATTGTGGTTTTAATTTGCATTTCTCTAATGACTATTGTGCTTATTTGTGTTCCATATAACTTATTTGATGAAGTGTCTGCTCATATTTTTTGCCCATGTTTTTATTGTGTTGTTTTTGTTTTATTAATCTTTGAGAGGTCATTATTTATTGTGGATACAAGTCTTTTTCAGATATGTGATTTTTAAATATTTTCTTCTAGCCTGTGGTTTGCCTTTTCATTCTCACAATGGTGTCTTTTTTTTTTTTTTTTTTTTTTGAGATGGGGTCTCACTCTGTTACCCAGGCTGGAGTGCAGTACCACCATCTTGGCTTACTGCAACCTTTGCCTCCCAGGTTCAAGTGATCCTCCCACCTCATCCTCCCGAGTAGCTGGGATTACAGGTGCACATCATGACAGTGTCTTTTAAAGAGCAGAAGACATTAATATGCATGAAATCCAATTTATCAGTTTTTTATTTTTAAATAGAGATGAGGTCTCACTATGTTGCACAGGCTGGTCTTGAACTCCTGGGCTCAAGCGAGCCTCTTGCCTTGACCTCCCAAAGTGCTGGAATTATAGGCATGAGCCACTGTGTCTAGCCTTTTTTTTTAATGGATCATGGTTTCAGTGTCAAATCTAAGACATCTTTGCTGTACCCACATTTGCAAAGATTTTTTTCCTAAAGTTTTCCCTTTAGAAGTTTTATAGTTTTTGTGTTTTTTTTTTTTTTTTTTTTTTGACAGAGTCTCACTCTGTTGCCCAGGCTTGAGTGCAGTGGCAGGATCTCAATGATTGCAGCTTCGGAGGTTGCTCACTGCAACCTCCACCTCCTAAGTTCAAGCGATACTCCAGCCTCAGCCTCCTGAGTAGCTGGGATTACAGGCAGGTGCCACCATGCCCAGCTAATTTTTGTATTTTTAGTAGAGATGGGGTTTTGCCATGTTGGCCAGGCTGGTCTCGAAATCCTGACCTTAAGTGATCTGCCCACCTCGGCCTCCCAAAGTGCTGGGATTACAGGTGTGAGCCATCGCACCTGGCCAGAAGTTTTATAGTTTTAGGTTTTACATTTAATTCTATCATCTATTGAGTTAATTTTTGTCTGAGGCATGGATCCAAGTTTTTTTCTTTTTCTTCATATAAGTATCCTATTGTAGCACCATTTTTTTCTTTTTTAAGAGATGGGTCTCACTATGTTGCACAAGCTGAAGTGCAGTGCTATTCACAGGCATCATTACAGTGTACTGTACCCTTGAATTCCTGGTCTCAAGTGATCCTCCTGCCTCAGCCTCCTGAGTAGCTGGGACTACAAGTCTGTGCCACTATTGCCTGGCCTGTAACACCATTTTTTGAAAAAAGTTCCCCCACTGAATTGCCTTTGTACCATTGTTGTGAAGCAGAAGTCCATATATGTGTGGGTCTATTTCTAGATACTGTTCCATTGATCTGTTTGTCTGTCTTGATGCCATTAAGGCACTGCCTTTATTATTATAGTTATCTAATAAGTGTTGAAATCTAATAAGTGTTGAAGTCATATAGTGTTAGTTCTCTAACTTTGTTCTTTGTCGAGGTGTTTTGGCCATTAGAGGTCCTTTGCATTTCCATATGAATTTTAGAATCAGTTTTTCACTTTCTACAAAACACCTCCTGGGAGTTTGATTGGGATTGCATTGAATATAATGACCAATTTATGGAGAATTGACAAATATACAGAGTCTTTTGACCCATGGACATGGTAGAGCTCCCCATTTATTTAGATATTTATTAATTTCCTTCAGCAATGTTTTGTAATTTTTACTGTGCAGATCTTTCACACTTTTCCTCAGATGCATCTAAAAATTTCATCTTTTTCATGTATAAATACTTAATAACTTATGATACTTGTAATAATAAACAGTAAATTTCCAGTTTTTGCTGACATATAGAAATATAATTGGTTTTTATATATTAACCGCATATCCTTCAACCTTGCACAACTCACTTATTGGTTCTAGTAACGTTTTATAGATTCCATAGGATTTTCTAACATTGAGAATCGTGTTTGCAAATAACAGTTTTACTTCTTCCTTTCAAATTCTGGATGCTTTTTTATTTCTTGCCTTATTGTAGTGGCTAGTGGGTGGGGATAGTGTGTTTTTAGGGAAAGCTAATCTCTCTGGCATTGATCAGGTGAGAGACATTCAGCTCCAGAGAGTTTAATTTTGCTGTTAGGTGAACCGACTCACAATTGCAAAGTCTGAAGTTTCCCATATCTTTTGGTTCACTTTTGCCCTTTAGCTTCCTCTAGGCAGCACTGCCTATAGTTTGCTTCTGTTGAGGCTGTTCTGGAAAAGAATGGGCCTCTTGTAGCATGGTCCCAATTTTCTCCTCTGACTGCTCATGATTCCTGTCATGGTTCCAACCTGGGGATTTTAGGCACTTAGTCTTGCCTACCAAAACTTTCATCTCTTCTCTCTGCACCATAATACCAAATGGAGGAGTTACATGTCCAATCTTGTTCCCTCTAGTTAATTCAAATTAGAACTAATTGTAATAACTGTCTGATACTCTAGAGTTTGTGGTGTAAAAATGTGTACATGTATGTACACCAATATATGTGTGTCCATTTCTCTAGATTCATGGTAGATACTCTTTTTGATAGGCTTAGAGAAGGGGCAGTGTATAAATATATGTTCTAATGCTATTGTTCTTGGAAATCTAATTCATCTATTTAAAACAATTGTGCTTCATAAATGTTACAATAAAAGTACTATAGATTATAGAAAGGACTGTTTCTGTGGTAGGTAAAAAATGTGTTTAGCCAGCTCCCAAAATGGTCCCCAGTGATTCTCATTCTGGCATTCACACCCTTGTGTATCCAACACTGAATCATGACTGGCCTGTGATGATAGTATATTGAGGAAATGACAGAGTGTGACTTCCAAAGCTAGGACATAAATGATATTGCCACTTCTGCCTTGACCTCTTGGGTTACTCACCTGAGATGGAAGTGGAAGTCTGCTCCTGTGTTGTGAGGATACTCAGCCATGTACAGATACGCGGTGTGCGAAGGGAGGCTTCTTTTTCTTTTCTTTTCTTTTTTTTTTGAGACAGTCTTGCTCTATATCCTGGGCTGGAGTGCAGTGGCGGGATCTTGGCTCACTGCAACCTCCGCCTCCTGGGTTCAAGTGATTCTCCTACCTCAGCCTCCCAAGTAGCTGGGGTTACAGGTGCCCGCCACCACGCCCAGCTAATTTTTGTATTTTTAGTAGAGACAGGGTTTCGCCATGTTGGCCAGGGTGGCCTCAAACTCCTGACCTCAGGTGATCTGCCTGCCTTGGCCTCCCAAATTGCTGGGATTACAGGTCTGAGCCACTGCACCCGGCGCAGGAAGGGAAGTTTCACACTAATAGCTGGCATCTATGTGCCAACCATGTGAGTGAGTTACCTTTGAGGCAAATCCCCAGCCTCAGTCCAACTTTCAAGTGACTGCAGTCCCAGGTGACACCTGACTAGACCCTCATGAGAGATCCCAAGCCAGTACCATCCAGCCAAGCCACTCCCGAATTCCTCATCCACAGAACCTTTTTTTTTTTTCCTTTTTCTCTTTTTAGGACTGACTGACTATGTTCACTGATTCATAGAAACTTTAAGAGATAATAAGTGTGTTTTGTTTTCAGCCATAAGGTTTTAGGGTGATTTGTTATGCAGCAGTAGATACCTAAGATACTCTCCATAATAGGACTTCATAAGTCAGTCTAATTCTTAAGAAAGGAATAACAAATCCAAGAAGTGGGACCCCTGTAATAAAGCAATATATCTAGATATCCAGGATCATTTTTTATCTTTTAGTGGTGGGAGACCAATTCCCCTTTATAGCATGGAAATGCTTGGTGGTGAGGAGCCTGGTATCTGGAACTGTGTTCAGGAGAAGTTATCAGCGTGATTAAAGTAAAACAAAGTCTGGGCCGGGCGCGGTGGCTCACGCCTGTAATCCCCAGCACTTTGGGAGGCCGAGGTGCACGGATCACAAGGTCAGGAGATCGACACCATCCTGGCTAACACGGTGAAAACCCGTCTCTACTAAAAATACAAAAAATTAGCTGGGCGTGGTGGCGGGGTGCCTGTAGTCCCAGCTACTCGGGAGGCTGAGGAAGGAGAATGGCGTGAACCCAGAAGGCAGAGCTTGCAGTGAGCCGAGATTGCGCCATTGCACTCCAGCCTGGGCGACAGAGCGAGACTCCGTCTCAAAAAAACAAACAAACAAAAAACAAGCAAAAAAAAAAAAAACAAAGTCTGTCCATCTTAGCAACCACTTTGATACTGGAGAAAGGCTCCTGTCCAGAAGGAAGGGCACAGTAGTGAGGTACTTGCCAATGAGCTGGGTAGAGCTGCCACTGGCTGGCTTCGGGAAGTGTTTATCACTGACTGGCTCATGTTCAGAAGCTTGGAGTGAGGCTGTTGTGTACTGGTTGATTTTCAGAGTACGTGTACTGATCTAAAATTATGTAAATTAATGGCAAGTACTTGTTAGTGACTTGGGACTTTGGTCAAAAAACAGTCTTTTCCTTTCCTGAATATGAAAAGTAAGTTCTTTTAATTAGCAGCCTCCCCTCTTCACTGTTTTTTCTTCCTGCAGTCCAACTAACAGAACAGACCATAAAGGTCTGTCCAGATCATTATTTATGGAAGTATGAGATATATATATTTCAGCTGGTGTTAACATTTTATTTAAGTGCCAGTTACTGAGCAGAAAAATAGCTGTAACTACGAGTTTTTGTAATTTATTGGAAAAAGCTAAATATAAGACATTTAGGGTGTCCTCCCAAAGTCAACACAGGACAAGATCATTTAATATAGGACATGTCCTGTGTATACAGGATGCCTAGCAACTGTATGTAGCCACGGGTGTTTTGGTTGTTAAATGAATCTGTCCTAAAAGGTTCTACGCACATCTAGGTCCTTGGAAGGGAGAGGGCTAAAACGGCGAGTGGAAACCATGGTTTCCCTGAGGACTGCCCAGCTGAGGACCCAAGCAAGATCCTGGGCTTGGGCCTCTTAGAGATGACAAA
This sequence comes from Homo sapiens, assembly GCF_000001405.40. NCBI lineage: Eukaryota > Metazoa > Chordata > Mammalia > Primates > Hominidae > Homo > Homo sapiens. Next base: position 40,524,589 of record NC_000003.12, read on the forward strand.
GCAGGCGCCATTCTCCCCTCACCTGCACGGCCCAGGCTTCAGGTGAGCCACGGGGCCAAGGCGGCCAACAGCTGAGGCGCAGCCCGTGAACTGGGGGCCCACTTGTGCCTAGAGGGCGAGGTCTCGGTAGAGCCAGGCTGTATCAGTCCGTGACACTCCAGCCAGAGGCGATGCCGACGGCTGCCGGAGAAAGCCGGGCTTAGAGCGCCACAGTTCCACGCCCGCCGCCGGCCTCTCAGCCCAGCCGGTCGCCGCAACCTCGCCTCTTCCGCAGGGCGGGGCCAGCCATGAAAGGCGGGGCGGGTCTGGCCACGGGGCGACCGAGATGGCGGCCTCCGGGGGCCTAGAGGGACCCTGGGCGTGCACTCGCCCTTCCGGCTCGGCCTTTAGTTAGTGACCAGCTCCTCGGCGTTCTGCAGAGCGTGGGTTTCAGCGAGTTCTACGTGCCAGGTCCGCCCGGTGCCGGCTTCCTCGCTGCCCCTGGCGGCTCGTCAGCCCCCACTACCCCTGAACTTGGTCCCAATGGCGGCCCGCCCCTCCTTCACCCGGACCGTGGGCATCTGGGCCTCGCCGAAGCCGTCAAGGTGGCTGCTCGGGCTTCTAGAGCCCGTGTCCAGCCCTTTGCCACCGAGGCCTGATCCTCTTTTCTGCCCTAAAGAACTTGCCCTGACAGCCTCTGGCTCCCGGTACTGACGTTTCTGATGTTTGGGGTTGCCTGTTTTCTTGGGTGGAGTGTTAAGATCACGGTTGGGTGGGGTCTCCGGTCAGCATCACCCACTGGGACGCTGAGTATTTTACCCTTAATCCGCATTCAGCCACCCCAGTCCCTCTTCTCCTGAGGTTCTTTCTTTTGGGTCCACGTCATCGTCCCTGTAAGCATTCTGTAAAGACTCTTTACGTTTGTAGAGACCCAACACAATAGGGACAGGGCTCTTGGGTCCCTCAGTTTACCCGTACGAATGGGCTCAAAAAAAGCTCTTCGGACTGAGCAGGCAGGTGGAAGATTGTCCTGAAGACTAGGCAGAACAATTCATAAGAAGTTTGGGGCTATCAGCGTGAGAACAATTAGAGGGAGTCCTAGTAGAATCTCCGTGCATCCAGTGCTGGAAATGTGGAAACTGGGAGGGCCATAGGTTGCTGTAGGTGGTGGACGACAGGGTCCTTAGCACTCATGGCTCTTTTTCTCTTAGCTCTTGAGGATCTTGCTTGTCCAAACCCAGAAGACAGTGCATGAAGCCAGGGGACATCCGCCATGCTCCAAACAACTTGGCCTCAGGTGAGCTGAGCTTCTTTCAGTTTTTTTGTTTGTTTGTTTATGTTTTTTTACTCACATTAGCTATCAGATAATCAGGAAAGGATGAGGAAGGCCTAACTTGGCCAAGCTGTGTTTTCCCCTTTGTATCTATCTCCAGGGCTATGGCAGATGTAAATATGTGCTGGGGAAATGAAAGTTTTGTGTATAGAGAGTGATGAGTTTGGATGTATAGATTTAAATGGAAGAAAGGGGACCTATACCAAGAAATTCTTTCTGAATGTGGAAATCCAGATCGTGTTCTAGAAATGAAAGTCACCTACTGAAATCAGACTCATTTTTTGTGAGACGGAGTCTCACTCTGTCGCCCAAGCTGGAGTGTAGTGGCACTATGATATCGGCTCACTGCAGCCTCTGCCTCCTGGGTTCAAGTGATTCCCATACCTCAGCCTCCTAAGTAGCTGGGATTACAGATGTGCGCCGCCACGTGTGGCTAATTTTTGTATTTTTAGTAGAGACGGGGTTTACACCACGTTGGCCAGGCTGGTCTTGAACTCCTGAGCTCAGGTGATCCACCCGCTTCGGCTTCCCAAAGTGCTGGGATTATAGGCATGAGCCACCGCACTAGCTTGAAATCAGAAATTCTTTATTGGAGAGATTGCCCACAAATTGTATTGTATGTATCCCAGAGAGACTAGTATTGTTGCTTTAATATACATTTTCTAAATGCTAGATGCAAGGACTCTGAAGTTGCAGAGAAAGCTGGATGTACTCTAGAAACTGGAAGGGGTCAGAGAAAGTGGTTCAATATGAGATGGAAGAAATAGATACCTGTATTATAGGTCATGGTGAGGACAGTGGTTTCTGTACTGGTTCATTGGGAAGGCACTGAAGAATTTTAAGCAGGGGGATGACATGGTTGGATTTACATATTAAAAAGATTTTCCTAGCCCTTAGTGGCAAATTGATGGTAGAAAGGTGTTGGTCAATTAAGAAGATATTAAGTGTTGTCCTTTTATTTTTTTTGTTTTTGAGACGGAGTTTCGCCTTTGTTGTCCAGGCTTGAGTGCAATGGCGCTATCTCGGCTCACCGCAACCTCCACCTCCCAGGTTCAGGCAATTCTCCTGCCTTAGCCTCCCAAGTAGCTGGGATTACAGGCATGCACCTGTTTTTTGTTTGTTTGTTTGTTTTTTTGAGATGGAGTCTCACTGCAACACCCAGGCTAGAGTGCAATGGTGCGATCTTCGCTCACTGCAACCTCCACTTCCCTTGTTCAAGTGATTCTCCTGCCTCAGCCTCCCGAGTAGATGGAATTACAGGTGCCCGCCACCACGTCCGGCTAATTTTTGTATTTTTAGTAGAGACGGGGGTTCTCCATGTTGGTCAGCTGATCTCGAACTCCCGACCTCAGGTGATCCGCCTGCCTCAGCCTCCCAAAGTGTTGGGATTACAGGCGTGAGCCACTGTGCCTGGCAAGTGTTGTCCATTTTTAAATTTTTTTTTTTTTTGAGACAGAGTCTCACTCTGCCACCCAGGCTGGAGTGCAGTGGCATGATCTCAGCTCACTGCAACCTCCACCTCCCGGATTCAAGCAATTCTCCTACCTCAGCCTCCTGAGTAGCTGGGATTACAGGTGCACACCACCATGCTGGGCTTATTTTTGTATTTTTAGTAGAGATGGGGTTTCACCATGTTGGCCAGGCTGCATTTTACTTTTTAATGTAATTAATTTATTTGTAGTTTTTATTTTCTGGAGCAGTTTTAGGTTCACAGCAAAATTAAATGGAAGGTACAGAGATTTCCCATATATTCCCTGCCCCTACACATGTATATACAAGTTCTGATAGAAGTTCAAATACAAGTCTGGTATCAGCACAGTAAAATGTCAGTGTCTTTAAAAGAATGGAAATGCTTTTTTTCTTTCCTTATTCTCTGATATGTCCTAAACAGCATATGTGGTTTGATTGAGAAATAACTTACCCTGAAACGATTCAACACTGGTACTTAAAATAGTTTTTTAGAGCAGTTTTAGTTGATAACAAAATTGGGCAGAAAGCAAGAGTTCCCATTTATCTCCTGCCACCACAAAACACACAACCTTCTTCAATATTAATATTCCACACCAGAGTAACACGTTTGTGACAAGGAGTGAACCTACACTAACACATCATTGTCATCCAAAGTTGATAGTTTACATTAGGGTTCACTCTTGATGGATGACACATATCCACTATTATAGTATTATATAAGCAGAATAGTTTCACTGCCCTAAAAATACCTTATGCTCCTCTTATCCATCCTTACTTTCCCCTTAGTCCCGTCCCAATTGACAACCATCAATTGATTTTTGTATTCTCTTCATAGTTTTGCCAGTTCCAAAATGTCATATAGCCAGAATCACACAGTACGTAGCATTTTCAGATTGACTTCTTTCATTTAGTGGTAATGCATTTCGTTTCCTCTGTGTCTTTTCATGGCTTGATAGATCGTTTTGTTTTAGTGCTGAATAATATTCCATTGTCTATATATACTACAGCTTATCCATTCACCTACTGAAGGACATCTCGGTTGCTTCCAAGTTTTGGCGATGATGAATAAAAGCCCCTGTAAATGTCCATGTACAGGTTTTTATGTGGACATAAGTTTTCAACTCCTAAATTTAGTTAAGCACCAAGGAGCATGACTGCTGGGTTGTATGGTAAGAGTGTGTTTAGTTTGTAAGAAATTGACGAACTGTCTTCCAAAGTGGCTGTCCCATTTCGCATTCATTAGCACCAGCAGTGAATGAGAGTTCTGTTGTTTCACATCCTGGCCAGCATTTGGTGTTGTCAGTGTTTTGGATTTTGGCCTTTCTAATAGGTATGTAGTGGTGTCTCACTGTTTTTATTGCAATTCCCTAATGACATATAATCTTGAGCATAGTTTCATATGCCTATTTGCTATCTGTATATTTGCTTTGTTGAGGTGTCTGTTGAGGTCTTTTGCCTGTTTCTTAATTGGCTTGTTCATAAAGAGTTCTTTGTACATTTTGGATAATAGTGCTTTATCAGATATGTCTTCAGCAAATATTTTCTCCTAGACTTTAGCATGTCTTCTCATTTTCTTAATGTGTTATCCTTTTAAAATACAGTTTAATTCCCCCTCATTTTGTTTTCAGTTGTTTTCTCCAAAACATTGTTTGCTAGTTTTTCACACATGCCTGTAATCTCAGCCTGGGTGCCAAGCTGTAAGAATCAGCAGCAGTTACGGGCTCCAGAGCTGGGTAGATGGGAGAGTGTTGGGGCTCCCCATTTGAAAGTGGAACTACTGGCTGAGGGCTCGCCCCTGGCTGTGGTGGTGGGTGTTCTTGTTGAGCAGACCTTACATGGGGCTCAGAGTTGTGGATGCAGGCAGGTTTATCCCTTCCCTGAAGCTCAAGCTGCTCCCTTCTTCCTTCTACTTCTCACTCAGAGATTGAGCAGGAACCTGTTGTTTCAGGAGTCAGTGACCTTTGAGGATGTGGCTGTTTACTTCACCCAGAATCAATGGGCCAGCCTCGACCCTGCGCAGAGGGCCCTGTACGGGGAGGTGATGCTGGAGAATTATGCAAATGTGGCTTCTCTGGGTAAGGCCTCCCTCTGTGGCCCTTTGTAACAGTTTGCTATCTTCCTCAGATGTTTTGGGGATTCTAGTAGCCCTTGGGTTTGATGACTTCAGAGGAGAGTTTTGCAATCAGCAGCCTCCAGAAATACTGGGTAGGGAAATCCTTGGTTCTCTTTGTTTTTTGTTTGTTTGTTTGTTTTGTTTGTTTGTTTGTTTTGAGACAGAGTCTCGCTCTGTCACCTAGGCTGGAGGGCAGTGGCATAGCCATGGCTCACTGCAGCCTCCAACTCCTGGGCTCAAGCAATTCTCCTATTTCAGCCTCCCAAGTAGCTGGGACTATAGGCGTGTGCCACTGTGCCTGGCTTCTCTTTGGTTTTGAAATTAGACTTCCTTATACTCCAGGAACAGTGTGGTCCTGGGCCCTGAGGGAAAGCATTCTTTCTGGCACCCTAAGTGAGCCCTTTGTTCCTTTGTCCATCCAGTTTTCTGGGGATGTTGGCCCTCCCTTTGTGGAAGGTTCTCCCAGGGGAGCAGTAGGTACATTTTTCCTGAGGGAGTTTGCCTTCTTCTGAGTCAGGGCCAGAATGCAGTTTCTTTCTGAGAAGAATCATACCTCCTTGGCTTTATCGTGGAGCACAGTTTGGACCTCCTTGTCAGAACTCTCACTTGGTCTGCTGGTGTTCAATTTCTCTCCCAAGTAGCCTGATGGAGGGTGGGCTGAGAAAGATCCCAGGAATAGCTCTGGACGTCTCCCCTCAATTTGTCTTTCTCTTTTCTTCATGAAGTAGCGTTTCCATTCCCCAAACCTGCTCTGATCTCCCACCTGGAGAGAGGGGAAGCACCATGGGGCCCAGATCCCTGGGACACCGAGATTCTGAGAGGCATCAGTCAAGGTGAGTATGAGAATCCAGTGGTGAAGTTTCTTGTTTTGCCTTCCTGGTTTACTAGGTAAGAAGTGTTTCTTATGCTGCAGGGTACAAATCTCCCAGTTATTTATAAGTCGATACTCACTGTACTCTCTGACCTCACACTGAGTTCTGACCCTGAGCTTTGAAAGACCACCTCTGGGAGTACATGGCCTCATGCTGTCTGCACATTCATGTGGCTATCCTCCAAGGCAGAAAAGCTGTGACCCAGTAGCTCCTAAACCACTTCTTTCTTACTTACTGGTGGAAAAGTTTTAATTGTATGCCATTTTTCATTGCAAAGAAGTGGGGTTTCAGCCAAATTTAAGGAAAATATGATTTTTTGGGGCCAAACTGATTTATTTGTGCTATAGCTATAAATTTTACTTTAGGCCTTCAGCCCTGAAAAGAATGGCTTTAATTTGCCTTTTTAGTATCTAAATCACTTAAGAGTTTCATTTGCCATAATCTTTAGATCTACATTATATTTACCATAGATGGGACTGTAGAGGAAAGGGCTAGGAATATTCTCCCATCATAGCCCCCTACGCACACACATGCATACACACAAACACATGCACACACGCACATGTGCACACACACACCACCTAAAATTTCCCTGAGATGGCTTACCAGTCCTGGAAGGTTTTGTTTACTTGCGTTTCCATTTCTTCAGAAGAAAATTTTCAAGCCTTCTCACACATTTATGCTTTTGTATATAGTGGTTCCTTTAGCACAGGTACCACAGTGGCTTACAGCTCTCTGATCCAACTTCTGTTCCAGCTGACTTTCTGAAACTAATCATCTTGTATCCCTGAATATTGTGTGGGATATTTAAATATAGGATAATTAGGACATTGTTTAGAATTTGGGGTGATTGCCTGGGTTACAGGTAGGGCTTTGGGATCTAGTTTTTTCCTGGTTTGTGTTTCTCAGTCTGCAAGACCTCTTGTAGTGCTGGAGCTGCTTCTCTATTCTTCCCAGTCTCTCATTCCTTTCTCCTCTTCTGGGTTTCTGTCTCTCTTTAAACATTTTTCACATTTCTCACTGTTCTTTCTTATTCTCTCCTTCTTTTTTCTTTTTTGTCCCTCCTACCTTCTTTCCTTCTCATTCTTGATTCTCCTTCTTCCCATCACCTACCTTAGTTCAATTTTCCAGCCTTCCTCGTGGGGAGCACTTCCTGGCTATCTTTCCTGTTCCATTTCTGTGTCTTTACTTCTCCAATTCTATGTCATTATTTTTCTATTTTTTTAAGACAGGGTCTAGCTCCGCTGCCCAGGCTGAAGTGCAGTGGCATGATCTCCACTCACTGCAACCTCTGCCTCCCGGGCTTAAGTGATCCTCCCACCTCAGCCTCCCTAGTAGCTAGGACCACAGGGGTGCGCCACCATGCCCGGCTAATTTTTGTATTTTTTTGTGGAGATGGGGTTTCACCATGTTGCCCAGTCTGGTCTCGAACTCCTGAGCTCAAGCCATCCGCCTGCCTCAGCCTCCCAAAGTGCCAACATTACAGGCATGAGCCACCACACCTGGCCTGTCATTATTTTTCTTTGTCTCTCTCATCCTCCTTTATAGATGCTTGTATATAACCATTTCACAGGTATCTTTAAAAATTACATTCTACAAGAGAAAATTAGGAACACTGGATCCTACTTTTCTTCCAGTTTTGTAACTAGGAACACTTGTGGTTTCTTTGGTCAGGTGGTGAGTCCTGGATCAAAAATGAAGGGCTAGTTATAAAGCAGGAAGCCTCTGAAGAAACAGAGTTGCACAGAATGCCAGTAGGAGGACTTCTCAGGAACGTTTCTCAGCACTTTGATTTTAAAAGGAAGGCACTGAAGCAGACTTTCAATCTAAATCCAAATCTGATACTTCGAGGTGGAATGAAGTTCTATGAATGTAAAGAATGTGGGAAAATCTTCCGATATAACTCAAAGCTTATTCGGCATCAGATGAGTCATACTGGGGAAAAGCCCTTTAAGTGTAAGGAGTGTGGCAAAGCTTTCAAGTCCAGCTATGATTGTATTGTACATGAGAAAAACCACATTGGAGAAGGGCCCTATGAATGTAAGGAGTGTGGCAAAGGTTTGAGTTCCAACACAGCCTTGACTCAACATCAGAGGATCCACACTGGAGAGAAACCCTATGAATGTAAAGAGTGTGGAAAGGCTTTCCGTAGGAGTGCGGCATACCTGCAGCATCAGAGATTACACACGGGAGAGAAACTCTATAAATGTAAGGAATGTTGGAAAGCTTTCGGTTGTAGGTCACTTTTTATTGTCCATCAGAGAATTCATACTGGGGAGAAACCTTATCAATGTAAGGAGTGTGGCAAAGCCTTCACCCAGAAAATAGCCTCCATTCAGCATCAGAGAGTTCACACTGGGGAGAAGCCTTATGAATGTAAGGTGTGTGGGAAAGCCTTCAAATGGTATGGAAGTTTTGTTCAGCATCAGAAATTGCACCCTGTGGAGAAGAAGCCAGTCAAGGTCCTTGGGCCATCCCTGGTCAGTCCCCAGTGCTCCTCTCCAGCCATACCTCCTGTTCTTCTCCAGGGATCCTGTTCTGCTTCAGCCGTAGCTGTGCCTTCACTGACCTTTCCACATGCTGTGCTCATTCCTACCTCTGGGAATTTTTTCATGCTGCTGCCTACATCTGGAATACCTTCTTCATCTGCCCAAATAGTGCGTGTCTTCCAGGGTCTTACTCCCACTGTGAAACCTTCCCCAGTTATTCTCACCCCTTCTTCTCACTCCTCATGAGCTTTATCTTGGCAGTCTTACGGCTCTTATGCCTAGCAAATCTCCAGCCTAATTTTATATATTTTTTTGAGAAAGGGTCTTGCTCTGTCACCCAGGCTAGAGTGCGGTGGTGTGATCTTGGCTCACTGCAACCTCCCCCTCCTGGGTTCAAGCGATTCTCCTCCTTCAGACTCTCGAATAGCTGGGATTACAGGCACGCCTCACCACGCCCAGCTAATTTCTGTATTTTTAGAAGAGATGGGGTTTCGCCATCTTGGCCAGGCTGGTCTCAAACACCTGACCTCAAGTGATCCGCCTGCCTTGGCCCCCCAAAGTGCTGGGATTACAGGAGTGAGCCACTGTGCCCAGCCTCCAACCTAATTTGAGTTTCATTTGTATTTTTTTCATCACCTTACATGTGTTAACAGCTGTTTCAACATAAACTCCATTATAATCTATATACATTTAAAGACCGTGTTTACATAATCTCTTCTGGGTAGAAAATGGAAATACTTAACCTTTGCATTGGTCCCTTTCAGGCTTGAACAACAGTGGCTGTATCTGCATCGTGGGGTTGCTGGTGGTAGAACACTTTGGTGTTAGGAAAGTTTGGAAAAGAGGATATCCCTGTATTAGGCCATTATGATTAGAGATAAGCAGCCTGGGAGAAACATACAAGACCTGTGGCTACTGGTAGAGAATTGGAATAAGCTTCCAACAATGGACTGTAGAGATTAATGGAGATTGTTTAGTGGGCCCATGGCTAGGTGGGGTATTAATACAGTTGAAGTTATGTTGCCCTTGGCACAGATCTTTGAGAATCTCATACATCTGTGAAAAAGATAATGTGAAATAAACAGTAAAAAAAAAAAGTATGTTGATGGCAGTGAGAGTAATCATGTCTTTAAACGTGAAGTTTTTTTTTCTTTAGTTTTGCTCTTGATAGCTAGATGTTTCTTTTAACTTTTATTTCGTAAGTAAATATACACAAAGGCATTCATCTTTGTTGAATCTGTTGTGCAGATTTTTCTTGATGAGCATTCTGTTTTTTTTTCTTTGTGAGCACTGGCTTCTATATTTTATTTCATATTTATGAATTATAAATATGAATTTAATTACTAAAGAAATAAAAATAATGGTGTAAAGCCAACTCGAGGGGAATCTGAATAAGCTTCCAAAATTTTTTTTTTTAAGAAATAAAGGGAGCTGTGTAGTGGGTCAGTGGCTAGGTAGGTTAGTGAAGTGGAATTTGGGGTTGCTCTTGGAAGTGGCCTTGATGAGGATCCTTTACAACTATTCAGAGGACTGTGTGAAGTAGTTACTGGAAAAAGAACTTGAATTATGCATTTATTGGCATTAATGTAAACAGTAAGTCCTAAGCTTTGATGGAAGGGTCCATACATTTTTTTTTTTTTTTTGCTGATGTTGCTATCTAGATGTTTCTCTATAGCAATTAATAGCAAAACCTTTACATTCTTGGTTTTTAAACTTTACCATGTGTCTGAATTACATAGTGTGCTTGTAAAAAGAAGAGTTTTCTCTCTTGCACAAATTCTGATTTTGGCTATCTGTGGTGATGGCCAGATCTTTAGCATGGACCATACTTTGAGAGATATGCTTCAAACAGAAAATGCCCACCCCTCCTCCTTTACCCAGCATAAACTCTATGGTTAATTCTTAAAATAATGCCTTACAGTCTCCATTAACTCCCTTGCCCTTCTCTTGCTTTGTCATGCTCGCTTGGCAAAACCTCATCTCTGACTAAATGCAGTTCTTTGCCTTCTCTGTTCCTGCACCAAAAATGATCAGGAGAAAGCATATTACCAGGCTGAACTGTCACTTTAAATTCATGACCAGTAACTTCATGGAGGCCCTTAACGTTTCCTGATGGTCATACTACAATTTTTGGAGTCCACTTAACTCCCCTGCTTTCCTAGGCCACTACTTTATACTTTCTCTCTTCTGTAACTTCCAAAGCATCCCTCTCAGTTCTCATGCTCAGCTGATGGTTATGTTTCTGCCTTCGGCGAGAGAACAGCAAGCTCCAGAAAGTGGCTGCGCCTTCAGCCCCGTGCTAGAATGAGAACATATGGAGCCAACTTGAGTTCGGAAGGGCTGTGGCCACCTCGTTTCGCCCATCTACTTTTCACCTTGCCGTATCTGATTCTTCACCACCGTATTCTCAGTCACTTCCACTAAACAGTGCCAGTGTTTTAAGGTTCTGTCACACTCAGTAACCCACTTCTGGTTCCTCATTCCGTGTCAGTGATCAGCAGTAGACTGAAGAATCTACCTTAGATTTGCTCCATACTATTAATTAGCTTACAAAATGTCTAAGAGGAGCTAAGCTGGGATGCCACATAGGCAGAAGCCAGGAAAAATGACCAACCACAGAACCAAGTGGTTCCAGTGGAAACTCAGCAGCTGCTGGTGCCTGCTACTGGACTGCCACCCCCCATTGAAGAGACTGGACCACCAGGAAGGTCGTTTCACATTCTGTAGTAAAAATACCCCTACAATCATTTTGGTAGGGTCTTCTGTCTTCAGCCAGGGTGTACCTGCTCGGTGGGAGTTGGTTATATATGTATGTCCAAGTTGCAGGGGCTTCTGGGAAATACAGGTTTTGGATTCTGCCTGGGAAGAGAGTCATAGTATGAAGAAGTCTGAAAATGGGGAAGGGATTTTCAGAATATGTTGAGCAGCTGTAAAATATCAGATACCCATTATAGGCATTGAAGGTTACCTAAATGACAGAAGGATGCACTATATTCATGGGTAGGAAAGATTAGTTTCATCAAGATTTCAATTTTTATCAATTCATAAATTAAAAACAATATAAAAATTCCAGAGGGGTGTGTGTATAGAGAGGCAAAGGACACAGAGTAGCTAACCTAGTTTTGAAGAACAAGATGGGGGGTTTTATGCTACCAGATATTATATACAATGATCATCAAACACAGAACAAAGCAAAAAACAAACTCCCCAAACCCAAGTTGAAACAAAAAAAACCCCCAGACTGTAATAGTATTATTATTATTTTTTAAGATGGAATCTTGCTCTGTTGCTCAGGCTGGAGTGCAGTGGTGCAATCTTGGCTCACTGCAACCTACACCTCCCGGGTTCAAGTGATTCTCTTGCCTCAGCCTCCTGAGTAGTGTGTGCCACCACGCCCAGCTAATTTTTTAATTTTTAGTAGAGACAGGGTTTCACCATGTTGGCCAGGCTGGTCTTGAACTCCTGGCAGCCTCAAGTGATCCACCCACCTCGGTCTCCCAAAGTGTTGGGATTACAGGCGTGAGCCACTGCACCTGGCCTGTAACATGATTTGCTGAAATTTTTAAAAATCTTAAATAATGTACTGTTTAGAAATATACATATTTTATACAAAATTATAAAGAAAGCATAGAGAGGTAAGCATTAGTGGCACAGCTGAGAAAATATAAAAGGTAGTTCTGTCTCTATCCTGTCTCCTTTATTCTGCTACTGCTCTCATTCTGTCTCATCCCAGGAATCCAGTCCCAAGTGCTGCCTGCCAATCGTCCAGCACCCTCCACCTTTGCCACCTATTTCTTGTTGTAAAACAGATGTTTGTTTCTAAAATATAATGAATTAATGATTATCAAAGTACAGGCATACCTCATTTTATTGCAGTTTGTTTTATTGTGTCTTGCGGATATTGCATTTTTTACAAACTGAAGGTTTGTGGCAGGCCTGTGTTGAGCAAGACTATCAGTGCCATTTTTTTTCAACAGCATGTGCTCATTTCATTTTTCTGTGTCTTACACAGAAACTTAAAATATTTCAAACTTTTCATTATATGTGTTTTGGTGATTAGTGACTTTTATGTTTCTATTGTAATTGTTTTGGGGTGCCACAGACTGCATCCATCTAAGACAGTGAGCTTAGTTGATGTGTGTGTGTGTGTTCTGATTACTCCACTAACTGATGGTTCCCCATCTCTCTCCCTCTCCTCAGACCTCACTATTCTCTCAGACACAACAGTATTGAAATTAGACCAATTGATAACCTTACAAACACCTTTAAGTGTTTAAGTGAAAAAGTCACATGCCTCTCACTTTAAATCAAAAGCTAGAAATGATTAAGCTTAGTGAGGAAGGCTAATGTCAACAGCTGAGATAGGCCAAAAGCTAGACTGCTTCTGCCAAACAGTCAAGTTGTGAATGCAAAAGAAAAGTTCTTGAAGGAAATGAAAAGTACTTCTCCAGGGAACACATGAACGATAATAAAGTGGCCAGGTGCAGTGGCTGACACCTAGAATCCCAGCACTTCGGGGAGCCAAAGCGGGAGGATCCCCTGAAGCCAGGAGTCCGAGACCAGCTTGGGCCACAAAGTGAGACCCCTGTCTCTACAAAAAATTAAAAATTTAGCTGGGTGTGGTTGTGCATGCCTGTAGTCCGATCTACTTGGGAGGCTGAAGTGAGAGGATCCCTTTAGCCAGGGAGTTCGAGACTGCAGTGAGCTATGATTGTGCCACTGCACTCTAGCCTGTGTGACAGAATGAAACCAAAAAAAGTGAAACAGCATTATTACTGATATGGAGAAAGTTTTAGGGGTCTGGATCAAACCAACCACAAATTCCCTTAAGCCAAAACCTAATCCAGAGCAAGGCCATAACTGCCATTGTATGAAGGCTGAGAGAAGTGAGGAAGCTGCAGGAAAGTTTGAAGCTAGCAGAGGTTGGTTCATGAGGTTTAAGAAGTCATCTTATCATAAAAGTGCAAGGTGAAGCAGCAAGTGCTGGTGTAGAAGCTGTAGCAATTTATCCAGATCTAGCTAAGTTAATTGATGAAGTTGCTACACCACGAGATTTTCAGTGTATTCCAAACAGCCTTCTTTTGGAAGAAGAAACCATCTAGGACTTTCATGGAGAAGAGAAGTTAATCCCTGGCTTAAAAGCATCAAAGGACAGCTCGTCTCTCTTGTTAGGGGTTCATGCAGCTGGTAACTTTAAGTTGAAGCCAATGCTCATTTACCATTCAGAAAATCCTAGGGCCCATAAGAATTATGCTAAATCCACTCTGCCTGTGCTCTAGAAATGGAAGATCAAAGCCTGGATGACAGCACATCTGTTTACAGCATGGATTACTGAATATTTTAAGCCCACTGTTGAGACCTACTAAATATTAGGAAAAAAGAATTCTGTCAGGTGTGGTGGCTCACACTTGTAATCCCAACACTTTGGGAGGCCAAGGCAGGTGGATCAGTTGAGGTCAGGAGTTTGAGACCAGCCTGACCAACATGGAGAAACCCTATCTCTACTAAAAATACAAAAATTAGCTGGATGTGGTGGTGTGTGCCTGTAATCCCAGCTACTTGGGAGGCTGAGGCAGGAGAATTGCTTGAATCCAGAGGCAGAGGTTGCAGTGAGCTGAGGTTGCACCACTGTGCTTCAGCCTGGGTAACAGAGTGAGACTGTCTCAAAAAAAAAAAAAATTTAGTTCCAAATATTACTGCTCGTTGATAATGTGTCTGGTCACCCAAGAGTTCTGATGGAGATGTACAAAGAGATTAATGTTTTTATGTCTGCTAAACAACATCCATTCTGCAGGATCCATTACTCCATGGGTCAAGGAGTAATTTTGACTTTCAAGTATTATTTAAGGAATACATTTTGTAAGGCTGTGGCTGCCATAGTGGTTGTTCTGTACAAAGTAACTTGAAAACCTTCTGGAAAGGATTCATCATTCTAGATGCCATTAAGGACATTTGTGATTCATGGGAGAAGGTCAAAATATCAACATTAACAGGAGTTCAGAAGACATTGACCTCAACCCTGATGGATGATCTTGAGGGGTTCAAGACTTCAGTGGACGAAGTAACTGCAGATGTGGTGGAAATAGCAAGATAACTAGACTTAGAAGTGGAACCTGCATATGTGACTGAATTGCTGCAATCTCATGATAAAACGTGAACAAATGAGGAGTTGCTTCTAATATAAGAGCCACAAAAGTGGTTTCTTGAGATGGAAACTACTCCTGGTGAAGATCCTGTGACCATTGTTGAAATGACAACAAAGGACTTAGAATATTACATAAACTTAGTTGATAAAACAGCAGCAGAGTTTGAGAGGATTGACTTCAATTTTGAAGAATGTTCCACTGTGGGTAAAAGGCTATCCAACAGCAACACATGCTACAGATAAATCTTTCGGAAAGGAAGAGTCAGTTGATGTTGCAGCCTTCCTTGTTGTCTCATTTAAAGAAATCTCTAGAGCCACACTAACCTTCAGCAACCACCACACCGATCATTCAGCAGCCATCAACAGTGAGGCAAGACTGTCTTCCAGCAACAAAGACTCACTGAAGACTTAGATTATCGTTAACATCTTTTAGCAATAAAATATTTTTAAATTAAAGTATGTACATTGTCAGATATAATGCTATTGCAAACTTAATAGACTATAATATAGATTAAACATAACTTTTATAGGTACTGGAAAATAAAAATAATTGTGTGACTCCCTTTATTGTGTTAAACATTTTATTACAGTTGTCTGGAAGCAAACCTGCAATATCTCCAAGATATGCCTGTATTTTTCAAAATGTGGTCTTTTAACATTGCTATGAAGTTTATCAGTAATAATATCTTATTTCATGGTTGTCCAGAAGTTACATAACTTGTCTTAATCTAAAAATCATATCATTTAAAAAGCCTGATGATTTAATATTTTTCATAAAGAAAACTTTTGACAATTTGTTTTTAAGAGACAAAGTTTTCTATGTTGCCCAAACGATTTGAACTCTGGGGTCAAGCGATCCTTCTCCCTCAGCCTCCCAAGTAACTGGGACTACAGGGCATTTGACAGTTGTATTACATGAAACCCAATTGTAAGGCTAGCTCATATCTTTCTCTTAAATGAATCAGCAACAAGTGTTACGATTTCATTTCCACTGGTCTACTTATTTGTTTCAATGGATTTGTGGTGTTATAGGAAATTTCAGTTGGCCCAAAAGTTTCAATCTACTCCATTTTGCTGCTTCCACAAGGGCACCTTGGATTTTAATAATGATAAAAAGATATACTTTCCTGGTACTATTCCCCATTTGACATTTAAGCACAGGGCATTGAAAGGTTAGACTTTTACATTTCAGGTTTGTATAGAAAGAAATGAGGCTCCGGAGAGAGTAAATGACCTTGCTAATGGTTGCAGTGGTTGGGGACAAAGTTGAAGTATATTAATGTGCACACTCAGCCCTGATGCTAACTTTCTAACAATAACAGTCTCAAGTTATAACAGCAGTTTTCAGTGTATCAAGTGATTACTTACATGAAATAGGGTTTTTTTTGTTTTTATTTCTGTTTTTGCAGGTAGTCTTAGCAGTTCAATTGTAATTTGTTCTTCAGTAACTATCAAACTGGTTAATTATGGAAGGAGTGATGTCCATTAGATTGTAGAGGTGTAAATAATGAGTGTCAAATATATAGGCAGCAGAAATCTGAAGACAAATTGTGCCTGTTACTGAGAAGGGAGGTTCTCTTCACAGCTGCTGTGAGCTGGGGACAGAGCAGTTTTCTTGTACTTTTCAGATCTCTCATTTTCCATAAACAAAGTGCTTAATTGTTTTATAAACAATCTAGAAGGGATGTCTATATCACTTGTACAGATTGTCCATTTTTAATCTCTTGATTATATAAGCAGCTTTTTTTTTCTGAGATGGAGTTTTTGCCCTTGTTGCCCAGGCTGGAGTGCAATGGCATGATCTCGGCTCACCGCAACCTCTGCTTCCTGGGTTCAAGCGAGTCTCCTGCCTTAGCCTCCTGAGTAGCTGGGATTACAGGCATGTGCCACCATGTCTGGCTAATTTTGTTTTTTTAGTAGAGACGGGGTTTCTCCATATTGGTCAGGCTAGTCTGGAACTCCCAACCTCGTGTGATCCACCCGCCTGGGCCTCCCAAAGTGCTGGGATTACAGGCGTGAGCCACCGCGCCAGGCTATATAAGCACCTTTTAAATTTAAAGAATTGCCCGGGCGGCTCGACGCCTGTAATCCCAGCACTTTGGGAGGCTGAGGCGGGCAGATCACGAGGTCAGGAGATCAAGACCATCCTGGCTAACACGGTGAAACCCCTTCTTTACTAAAAATCCAAAAAAAACTAGCCGGTCATGGTGGCGGGCGCCTGTAGTCCCAGCTACTCAGGAGGCTGAGCCAGGAGAATGGCGTGAACCCGGGAGGTGGACCTTGCAGTGAGTAGAGATTGCAGCACAGCACTCCAGCCTGGGCGACAGAGCGAGACTCCGTCTCAAGAAAAAAAAAAAAAAAATTAAAGAATTGTTTTCTACTCAAGCAGGGAACTGCTTAGGGCAAACCTGCCTTCTATTCAAAGTCACTCCTCTGCTCACTGAGATAGATGCATATCTGATCTGCCGCGTTTGGAAAGAGTAATCAGAAACTCTAAAGAATGTAACCCTTTGTGTATCACCTAGCTGACCTGGAAGCTCTCTCGGTGCTTCAAGTCTTCCTGCCTTTTCTTCAAGTTGTTCCGCCTCTCCAGACCGACCCAATGTACTTCTTACATATATTGACTGATGTCTCATGTCTCTCCCTAAATATATAAAACCAAGCTGTGCCCTGACCACCTTCGGCACATATCAGGATTTCCTGAGGCTATGTCACGGGCACATCATCAATCTTTGCAAAATAAACTTTCTAAATTAACCGAAATAAATAAATAAATGTTTTCTAACTATAAAAGAAATATGTGCTTAGAGCAAAAAACTTACCTAGAAAAGTACCTAGGCCTGAATTCCACCACTTTTAATATTTGGTGAACACACATATGTACACATACACAAATTATAAATTGCATATTCTATTGTACGTTTCTGTTTCTCAGCAGAATATCATGCACATGTCCCAATTAACAAGCTATGTTTAATGGATGCATCATATTACATTCCATGGACTTATACTCTTTACGTAAGCAGTCTCATTATTGAACATTTAGGATATTTCCATTTTGAATCTCATTTATTTATTTAGAGACAGGATCTCGCTTTGTCACCCAGGCTGGAGTGCAGTGGTGCAATCACAGGTCGCTGCAATCACTGCCTTCTGGGCTCAGGTGATACTCCTGCCTCAGCCTCCTGAGTAGCTGGGATTACAGGCATGTGCCACCACAACTGGCTAATTTTTTCATTTTTTGTAGAGACAGGTTGTCACTATGTTACCCAGGCTGGTCTCAAACTCCTGGGCTCAAGTGCTCTTCCTTCCTTGGCCTCCCAAAGGGCTGGGATTACAAGCATGAGACACCGTACCCAGCCTTTGAATCTCTTTTAAATACTTTGAGAAACAACTTGTACATACATGATGATACAGTCATGATTTTTAAAAGTTTATTTCCAAGGATTTTTTTTTTTTAATAAAAGAAATAGGGCCAGGTCTGGCGGCTCATGCCTGTAAATGCAGCACTTTGAGAGGCTGAGGCAGGTAGATCACTTGAGCCCAGGAGTTGGAGACCAGCCTGGGTAACATGGTGACAACCTGTCTCTACAAAAAATGAAAAAATTAGCCAGTTGTGGTGACACATGCCTGTAATCCCACGCTACTCAGGAGGCTGAGGCAGGAGTATCACCTGAGCCCAGAAGGCAGTGATTGCAGCAACCTGTGATTGCACCACTGCACTCCAGCCTGGGTGACAGAGTGAGACCCTGTCTCAAAAAAAGAGAGAAATAGAGAAGAAAGAAAAAGAAGGACGGAGGGAGGGAGGAAGGAAGGAAGAGAAATATTTAAATTAAAGTGAAGGGAGGAAGGAAGGAAAATATTTCAATTAAAGTGGAGATCCCTTTTGTTGTTCTCCCTGTTTCCCTCTGTTATTTTCCCAGAGTTCATAAGAAATATATAATATTGCTTTATGTATTTATTTTTGAGACAGGGTCTTACTCTGTCACCCAGGCTGGAGTGCAATGGCCCAGTCATGGCTCACTGCTTCCTAGGCCTCTTGGTCTCAAGCATTCCTCCTACCTCAGCCTCCCTAGTAGCTGGGACTCCAGGTGTCCGTCACCACACCTGGCTAATTTTTTAATCTAATTTTTATAGAGATGGATTCTTTTTTCTTTTTCTTTTCTTTTTTTTTTTTGAGATGGAGTCTCCCTCTGTCACCCTCTGTCACCCAGGCTGGAGTGCAGTGGCACGATCTCGGCTCACTACAACCTCCACCTCCTGGGTTCAAGCGATTCTCCTGCTTCAGACTCCGAAATAGCTGGGATTACAGCACCTGCCACCATGCCTGGCTAATTTTTTTGTATTTTTAGTAGAGACGGAGTTTCACCCTGTTGGCCAGGCTGGTTTCAAACTCCTGACCTCAAATGATCTGCCTGCCTCGGCCTCCCAAAGTGCTAGGATTACAGGTGTGAGCCACCACGGCTGGTGAGATGAGTTCTTGCTGTGTTGCCTAGGCTGGTCTCGAACTCCTGGCCTCCAGCCTCGGCTTACCAAAGTGCTGGGATTGCAGATGTGAGCCAGGAGACTCACATCTCCTGCATCCATTAAACATAGCTTACTTGTTAATTGGGAGATGTGCACAATATTCTGCTAATTTGTACATTTTAAAAAGTTACATAGATGCTGTTGTTCCAGGGGCACTGGAGACAGTTATGCCAGGTACAACTATGTACAGTGATTCTATATTAGTTTCAGTGTATCATTTAGCAACTTTTTTCTATTAACAAATTGCTTGAGATATAGTACTATAGAACATGTGGTTTAGCAAAATTAGGGAATAAACCAAAAAAGAGAAAAGCTTTGTGTCCAGGAAATGGAGGATCAAATATTCATAGAAAAGTGAAGGAACAGGAAGACAATTGTGTGCCTGTCTTAGGCAACAACCAGTTCAAATTGGTGGAGGAGGAGGAGGATGAAAAACTGAGAAGAAGGACTCCAGGAAAAAAGGGCAAAAAATTAAAAAATCCCAATCCATTATTGTACGATGTCAGAACACCAAAGATAAAGAAAAGATTACACATCAGGAAATTGGATTCAGAATGGCATCAGGCTTCTCAATAGCAACATGGGATGCTGAAAGATAGTGAAGGATCTCCTTCAAAATCCTAAAGAAAATTATTTTCAACCTAGAATTACACCCATAGTCAAATATCAATCGAAAGTAAATTTATGTGAGCAGAATGCCACGCACTGACTGATAAACGTACTGACAATGCTGGAGTTAGAAAAATAATCATATTGCAAGCATTATAGTAAAGATTGGTTCAGGTAACAATCATTAATGGATGCTGAATCTAGAGGGAAATTTAATGAGGAGGAGAATATTTGTATAGTCTTAAATATCTACCCATGGAAAGCTTATTAGTTGCAAGAGAAAGCACAGTAAGCATCTAGAGATTGTACAACATCTTGACTGGACACAAAAAATTAACACCACCAATGAGAAGTATGTAGAAATTGTGATCTCCATATGTGATGATCTGAAAAAGGCACATCACTTGAATGAATTTTCGAACCAGAGACAAATATCTGGATCTAACCACAAGGATGCACCAGATAAGCCCAAAATAGAGTACGTTATATTACAAAAGGAGTTTCTGTATTCTTAAAAAAGTGTTAATTGGTGTAAAAGACAAAGATTGAGAAAAGATTCCAGATTATGGGTGACTAAAGAGACATGTCAACTAAATGCAATGCTTGATCTGACTGAATCTTCTACTAGAGGAGAAATAAACTGCTAAAACAGACATTGTTGGGCCAATTTACAACATTAGAATCTAGACAATATATAAAAACATTGGACCAATGTTAAATTTACTAAAGTTGATAACTGTGTTATGGTTATTTGGAGAATATTTTATTCCATGGAAATATTATATATACACTGAAGTATTTATAGAAAAAGGGCCATGGTGTATGTAACTTTTTTTTTTTTTTTTTTTGAGACGGAGTTTCGCTCTTTTTGCCCAGGCTGGAGTGCAATGGCATGATCTCGGCTCACCGCAACCTCCACCTCCCCGGTTCAAGTGATTCTCCTGCCTCAGCCTCCCGAGTAACTGAGATTACAGGCATGCGCCACCATACCTGGCTAATTTTGTATTTTTAGTAGAGATGGAGTTTCACCATGTTGGTCAGGCTGGTCTCAAACTCCTGACCTCAGGTTATCTGCCCACCTCAGCCTACCTAAGTGCTGGGATTACAGGCATGAGCCACCACGCCCGGCCTATGTAACTTATCCTTAAATATTTTAGAAAAAAATGATTATTTGTCTATCTAATCTTCTATCACGTATTCATTCACCCATCCACAAGAGAGAAAGAAAGGAAGAAAAAGAAAATGCTGAAGAAAATTGAGTAAAATATTAATAAGTGAGTCTGGGTAAAGGGTAACAAGTGTTTCATGTATATTCTTATTCTTAACAGCTCTTCTATAAATTTGAAATTTTTCCAAAACAAAAAAATATTATAAAGATATTTTAAGCATTCAGGGACTAAATAATTTAACCATCATGTTATAAGAATATATGTGTTTCAGAAAAATGAGGAAATAATGAAAAGATTTAGGGGATCCAGGAAATTGGGTATCCAGCACAGAAGAAGGAGAGAATGATTCTCCTTCTCTCGTACAATTGTATACTAGGGTTAGGCAGCAACCAATCAAGATTCTAATAGAACAATAAGAGGTTGTGAGAGGGACATATTCTGGAGAAAAAAAAAGGTGGGGGGAATTGATAGATTGCTTGAGGTGCTTAAGTGTTGGGGAAAATACTGTTTGACAGGTCTGTGGGAGAAAAGGGTCATAAAAAACAAAGCAAATTACAAAAAGAATTCAGGCTACTGTGAACTACAGGAAAAACAAAGTTGAGTGAGAAAAAATGTAATTAGAAAACACTACTTAGTTTAGAAAGTAATATTTATGCAGCCATGATAATGTAAATGCTGCATTTCATTACAACCAAAATTTATGGATATAATAATATTGAGAGAATGAGAGTAATAATGTTGGGAGAATGGGAGTATAGTGAGATGTAAAACAGCTAAATCCTCAATAATTACAACAGGAACTTAACTGATTCTAGCTAAAATGGATAACTACCTCTATGAAGAGCAGTGTAAACACATGTGGCAGCTACAGTTGGTTGTCTACAAAACATCCAATCGCTTCCTTCCTTCTGTCTGGGTTTCGTTCAGCATTCCCTCCCTCCATTAGCCATGCACAGCAAGGTGCATCTCCAGAGGGTAGACATTGCTTGCTCCAAGTCAATTATGCTGTTTCTGTACCCCTTCCTGACCAGCTAGGGCACAGCAATGTGCTGCAATTCTAGCCAATAACACACAAGGGAGGGCTTCTTAGGAGCTTGAAGGAGTAAATTTTTTACTCTTACAAAAGAGACACTGAGGAAGTGGCCTTTCGGTATTGTCACGTCTGGATGTGGTATTCAGAGCTGTTGCATTCATCTTGTGAGCCTGAGGTGAGCCAGACAAAATGACAGAGGGCAGACAGAGCCCAGATAATCTCCGAGAAGTGGAGCCCGGATCACACTACACCTTATATTTTCTTTTGGAAACATCTTTAAAAGATAAAATCAACATAAAATAAATATAAAGTAAAAAAAAAAAAAAAAAGAAAGAAACTAGTACTTTTTGCCATCTAAGTCCTTCATCCAGATGTTATTGTGAACAGGGTGCACATTATTTAGGTCATTTTCCATATGCATATGTGATTTTTAAAATAAATGTATGTATGTTCATACATACATGAACACATATACAATTTTTAAAAAGCCCAATGGGGATCATACTATAGGCCAGTGATTCTCAAACTTGAAAATGCTTAAGAATTCTCTGGAGGGTTTCTTAAATACAGATTACTAGATCCTATTCACAGAAATGCCACACTGCAGGGCATGCTCAGTCCTTCCAAGGATTAGTGGGCAGACACATCTGGAGGCCTGGCCACCTCAGACCTTCTGAACATTCATGACTCATGTCTCCACTCCTCCCACTGCTCTCTCGAGTCTTGAGGGAATAATCCCATTCTAGATTCCCCTTCTCAAACAGAAAAACACAAGGCCTGCATTGAATCCTCTCTCCAGGCTAGTTAATTCCCTCAATAAACTTAGGCTTTTAAGAGAAAATGCCTGTTTTTAGGGATTATTTTCATGTCAGTAGATTCCAATGTGCAGTTTCTTTCCCTCCTTCTCTCCCTCCCTCCCTCTCTCTCTTTCTTCTTTTTTTCTTTTTCTTTCATTCTTTCTTTTTTTTAAGAAACATAAACACATTATTATTATTATACTTTAAGTTCTAGGGTACATGTGCGCAACGTGCAGGTTTGTTACATATGTATACATGTGCCATGTTGGTGTGCTGCACCCATTAACTAGTCATTTACATTAGGTATATCTCCTAATGCTATCCCTCCCCCCTCCCCCCACCCCACGACAGGCCCCGGTGTGTGATGTTCCCCACCCCGTGTCCAAGTGTTCTCATTGTTCAATTCCCACTTATGAGTGAGAACATGCGGTGTTTGGTTTTCTGTCCTTGTGACAGTTTGCTCAGAATGATGATTTTCAGCTTCATCCATGACCCTACAAAGGACATGAACTCACCCTTTTTTGAAACACAAACACTTTTTAACTGCTCCCATGAAAAGAGAAAAATCCAGATTTTAGTACCCAAGATACTGGCTACTCTCCTGGTAGAGGAAACAAAAATAACTCACTCCTTGATGGTTGGCAGCAGCAAAATCAAGCAAACGAACCGTAAGTCACTTTTTAAATTGCCCTGCCACATCCATGTATGCCAGATGCTGCAGTAAGACCCATCAGATGAACCTTTTCAAGATGCTTTCTGCCTGATTTACTCTTTCTGCTCTTTACAATATATTTTCCCTGCAAATGAGTGCATGCTCATTCTGCCTGATTTTCTACCTCCCGGCAAACCTTCATTACAAAGATACTGAGAAACAGGCTGGCAGAAACCTTCAGGGAACATCAGCAGACTTGAATCTAAAATGATTATGGGCAGGCGCGATGGCTCATGCCTGTAATCCCAGCACTTTGGGAGGCTGAGGTAGTAGGATCACTTGAGGTCAAGAGTTTGAGACCAGCCTGACCAACATGGTGAAACCCCGTCTCTACTAAAAATACAAAAATTAGCCGGACATGGTGGCGGGCACCTGTAATTCCATCTACTCGGAAGGCTGAGGCAGGAGAATCACTTGAACAAGGGAAGCGGAGGTTGCAGTGAGCCAAGATCGTGCCATTGCACTCTAGCCTGGGTGTCGCGGTGAGACCGTCTCAAAAAACAAACAAACACAAAACAAAACAACAAAAAAATGATGATTGGCTGGCATGGTGGCTCATGCCTGTGATTCCAGCACTTGGGGAGGCCTAGGCAGATGGATCACTTGAGGTCAGGAGTTCTGACCAGCCTGGCCAACATGGTGAAACCCTGTCTCTACTAAAAAATACAAAAATTAGATGCGTGGTGGTGCGCGCCTGTAATCTCAGCTACTCGGGAGGCTGAAACAGGATCATTGCTTGAACTTGGGAGGCAGAGGTTGCAGTGAGCCGAGATCATGCCTCTGCACTCCAGCCTGAGCAACAGAGCGAGACCCTGTCTCAAAAAACAAACAAACAAACAGAAAAAATGATAACTGTTCTTTGAAGACAAATTTATTCTAAATTAAGTGTGCTTTTCTAACAATAATGAGATATGCGACAGTTGATGACACATTGGTGAACCCACTAAACAAATTAATTCATTCTCTTAACAATACTTATTGGGTGCCTACTATGTGCTAGGCATTGCGCTAGGACTAAGATATCGTGATAAACAAGTCATCCCCTCTTGGACCTTATAATCTTTTGAGGGAGACAGTACAACAGATAATTGAGCAAGTTATGATAATTTTGGTAAGCACTTGAAGGAAAGGTATGGGGTATTGTGAGTAAAGAGGAGGGGCTGAGGGAAAAACGCAAATGTCCTGCAATAGTCAGGTACATGGCTCATTTGAAATACTGAAGGAAGTTTGCTGTGGCTCGAATAATGAGTGAAGGATGGAGAAAATAAAAAGTACACGATAGTACCATTTTACTAGTGTAACTTGCTTACTTGTTAAATAGAGATTTTTTTAAAAAAATTCTTTTTGTAGAGATGGGGTCTCACTCTGTTGCCCAAACTGGTCTTTAACTTCTAGCCTCAACTGATTCTCCCACCTTGGCCTCCAAAGCACTGGAATTACAGGTTTGAGACACTGTACCTGGCCTCTATCAATTATTGAGAATGGAGTATTGAAGTCTCCAACTATATTACTGAGTTGTCTCTTTTACAATTCAATTCTTTTAATTTTAGTTTCATGTATTTTGGGGCTCTATTATTAGGTGCATGTATGCTTATAATTATTATTTCTCCATGCCAAATTGAGTTTTTTTTTAACTGTTACAAAACATCTTTCTGTCTCAGGTAACTTTTTTTTTGTCTAGAAGTCTCTTTTGTCGATATAATACAACTACTTCAGCTCTCTGATGGTTACTGTGTGTATAGCATATCTTTTTGTCATGATTTTATTTTTAGTTTAATTGTGACTTTGATTCTAAATTGTGTCTTTTAAGATAGCATATAGTTTGATTATTTAAAAAATCTATTTTGCTAGTCTATGCCTTATAAGGCCTACTTCATTTAAACTTAATGTAATTACTGATATGGTAGGATTTACATCTGCAACTTTGCCATTTGTTGCCTATATGTCTTATGTCTTTTTTGTTCCTGTGTTCCTCTACTGCCTTGGCCTCCCAAAATGCTGGAATTACAAGCATGAGACACGACACCCGGCCCTGGACTCATGTTCTTAAAAAGTTATTATTCAATGTGTTATAACCAATTTCAGTCATTATTATTATTCCTTTTTTTTTTTTTTTTTTGAGACAGAGTCTTATTGTGTCACCCAGACTGGAGTTCAGTG
This sequence comes from Homo sapiens, assembly GCF_000001405.40. Lineage (NCBI taxonomy): Eukaryota > Metazoa > Chordata > Mammalia > Primates > Hominidae > Homo > Homo sapiens. Next base: position 40,549,997 of record NC_000003.12, read on the forward strand.
GTGCCATCTTGGCTCACTGTAACCTCCACCTCCCAGTTCAAGTGATTCTTCTGCCTCAGTCTCCTGAGTAGCTAGAATTAGAGGCTCATACCACCACACCCAGCTAATTTTTGTATTTTTAGTAGAGATGGGGTTTCACCATGTTGACCAGGTCTGATCTCAAACTCCTGACCTCAAGTGATCCACCCACCTCACCTTCCCAAAGTGTTGGGATTACACGCATAAGCCACCATGCCTGACCATTATTCTTATTCTTGAGTTGTCTTAAATTTGGCTTCTAGGAGCCCTTTCATTCTGGCTCCTGTGTCCTTTGGCCCTCCTCCAACTGGTATTTGAGCATTTTTGTGCTTGCTGATGCAATATGATGTCCTACACTTAGTTGATACTTCCTGTCTCAGCCCTGGAATCAATGATTTCTCTGAGGAGCTCTGGTATGGGATGGTATTCAGACACCAAGAGCTGGCTAGATAGCTTGTTATCTTCACCATGGATTATTCAAGACTAGTTCATTGGTGTGGGCTGCTGGACTTTTCTTTCCTTCTTTCCTCCTTTCCTCCTTTCTCTCTTTCTCTCTTTCTCTCTCCCTCTCTCTCTCTTTCTTTCTTTCTGAGGGAGTCTCGCTCTGTCACCCAGGTTAGAGTGCAGTGGCGTGATCTTGGCTCACTGCAACCTCCGCTGCCCAGGTTCAAGCAATTCTCCTGTCTCAGCCTCCCAAGTAGCTGGAACTACAGGTGCACACCACCATGCCTGGCTAATTTTTGTATTTTAGTAGAGATGGGGTTTTGATGGGGTTGCCATGTTGGCCAGGCTGGTCTCGAACTCCTGACTTCAAGTGACCCACCCACCTCAGCCTCCTAAAGTGTTAAGATTACAGGCGTGAACCACCATGCCCAGCCAGGACTTTTCTTTATGTCTTGAATTATAGCTTCATGTGGAAACCCAAAGTGAAGAACAAGATTGATTGCTATGATCTTGGTGCTGAAGGATGATGACAAGGGATATCAACTGTTGGTTCTCATTTGAACCTTAGTCATTGTGGGATTTTTATTATAAGAAACAAGTAGGCCGGGCGTGGTGGCTCATACCTGTAATCCCAGCACTTTGGGATGCTGAGGCAGGTGAATCACCTGAGGTCAGGAGTTCCTGACCAGCCTGGCCAACATAGTAAAACGCTGTCTCTACTAAAACTACAATAAATTAGCCAGGCGTGGTGGTGGGAGCCTGTAATCCCAGCTACTGGGGAGGCTGAGGCAGGAGAATTGCTTGAACCCAGGAGGCGAAGGTTGCAGTGAGCCAAGTTTGCGCCACTGCAATCCAGCCTGGCCAACAGGAGTGAGACTCTGTCTCAAAAAAAAAAAAAGAAACAAGTAAATAATTTATGATTGGCTGACATGTCTAATTTATACAGCTATCTGATTTCCAAATAACTAACAGAGTACTTGGCATATTTGTAATCACCAGGGAGGTTCTTCCTGCCTGCTGCACAGACAAAACCAATTCACTGAGACCATATGGCACTGCAATAAAGTAAGAGTTTAATTGACATGAGGTGGGCCATGCCATGCAGGAGAGAAAGTTATTATTCAAATAAATCTCCCTGAAGGTTCATAGATTAGAGGTTTTCAAGGATAGTTTGGTGGACTGGGGACTAGGGAATGGGGAATGCTGATTGGTTGGGGATGAAATCATAGGGGTGTGGAAAATGGTCCTTGCTGAGGTGCTGAGTCTGTCTCTGGGTGGGGCCACAGGACCAGTTGAGTCATGGGTCATGAGTCCAGGTGGGGTCAGTCTGAACAACATTTCAAAAAACCAATGTTAGGTTCTACAATAGTGATGTTATATCTAAAACTAATCTTAGGTTCTATAATAGTGATATTATCTATAAGCAGTTGAAGAAGCCACAAATCTTGTGACCTCTTGAACAATGGCTGGTTATCATTTAACTAAGCCTATATCTTAACAGAATTCAGGCCCCTCTCTAATCCTAAACTTGTGGATTTTCACTAATTATACAAAGGCAGTTTAGTTTTGGGAAGGGCTATTCATCCTTGCTTTAAAGTTAAACTATGAGTTCTCCCAAAGTCAGCTGGTCTACATGCAGGAGTGACCAAGTATAGCTTGGAGATTAGAAACAAGGTGGAATCGACTATGTCAGATTTATCTTCTGTCATAATTTTGCAAAGGTGGTTTCGGTTAAACTCCGTCTCTACCAAAAATACAAAAAATTAGCCAGGCGCGGTGGCGGGCGCCTGTAGTCCCAGCTACTCGGGAGGCTGAGGCAGGAGAATGGCGTGAACCCAGGAGGCGGAGCTTGCAGTGAGCCAAGATAGCGCCACTGCACTCCAGCCTGGGTGAAAGAGCGAGTCTCCGTCTCAAAAAAAAAAAAAAAAAAAAAAAAAAAGGTGGTTTCAATCTCTTCCTTGAGTTTTAGTACATATCAATCCTGAGGTGTGAGCTATGGAGATGGGGATGGGAAAAGGGCAATGACTGCTTTTCTTCCTGTTGACAGGGGAATAGTTGGGGTAGGGTTGCCCATAGGGTAGGAGGATTGAAACCATCTAGCAGTTGTTTGCGTGTATTCACAGGTCCCTGGGTTGGGATACCAAGGTCTTCATAACAAAAACATTAGTACTCTTATCCACACAGCACTTAAGTGAATCACAGACTATAAGATAAATAATGAGCCCAACTTAAGGAATGATAGTCTTAGCTTCAGGAATCCCTGTAGAACTGACCTGAAGCCTTGAGAGATCCAGGTGAATGACCCTGAGAACCAATCAGATATTGGGTCATTAGCAGTGACTCAAAAACAATGGACAAGGTTGGAATCTAATAACAGGCAAACTATAGTTTTTCTGAAACATAATTTTTCTCTCTCCAATTTTCCATTTCTACCTAAAACAAATCATAATAGGACCAATTTATTTGCAAAATAAGTTTTAGTTTTATAATACTTGGCTCAATTATTTGTATACTGAGCAGCAAGAATAAGTATTTGCTATATAGGCTCTTTTGTTTTTAATAAAAGGCTTTCCTGGAATTTATTTCATAAGGAAGCTCAGATTAAATCTTTTAAAAAGCCTCTTGAGCCCAGCCAACTATTTATCTGTGCCTGCAGATACCTGTACAAATTGAGTGAGTTCTTCTCTTCTTGAGATCCCAAAATAACTTGGGGTTCCTAGGCCTGTCAGAAAGCAACATTCTTTCATGGTCATGAAAGGCGAAGGAATTGTTCCAGATTAAAGGAGATTGAGGAGACATGACAACTAAATTCAATGTGTGATCCTAAATTTGGATTCTAGATGACAAAAAGTACATAAGAACGTCCTAAACTTAGATTCTAGATGACAAAAAGAACAATTGGTAAAAATTTGAATAAAGTTTGTAGGTTAGATAGTGCTGTATTAATGGTAATTTCCTTGTTTCAAAAATTGTAATATGGTTATATAAGAAGTTAACATTTGGCCGGGCGCGGTGGTGGCTCATGCCTGTAATCCCAGCACTTTGGGAGGCCGAGGTGGGCGGATCACGAGGTCAGGAGATAAAGACCATCCTGGCTAACACAGTGAAACCCCATCTCTACTAAAAATAGCCAGGTGTGGTGGCGGGGCACCTGTAGTCCCAACTTCTTGGGAGGCTGAGGCAGGAGAATGGTGTGAACCCAGGAGGCAGAGCTTGCAGTGAGCCAAGATCACGCCACTGCACTCCAGCCTGGGCAGCAGAGCGAGACTCCGTCTCAAAAAAAAAAAAAAAAAAGAGTTAACATTTGGGGAATCTGGATACATACAGGATTTTTGTACTATTTTTCAACTTTTTTGTGTGGCTAAAATTATTTCAAAATAAAAGGTTAAAAAAAAAAAGAGTGACGTTCTTTATCTACCACAGTTTAGAAACCCTGTAAAGGATAAAGTATGAGGCCAGTTTTTCCAAAGAGTTTTGACTGGCTCTATTAGATCAACTTCAGTTCCTCAAAACAGTCTGAAAACATGTCATTCCAGCCAAAGCAATGGTAAAACAGCCAGCGTCTCCAATTGTGTCCTGTTACAAAAGAAAACAGATCCTTATTGAAATTATACAAATAACAATATTACCATAAGCTAAGAATACTCAGAAATAGCTTCCAAATTCTAGAGAAATCAGGTAGAGAGAAATATGCTTTAAAGTTCGCTCACAGGAGTGTACATTACTCAATTGTTAAAAGATGTAAATAGCTCAAAAGACAAGAAATTTTTTGACTCTTAAAAACAAAACACAAAGAATCAGCCACATTTCAAGCAAAAAGTCATAACAAGATTATTTCAGTCTTCTATTAGTTCAGTTCATGCAATTAACTCCTGTTCTGCTTGATATTGATGAACACATCAGCTCTCCTGTGAGAGTCCTGGAAGTTTTTCCCTCTACTTTAATGGCACAGTTTCCAAAGTTATCAGAAATCTGCAGCCAAGAGTATCTTTTAAAAGGCAAACCACCTTTTACTTATTTTATTTTTTAGAGACAGGTTCTTGTTCTGTCTCCCCAGCTGGAGTGTGGTGGTGTGACCTTAGCTCACTGCAACCTCAAACTCCTGGGCTCAAGTGATCCTCCCACCTCAGCCTCCCAAATAGCTGAGAATATGAATGCATGCCACCATCTCTGGCTAATTTTTGTAGAGATGGGGTCTTACTTTGTTGGCCAGGCTGGTCTCAAACTCCTGGCTTCAAGTGATCCTCCTGCCTTGGCCTCCCAAAGTGCTGGGATTACAAGTGTGAGCCCCCATGCCCAGTCACAAACCACCTTTTTAAAAGGATCAATCAAGATAGTAATTATCTGTGACAAATATCTCAGGAAAGCAATGGTTAAAGACACAATCAACAAGGAAATCTGGTCACCTCTGTGGCACACAAACAATTGAATGTAACAATTATAAATATTATTGATAACGTATACGGAGACATATTAGAATTATAGGAAGCTTAATTTTGGAACACATACTGATAATATATTTATATAAATATAACCTAAATAAATTTAAACACCATTTTATATTTGTCAATGTTTTCTGTATGGTTTTGGTATGCCAAAGGTGATTATGTCTCTTTCGGACTTTAGGGGACCCTCAAAAAAGACTTACTTTAGCATTTGGTTTTGGAAAGTGTGTCAAATATCAAAGGTTTAAAACACTTGATACCCCAAAATAGGATTATAGGTCATTTATTTAGCTGAAGTGATAACTAAAAAAATTTTAAAGTGCAAAAACCTTTACTTGTTGGTAGAAGGGAGACTCAGCTTTCCAAATAAGACCCAGTAAAGACAATATGAACTCAATTGAGGCTGTCTCTTTTCTTTCCCATCTTTTTCCCTTTTTTTCCTGCAGTTTATTTAAAAGGTAAAGAAAAATCTTTCATCATCTCTCAATATTATGTGAAAATCTTGTTCAAAAGAGAAAACCAAATTCTACCTTTTCATTGTATTATTCATGTTAAACCTAATTTTTAATAAAACCTTATAAAATCATTCTTAATCAATTTGACCATATGGCAAGATTTCCATAAACCCTCTATAATTCATTATAATTTTCTATCAAAGAACAGACCAATGTTCCAAGGTAACCCTGTTATTCTGACACATGGGCCCAGATTCTAGCCCTGCATCAGTGTGCTTTTTATTTTAATGTTTAATTTATAGAAAAACTAAATAAGTTTTTTCAAATGTTAGCCAACTTGCTTAAACACATAGAACTTCCATTACGAGATCGATGTTTTACAAATCTTTTACAACTTGCTTAGCCTTTCAGTTTTGTCCTATAATTTTTTTAACTTAAGATAATCCTTAAATTTCTAAACTAGAAAAAATTACTTTCTCTTTAATAAAAACCATACTTCTTATAAAAACCATGTCTTCTTATAATCTTTTATGAAAACACATTCTACTTTCCTTATATGCCTTGCATGTAAAACTATTTCTCAGTAGTCTCAATTACATATGTTACAGTGTTAACTCTTAGCAAACTTTTATTTTTGGTGAGGAACCTGAAATATAAGCAAGTTTAACCATGTATCAGATTGCAGAGCCCAGGATAAGGATAGAGCTGCAGACATGTCTGACTCTTCCCAGCATAGCCAGGGGACATGGCTAACTCCATGTCTACAGGCCTTATGTAAAATTTAATGGCTGTAAAACAGAAAAGTCAAACAATTATTAAAAAAGTCATAAAAGCAGTTTATGACCTTAAAACTTATAGCAAACACCATATCTGATCTGCCTAATTCAAACCAATTGTCTAAATTCTGAAAATATTTTTATTTTATTTTACCAATAATTTTTAAAACCATATTTACCAAAGATTATAAAGTGATTAAAGATTCTATTTTTCTGGCAAAATATTTGATTTAAGTGCTTTTTTTTCTTTTCTTTTTTTTGTTTTTGTTTTTTGTTTTTTTGAGACAGAGTCTCTCTCTGTCACCCAGGCTGGAGTGCAAGGGCATGATTATGGCTCACTGCAGCTTTGACCTCCTGAGCTCAAGTGATCCTCTCACCTCAGCCTCCTGAGTAGCTGGGACTACAGGCATGCACCACTGTGCCTAGCTAATTTTTAAAATATTTATTTTTTATTTTTAAATTTTTTTTTTTTGTATTTTTAGTAGAGATGGAGGTTTGCCATGTTGCTCAGGCTGGTCTCGAACTCCTGGACTCAAGTGATCCGCCTGCCTCAGCCTCCCAAAGTGATGGATTACAGGCATGAGCCACTATGCCTGGCCAAAATGTATTCTTATTTTTATTTTTTAACTTTTATTTTAAGCTCAGGGGTACATGTGCAGGTTTGTTACATAGGTGAACTTGTGTCATGGGGGTTTGTTGTATAGATTATTTTATCATCCAGGTAGTGAGCCTAGTACCCATTACTTATTTTTCCTGATCCTCTCCCTTTTCCCACCCTCCAACCCCTGATAGGCTCAAGTGTATGTTGTTCCCCTCTATGTGTCCATGTGTTCTCATCATTTAGCTCCCACTTATAAGTGAGAACATGTGGTATTCGGTTTTCTGTTCCTGTGTTAGTTTGCTAAGGATAACGGCCTCCAGCTCCATCCATGTGCCTGCAAAGAACATGATCTCATTCTTTTTTATGGCTACATAGTATTCTATGGTGTATATGTACCACATTTTCTTTATCGAGTCTATCATTGTTGGGCATTTAGGTGGATTCCATGTCCTCGTTATTGTGAATAGTGTTGCAATGAACATACACATGCATGTGTCTTTATAATGGAATGATTTATATTCCTTTGAGTATAAACCCAGAAATGGGATTGCTGTTGAATGGTATTTCTGTCTTTAGCACTTTGATGAATCGCCACACTGTCTTCCACAATGGTTGAACTAATTTACACCCCCACCAACAGTGTATACTAATGGTTGAACTAATTTACACCCCCACCAACATTCCTTTTTCTCCACAACTTTGCCAGTCTCTGTTATTTTTTGACTTTTTAATAATAGCCATTCTGACTCATGTGAGATGGTATCTCATTGTGGTTTTGATTTGCATTTCTCTAATTATCAGTGATGTTTAGTTTTTTTTTCATATGATTGTTGGCTACATGTATATCTTCTTTTGAAAAGTGTCTGTTCATGTTAAATTTATTTTTTTTTTGAGACAAGGTCACACAATGTTGCCCAGGCGAGGCAGGATAGTTAGTCAAGGAAGTAACTATGTCCTCAGGATGCAGCAACCGTGATGACCACGCTTATTCAAGTATAGCTATCTCTAGTAGGGAATTGCCCCTGTAGAGAGCACGTTGATTTTACCTGACCTCAGACTGACCCTTTGTTCATTATGATAGTAAAAAACACACCCCTGGGTGGAGACTTAAGATCTAATGAGACATGTGATGTATGAACAAGCATATACAACTACTGCACATTTGTGTTGAGAGGACCGTCCAGAACATGCTTGTTGGTAACACCTCTTCCCATCCCCTTTTGAATAATCACGTAAGACTCCTATAAAGGGAGTTTCCCCAGTAACAGCCAATGCCGTCTTAGCCTCATGAGCAGCCTACTCTGAACCCTCTCTCAGGTTGTACTGTTTATTCTGCACCTAACTTTCAGAGTATTCTTTCTCCTTTGCTATACATTGCTCTATGCTGCATCTCCTTTGTCATGTGCCTGTTGTTTAAATTCTTTTAAACTCAGAAGACAAGAATTGAGGTTTCACAACAGCCATCAACAAGGCTGGTCTCGAACTTTGGGGCTCAAGCAATCCTCCTGCCTTGTCCTCCCAAAGTGCCAGGATTATAGGCATGAGCCACTACTCCCAGCCTAAGTGCTTATTTTTCTTTAAGCCAATTAATTAGAGCTCTTTTATATATTTTGGTAGTGAAACATCACACACCTGACACATGTGAATACAAAGACAGAAGTAGATCTGGTAGCATTATAAGATTCTTCATTTGCCAGTTTTTAAGTTTCTCTTCCTTTTTTATACGGTCAGTCTCTTGATTACCTGTTCCTTGCCCTAAATAATTCTTAGAGAGAAAATTGTAAATTTGCATTTTTTTTTTTTGAGACAGAGTTTTGCTCTTGTTGACCAGGCTGGAGTGCAATGGCACGATCTCGGCTCACCGCAACCTCCGCCTCCCGGGTTCAAGCGATTCTCCTGCCTCAGCCTCCCAAGTAGCTCGGATTACAGGCATGTGCCACTACGCCCGGCTAATTTTGTATTTTTAGTAGAGATGGGGTTTCTCCATGTTGGTCAGGCTGGTCTCAAACTCCCGACCTCAGGCGATCCGTCCACCTCGGCCTCCCAAAGTGCTGGGATTACAGGTGTGAGCCACTGTGCCTGGCCTGTAAATTTGCATTCTTAAAGGGACAAGGTGAAACAAGATACAGAATTTATGTTTTACTCAAATCACGGAAAATGGTGTAGAAGTCCAGCTAAGAATGCCAGGAAAAGCAAAGACCTTTCTTTATACATGGAGTATTTCTGTAAAGATTTAAGTTTATAAATTGGATTAGTGGCTTTAGGGTGGAACGTTTTAAGGAATGGGCCCAAGAAAGCATGCAGTTTCTAGGGCCTAATAAACAGGAATAGCTGGAAGGCAAAACAGATCCTCCAAACTCAAGTATCTCATTTTTACATTGGATCCTGGGTCCCCCAAAAGAGGAAACCGCTATGGGATGAGACAGTGCAATGCTTTTACCATGCATGTCACTGCAACGATATTCTCTTGAGGCCTGTGAGCAACCCAAAGCCAACCAGCACATTCTGTAATCAGCCCATCCCCAATCCTTACCTACCAGGTGCCCAAGAGCATGATTTTCTTACCCAAAGAACCGGCATCGTCCTGTAGTAATATCCACTCACTGTAAGCAACTGCCATTACATTAGCCATCCCTAAAAGTATACCTTCTACCTACCTATTACACACCAAGGCTAACAACCCTTTCATAATGCAAAGTAACTTCTGATGCCCCAAAAGTCAAAAAGGCCAGGTAACGCAATGAAAAACAGAGCAGGGCCTTAGATTTTGAGAGGGATCTGTCTGCTTACACTTTTTGGGATTCCATGAGGAAGACAGGTTTTTTCCAAAATGGGGTCTGTAGCATCTCCTCTGTTTCTCCCCAAAAGTCCCAGGCTCTCTGGAATTACCTTAGGTCTTCTCATGCGGGCATTGAGGGTGGCAACAAGACAGACAAAAGTAAATGGAGACACAATTCAGTTGACTGAGAGGAAAAAAACTTTTTTTTTCTCTAAAAACAAGACCCAAGAAGAGAAAAAAGCATAAAGGCCTTTTGAATATATGCATAGTTTGGATATCCACTTTTAATTAAGTTGACTTTTAACCATAGAGCTCTTTTAAAAAAATCGTTTTAAATATCTTATTACCAGACTCTAGCCAGGACAAACAGCCAACACCTCTGGCTTTTAAGCTTTATTTTTGTTCCCCAAAGGTATTTTCCCAAGTGAACCCAAAATCCTTAACTAAGGTTATGATTTATCTGTGGACACATGAAGTGTTTCCAAAGAGATGACAAGCGGTTTTTACAAGATCTAGAATCACCACTAAGGTATCTTGGAGAAAGGAAAACTCAAGATAGAAAATCAGAAGCTGTCCATGGAGGGAAAAAGAATCAGTAAACAGTAAAAGTCCCACAATTTTTTTTTTTTTTTTGAGACGGAGTCTCGCTCTGTTGCCCAGGCTGGAGTGCAGTGGTGCAATCTCGGCTCACTGCAACCTCCACCTCCCTGGTTCAAGCAATTCCCCTGCCTCAGAGCCTCCTGAGTAGCTGGAACTACAGGCGCACGTCACTACAACTGGCTATTTTTTTTTGTATTTTTAGTAGAGACAGGGTTTCACCATGTTGGCCAGACTGGTCTCCAATTCCTGACCTCAGGCAATCCGCCCACCTTGGCCTCCCAAAGTACTAGGATTACAGGCATGAGCCACCGCGCCGGGCCATTCCCACAAGTATTAAACCAGAAAGAACTCATTCCTTAAGCCAGGAATTGAATCCAGGCCACCATTTTGAAAGGGAAATGGCTTAGCTACTGAACTACAGCATGAGGCGACTATCATCTTCTTTCCCAGAAGGAGTCTAGAGCAGTCATTTTCAAGCTTCAGAGGATTTTAACTGCTCAAGAGAATTTTCTGAGACTAGCCATGGCTTTATCATGTGTCCTTCTTTTAATTCAAACCTTTAAAAAAATGTTGCAAGTAAAAGTTCTGTAAAATCCGTTTTAAAAAATGGCATACTTAATTCCAATAGCGTCTCAGTCCAAAAGCCAGTTAAACCAGATGGTAACTTTCCCAGATTTTACCACATAAGCAAGAAGTGTTTCTACAGATGGGGGAGAGGAGACATGTCTATGGTCCCCAAGAATTCACTCTCAGAAATGGACTTAAGATAGTAAAAGATGACTGTCAGACTTCTGAGCCCAAGCTAAGCCATCATATCCCCTGTGACCTGCACGTACACATCCAGATCGCTGGTTCCTGCCTTAACTGATGACATTCCACCACAAAAGAAGTGAAAATGGCCTGTTCCTGCCTTAACTGATGACATTGTCATGTGAAATTCCTTCTCCTGGCTCATCCCAGCTCAAAAGCTCCTCCACTGAGTACCTTGTGACCCCCCACTCCTGCCTGCCAGAGAACAACACCCCTTTTTCCTTTACCTACCCAAATCCTATAAAACGGCCCCACCCCTATCTCCCTTCACTGACTCTTTTCGGACTCAGCCTGCCTGCACCCAGGTGAAATAAACAGCCACGTTGCTCACACAAAGCCTGTTTGGTGGTCTCTTCACATGGATGCGCATGAAATTTGGTGCCGTGACTCAGATCGGGGGACCTCCCTTGGGAGATCAATCCCCTGTCCTCCTGCTTTTTGCTCCATGAGAAATGTCCACCTACGACCTCAGGTCCTCAGACCGACCAGCCCAAGGAACATCTCACCAATTTCAAATCCGGTAAGAGGCCTCTTTTTACTCTCTTCTCCAACCTCCCTCACTATCCCTCAACCTCTTTCTCCTTTCAGTCTTGGCACCACACTTAATCTCTCCCTTCTCTTAATTTCAATTCCTTTCATTTTCTGGTAGAGACAAAGGAGACACATTTTATCCATGGACCCAAAACTCCGGCACCAGTCATGGACTGGGAAGGCAGCCTTCCCTTGGTGTTTAATCATTGCAGGGACGCCTCTCTGATTATTCACCCATGTTTCAGAGGTGTCAGACCACGCAGGGATGCCTGCTTTAGTCCTTCACCCTTAGCGGCAAGTCCCGCTTTTCTGTGGGAGGGGCAAGTACCCCAACCCCTTCTCTCCATGTCTCTACCCCTTCTCTGCCTTTCTGGGGGGCAAGAAACCCCCAACCCCTTCTCCTTCACCCTTAGCAGCAAGTCCTGCTTTTCTAGGGGAGGGTCAAGTACCACAACCCCTTATATCTCTGTGCCCCGATCCCTTATTTCCACACCCCAACCTCTTATATCTCTGTGCCCCGATCCCTTATTTCCACACCCCAACCTCTTATATCTCTGTGCCCCGATCCCTTATTTCTGCACCCCAACCTCTTATATCTCTGTGCCCCAATCCCTTATTTCCACGCCCCAACCTCTTATATCTCTGTACCCCAATCCCTTATTTCCACACCCTGATGTCGTATCTCTGTGCCCCAACCCCTTCTCTGCTTTTCTGGAGGGCAAGAATACCCCACCCTTTCTCTGTGTCTCTACTGTTTTCTCTGGGCTTGCCTCCTTCACTATGGGCAAGCTTCCACCTTGCCCATTCCTCCTTCTTCTCCCTTAGCCTGTGTTCTTAAGAACTTAAAACCTCTTCAACTCTCACCTGACCTAAAATCTAAGCATTTGATTTTCTTCTGCAATGCCGCTTGACTCCAATACAAACTCGACAGTAGTTCCAAATAACCGGAAAACGGCACTTTCAATTTTTCCATCCTACAAGATCTAAATAATTCTTGTCATAAAATGGGCAAATGGTCTGAGGTGCCTGACATCCAGGCATTCTTTTACACATCGGTCCCTCCCTAGTCTCTGTGCCCAATGGAACTCGTCCCAAATCTTCCTTCTTTCCCTCCCGCCTGTCCCCTCAGTCCCAACCCCAAGCGTCACTGAGTCTTTCTAATCTTCCTTTTCTACAGACCCATCTGACCTCTCCCCTCCTCCCCAACCTGCTCCTCGCCAGGCCGAGCTAGGTCCCAATTCTTCCTCAGCCTCCGCTCCTCCACCCTATAATCCTTTTATCACCTCCCCTCCTCACACCCGGTCTGGTTTACAGTTTCATTCCGTGAGTAGCCCTCCCCCACCTGCCCAGCAATTTCCTCTTAAAAAGGTGGCTGAAGCTAAAGGTATAGTCAAGGTTAATGCTCCTTTTTCTTTATTAGACCTCTCCCAAATCAGTGAGCATTTAGGCTCTTTCATCAAATATGAAAAACTCAGCCCAGTTCATGGCTCATTTGGCAGCAACCCTGAGACACTTTACAGCCCTAGACCCTAAAAGGTCAAAAGGCCGTCTTATTCTCAAAATACATTTTATCACCTAATCTGCTCCCGACATTAAATAAAACTCCAAAAATTAAATTCCAGCCCTCAAACCCCACAACAGGATTTAATTAACCTTGCCTTCAAGGTGTACAATAATAGAAAAAAGTTGCAATTCCTTGCCTCCACTGTGAGAAAAACCCCAGCCACATCTCCAGCACACAAGAACTTCCAAATGCCTGAACCGCAGCAGCCAGAACCTCCTCCCCCAGGAGCTTGCTACAAGTGCCAGAAATCTGGCCACCAGGCCAAGGAATGCCTGCTGCCCAGGATTCCTCCTAAGCCGCGTCCCATCTGTGCAGGACCCCACTGGAAATCGGACTGTCCAACTCACCTGGCAGCCACTCCCAGAGCCCCTGGAACTCTGGCCCAAGGCTCTCTGAGTCCTTCCCAGATCTTCTTGGCTCAGCGGCTGAAGATTGACACTGCCCGATCACCTCGGAAGCCCCCTAGACCATCACGGACGCCGAGCTTTGGGTAACTCTCACAGTGGAAGGTAAGTCCGTCCCCTTAGTCAATACGGAGGGCACCCACTCCACATTACCTTCTTTTCAAGGGCCTGTTTCCCTTGCCTCCATAACTGTTGTGGGTATTGATGGCCAGGCTTCTAAATCCCTGAAAACTCCCCAACTCTGGTGCCAACTTGGACAACACTCTTTTATGCACTCTTTTTTAGTTATCCCCACCTGCCCAGTTCCCTTATTAGGCTGAGATATTTTAACCAAATTATCTGCTTCCCTGACTATTCCTGGACTACAGCCGCATCTCATTGCCACCCTTCTCCCCAACCCAAAGCCTCCTTCGCGTCTTCCTCTCGTATCCCCCCACCTTAACCCACAAGTATGGGACATCTCTACTCCTTCCCTGGCAACCGATCACATGCCCATTACCATCCCATTAAAACCTAATTACCCTTACCCCGCTCAATGCCAATATCCCATCCCACAGCACGCTTTAAAAGGATTAAAGCCTGTTATCACTCGCCTGCTACAGCATGGGCTTCTAAAACCTATAAACTCTCCTTACAATTCCCCCATTTTACCTGTCTAAAAACCGGACAAGTCTTACAGATTAGTTCAGGATCTGCGCCTTATCAACCAAATTGTTTTGCCATCCATCCTGTGGTGCCCAACCCATACACTCTTTTGTCCTCAATACCTTCCTCCACAACTCACTATTCCGTTCTCGATCTTAAAGATGCTTTTTTCACTATTCCCCTGCACCCCTCTTCCCAGCCTCTCTTTGCTTTCACTTAGACTGACCCCGACACCCATTAGGCTCAGCAAATTACCTGGGCTGTACTGCCGCAAAGCTTCACAGACAGCCCCCATTACTTCAGTCAAGCTGAAATTTCTTCCTTATCTGTTACCTATCTCAGCATAATTCTCATAAAAACACACGTGCTTTCCCTGCTGATCGTGTCCGATTAATCTCCCAAACCTCAATCCCTTACAAAACAACAACTCCTTTCCTTCCTAGGCATGGTTAGTGCAGTCAGAATTCTTACACAAGAGCCAGGACCACACCCTGTAGCCTTTCTGTCCAAACAACTTGACCTTACTGTTTTAGCATAGCCATCATGTCTCCGTGCAGTGGCTGCTGCCGCCCTAATACTTTTAGAGGCCCTCAAAATCACAAACTATGCTCAACTTACTCTCTACATTTCTTATAACTTCCAAAATCTATTTTCTTCCTCATACCTGATGCATATACTTTCTGCTCCCCGGCTCCTTCAGCTGTACTCACTCTTTGTTAAGTCCCACAATTACCATAGTTCCTGGCCCGGACTTCAATCCGGCCTCCCACATTATTCTGGATACCACACCTGACCCTCATGACTGCATCTCTCTGATCCACCTGACATTCACCCCATTTCTCCATATTTCCTTCTTTCCTGTTCCTCACCCTGATCACGCTTGATTTATTAATGGCAGTTCCACCAGGCCTAATCGCCACACACCAGCAAAGGCAGGCTATGCTATAGTACAAGCCACTAGCCTGCCTCTTAGAACCTCTCATTTTCTTTCCATCGTGGAAATCTATCCTCAAGGAAATAACTTCTCAGTGTTCCATCTGCTATTCTGCTACTCCTCAGGGATTATTCAGGCTCCCTCCCTTCCCTACACATCAAGCTCAAGGATTTGCCCCCACCCAGGACTGGCAAATTAGCTTTACTCAACATGCGAGTCAGATAACTAAAATACCTCTTAGTCTAGGTAGACACTTTCACTGGATAAGTAGAGTCCTTTCCTACAAGGTCTGAGAAGGCCACCGCAGTCACTTCTTTCCTTCTGTCAGACATAATTCCTCAGTTTAGCCTTCCCACCTCTATACAGTCTGATAACAGACCAGCCTTTATTAGTCAAATCAGCCAAGCAGTTTTTGAGGCTCTTAGTATTCAGTGAAACCTTTATATCCCTTACAGTCCTCAGTCTTCAGGAAAAGTAGAACGGACTAAAGGTCTTTTAAAAACACACCTCACCAAGCTCAGCCACCAACTTAAAAAGGACTGGACAATACTTTTACCACTTTCTCTTCTCAGAAGTCAGACCTGTCCTCAGAATGCTACAGGGTACAGCCCATTTGAGCTCCTGTATAGATGCTCCTTTTTATTAGGCCCCAGTCTCATTGCAGACACTAGACCAACTTAGACTGTGCCCCCAAAAAACTTGTCATCCCTACTATCTTCTGTCTAGTCATACTCCTATTCACCGTTCTGAACTACTCATACATGCCCTGCTCTTGTTTACACTGCCGGTTTACACTGTTTCTCCAAGCCATCACAGCTGATATCTCCTGGTGCTATCCCCAAACTGCCACTCTTAACTCTTAAAGTAAATAAATAATCTTTGCTGGCAGGACTATGCTGAATCTTCTTAGGCGCTCTCTAATCAGATGTCCTGAATCGTCCCAATTCTTAGACCTCTTATACCTGTTTTTCTCCTTCTCTTATTCCATTTAGTTTTTCAATTCGTACAAAACTGTATCCAGGTCATCACCAATAATTCTAAATTACAAATGTTCCTTATAACAACCCCACGATATCACCCCTTACCACAAAATCTTCCTTCAGCTTAATCTCTCCCACTCTAGGTTCCCACACTGCCCCTAATCCTGCTGGAAGCAGCCCTGAGAAACATCACCCATTATCTCTCCATACCACCCCCAAAAATTTTCACCATCCTAACACTTTACCACTATTTCATTTTATTTTTCTTATTAATATAAGAAGACAGGAATGTCAGGCCGCTGAGCCCAAGCTAAGCCATCATATCCCCTGTGACCTGCACGTACACATCCATATCCCCGGTTCCTGCCTTAACTGATGACATTCCACCACAAAAGAAGTGAAAATGGCCTGTTCCTGCCTTAACTGATGACATTGTCTTGTGAAATTCCTTCTCCTGGCTCATCCTGGCTCAAAAGCTCCCCCACTCAGTACCTTGTGATCCCCCACTCCTGCCTGCCAGAGAACAACCCCCCTTTTTCCTTTACCTACCCAAATCCTATAAAACGGCCCCACCCCTATCTCCCTTTGCTGACTCTCTTTTCGGACTCAGCCCACCTGCACCCAGGTGAAATAAACAGCCATGTTGGTTGCTCACACAAAGCCTGTTTGGTGGTCTCTTCACACAGATGCGCATGAAAATGACAAAAGCCTCATAGGATGGGGCCTTTTAAGACAAAACTCACCTAAGTGCTTGACACATTTGGGATGAAGAGTGTACTGACACATTTCAGACACTCGGTAACTTCAGACTGGCTGCCTGACATGAACCTGAAAATTTCTACCTTCCAGATGGTAGAGACAAAGAGAGAATACTCCCACACGTTTGCAAAGTCAAGCTCTCAAGGACATAAAACAAGACGAAAGGGAAACCTCATCTGGTTTTTGTTTCAGGGACCTGAAGCAAAGTTTGTAACTGACCAGTCTTCAGAGCTAGCTTGAAGAGAGGGCTTATAAGGGACCTACAGCAGCGTTTTATCCCATAGTACCCCTCTTTATGACAGAATAACACAGAAGGACAAATTTATAGCAGAAAGTACACCAGGTTTGCTACAACCTAAGATTTGTCACACAAATCCTTTTTCCCATTAATCAAAACTTTGCAGAGGAGACAAGCGGTGATTTTTACCATTCACTCAGCCAGTTTGCACAGAGAGAGAGAAGTCAGAAGCCTGACTGTAAGAAATCCTTACCCTTTTGCCAACTTGCCAGGTTTCTGGGTTCCCTTTCTCCGAGTGGTTTTGAGACCCTGTTTGCTATACTGTAGCAGTGGGGGCCAAGCTGCATTACAAAAGAAAATCATCTTTTTCTGTTCATGGAAACATAGGGAAAAGCCTCTCAGTTTTGCATGATGCAGCCCAACTGGCTGCATGGGGAAGTGAATTAACATTTTCCATTCAGGCCAAAACAAAATATACGTGACAAAACACAGACACCAGTCACCCCACTCAGCACCCAAGTATCAACCTGGCAAGGCTCAAACTTGCCCCTGTTGGTTCCTGCTGTCTTTGATCCACTAAGTGGGGTGGGATGACCTCTGACCAGGAGTATCAATGGGTGGCCTCCAGGTAAGATGGAAGAGTGGACGGTCACCGTTGAGTTATGCCTGTTGAGCTTCCTTCAGGGCTCACTGAATGTGACTGATCAGACAAACTAGGAAAGCCTGCTGGACTTCTGTCAGCAATTTCCATGGGAAATCCTCTCCACACATACAAACATGCACAGCAAGGTAAAGACAAACAAAAAAGCCTTCCAAACCAATATTCCAGACCAGAAGAGGATTCTTCCAATCTAACCTCCTATTCTCTGTCTAAATGGGGAGAAATCTTCCCAAACTGAGGTTCATCCTACTATTTAGGGACAGCCAGCTAAGACCTTGGAAGGAGCCAAACTGAGTCCTCACAGGAGCCAAACTGAGGCCCTCCATAAGTGCTGAACCAAGACCCCTGAAGGCATTGAACTGAGACCCATCCTAAAAAACTGAGACTCCCATAGGAGCCGGACTAATTGGGAGAAGGAAAGAGATGCTAGCTGGGCTTAGAACACTCACCAGACCAGTTTAAAAACATCTTTCTAGGATGTAGAGTGGTGGCTCATGCCTGTAATCCTAACACTATGGGAGGCTGAGGCAGGCAGATCACTTGAGGCCAGGAGTTCGAGACCAGCCTGGCCAACATGGCAAAACCTCATCTCTACTAAAAATACAAAAATTAGCCAGGTGTGGTGGCACACACCTGTAACCCCAGCTACTTGGGAGGCTGAGGCATGAGAATTGCTTGAACTCGGAAGTTGGAGGTTGCAGTGAGCTGAGATCAAGCCTCTGCACTCCAGCCTGGTGACAGACCGAGACTCTGTCTCAAAAAAGGAAAAAAAAAAGAAAAAAAAGACAACTTTCCAGGAACTAGTTCTTTATTGCATTGCAATTAGGCTCAAGCACCATGGTCAACATCACCTTACTGATAGGGAGAGCAGCAGAGATGGCCTTCAGTGCAAGAGAAATAAGTGGCCACCAGGGCTCACATTCAGGTCCATCATACCAGCAGGAGGTTAACAAACCATGAGCAGGCACCCACCCACAAAGGTGGATCCTAGATGAGCCCTCAAATTTGTAATTGCTTGACAGGTTCTTCCTGCCCACTGCACAGACAAAATCATTTCACTGAAACCAGGGCACTGCAGTAAAGTAAGAGCTTAATTGACACAAGACAGGCCATGCCACATGGAGATGAAGTTATTAATGAAAATCAATCTCTCCAAAGGCTCAGGGGTTAGGGGTTTCCAAGGATAGTTTGGTGGGCAGGGGACTAGGGAATGGGGAATGCTGATTGGTTTGGGATGAAATCACAGGGTGTGGAAAATGGTCCTTGTGTGCTGAGTTTGTCTCTGAGTGGGGCCACAGGACCAGCTGAGTAATGAGTCACAAGCCTGGGTGGGGTCAGTCTGCAAACATCTCCAAAACCAATTATGGGTTCTACACCAGGGATGTTACCTACAGAAGCAATTGGGAAAATCACAAATCTTGTGAATTCTGGAACAGCAGTTGGTTATGGTTTAAGCCTATATGTTAGCAGAATTCAGGCCTTTCTCATAATTCTAACCTTGTGGACTTTCATTAGTTTTACAGAGGCAGTTTAGTTTTGGGAAGGGCTGTTATTATCCTTGCTTTAAGGTTAAACTATAAACTCAATTTCTCCCAAAGTCGGCTTGGTCTACACCCAGGAATGACCAAGGACAGCTTGGAGGTTAGAAGCAAGATGAAGTCTACTGTCGGATTTCTCTTACTGTCTTAATTTTGCAAGAGCAGTTTCATATTTAAGGGTTTCAACATGTGCTTTTTAAATAAGTAAATTACTAAAACATCTTTGTATAAATAGTTATTGCCTTTATCATAATTCAAGCTGCAACTTAATGTCACCAGAAGATTAAACAGTAAATATACAGAGGCTCATGAACTACAAATTGTAAAACAGCTCTCACTGTAAATTAAAATACAGATAAATAATTTCTACAGATATTCGTTTATAAATTGAAGAAACTGCTCCCATAATTATAGAGTTACTTTAAGGACATACGGCAAAAAAAAAAAAATCTTAAAAATTAAACTTGTATATTGTATAGACTTGTATACTGGTAGGTAAATGTTTGTTATTAGCATAAGGGAGGGACATAATGTGAGAATCAGCTAGTTTGGTCTTTCCTTATTAGTGGGGAAAGGGGCAAAATTAGGCATTGTTTACAACTTTATTTGACATGACCCAGATTTTGAGAAAATTGTCTTTTTATCTTTCATTCCTATATTGACAATTGTCATGTGAGAGAACACAGGTCAATCATGGAAACAGACATTTTGAGTCATTTCAACTCATCTAGCTGGACACGCATAGACCCAAAACATAGTTCAATTTATTTCTATTCCAAAATAGAGTTCAATTTATTCCTCAGGAACCAACTGAGAGGTCTTCTGACTTTGCTGGTATGCTAGTGTAAACCAATAAGTATCTGAGACAGGTCTCAATCAATTTAGAGGTTTATTTTGCCAAGGTTAAGGACTGCGGCCCATGACACAGCCTCAGGAGGTCCTGAGAATGTGTGGCCAGGGTGGTTGGGTTACAGCTTTGTTTTACACATTTTAGGGAGACAGAAGTTACAGGTAAAGACATAAGTCAATATATGTAAGTTATGCATTAGTTTGGGCCAGAAAGGCAGGACATCTCCAAGCAAGGGTAGAGGGTGTAGGGGGTTTCCAGGTCATAGGTGGATTTAAAGACTTCTCGATTGGCCATATGGTTGAAAGAGTTAAGCCCTGCCTGAAGAGTTGAATTCAGCATAAAGAAATGCTTGAGTTTAGATAAGGAGGTTGTGGAAGCCAGGGTTCTTGCCACGGAGATGAAGCCTCCAGGTAGCAGGCTTCAGAGAGAATAGATGGTGAATGTCTCTTATCAGACCTTAAAAGGTGTCAAACTCTCTGGAAAATACCTAGTAAGGGAAAGAGATTCTCCACTGAAAACAAATTTCTCTCATAAGAGACAGCTTTGCAGGGCCATTTCAGAATATGTCAAAGAAATATATTTTGGTGTAAAATACTGTGATTTCCTTCAAGCCTGTTATCTGTCATCTGATACTACACCAGAGTCAGGTTGGAATTTGGTATCTTACCGCTACAAGGAATCTATTTTGCCAGTTTTAAGATCTCCGTTTTAATGTTAGTGCTGGTCAGTTGTGTCTAAACTCCAGAGGAAGGCAGGTACAATAAGACAAGTCTGACCTCCCACCACCCTTCTCATCATGGCCTGAACCAGTTTTTCAGGTTTCTTTGGGGTCCCAGTGGTCAAGAGGGGGGTCCATACAGTCAGTTGAGAGGCTTATTTCTGGTTTACACTAGTAATCCAGAGAGGGGATTAAACCCTGTTTAACTCTCCACCCTCATTTTCACCTTGTTTGAAAAAAGATTCACACAGATCCACCAATCATTATTATTATTATTATTATTATTATCATTTTTGAGACAGAGTCTTGCTTTGTCACCTAGGCTAGAGTGCAGTGGTGCAATCCTGGCTCACTGCAACCTCTGCCTCTGGGTTCAAGTGATTCTTGTGCCTCAGCCTCCTGAGTAGCTGGGACTGCAGGTGTGCGCTACCACGCCTGGCTAATTTTTTGTATTTTTAGTAGATACAGGGCTTCACCATGTTGTCTAGGCTGGCTTTGAACTTCTGTCCTCATGTGATCTGCTGGCCTTGGCATCCCAAGGCATAAGCCACCACGCTCAGCCACCAATCATTATTATTGTTAATTTTTTCTTTTAATACACTGTTGCTGGCTTGAATTTTTTTTAACAATTTTTTTTTTTTTTTTTTGGTAGAGATGGTTCTTGCTATGTTGCCCAGGCTGCTCTTGAACTCCTGAGCTCAGGCAATCCTCCCCTGTCAGCCTCCCAAAGTGCTGGAATTATAGGCATTAGCCACCACACCTAGTTCAACAATTATTAACAATTTCCGTAGTTTGGTGTCTCTCTCTCTTTCTCCACACACACACACACACACACACACACACACACACACACACGCACACGCACACACAGCTTTTTTTTCTCTTTTTTTCTGAATGGTTTGAGAGTAAGTTGCAGACATCATGTCCCTTCACCCCTTCACCCCTAAATATTTCCATGACTATATCCAAAGAGCAATAACATTTGCTTATTTATGTAACCTCAACATAGTTATCAAATTTAGGAAATTTAACATTGATCCAATACTATTTTCTAATTGACTGTCTATATTCCAGTTTTGCCAGTTGTCCCATGAATATCCTGTATATAGCTATTTTTATTTCTAAGCCAGGACACACATTGCATTTAGCTTTCATATCTCTTTAGTCTCTAATTTGGAGCACTTTCTCAGCCTTTCTTTGTTCTTCATGACTCTGTATTCTTTAACCTAGGTTTGTCTGATGTTTTCTTATCTTTGAATTCAAGTTATATGTTTTGGACAGAATATCCTAGAAATAATATTGTGTCCTTCTCAGTGTATTACACCATGAAACATACATTGTGAGACTGTCCCATTAGCCATGACAAGAATGGATAAGGTGGTGTCCATCAGGTTTCTGCACTGCTAAATTACTATTTTTTTCTTTTGTAATTAATGAGTACTTTTGTGGGCAATAGTTAGGGTGTATGTGAATAACCTGTTCCTCACAAACTTTCACCTATTCTTGGCTGAATTATCACCCTAATTTTAAAATATAGATAATAGATAGATATATAGATATATCTATATAGGTATATATATCTGTATAATGAGCGGAGCATGAGACAGAAACTGAATCAACTTTTACAATTCTACTAAATTATCCTTGGCGTGTAAAATAGTTGCAGAATGCCAGCAAACTTCCAACTAGTTCTTCAGTAGATTGACAAACCAACCAGTCAGGTGAAAGCTGCAGATATTTTTAAACAGAGCTATCAGCAACCCCAAGAAAAGAAAGAATAAATTCAGGCTGAGACTGAACCTGGTAAGTCCTCAGGTTACATTCTCCTGCTACTCAGAGCCAGATAAACCTTGACTGTGTGACCCTCAGGCAATCCACCATTAATCTCAGGACAGGGAAAAGCCTTTATTTCTGTACGGAGTTACTGAATGCTTATTTTCAAAATGTGCTTGGTTTCCAAGGCAGAAGTTCTTTCCTGAGGAGGGGCTTTCCTTGTTTGCAACCAATCTTGACTAGTAAAGGAAATGCACAGGCCACACCCACCTTGTGCTCCTCCAGTGCCTGGCGATTAAGGGCAGAGAGGTCCCTGGCTTTGTGGGGATGGCTGGGATTGGGCTTTCTCTGGCTGCTTACATGTGGTACATTTACTTCTTTCTAAAGAAATCATTTGTTTTATATTCATTGGTTCTGCATGTCCCCTGACATACATCATATGAAAAAGTGTTAATTCAGAAAGAAGACCTCAAATCGGATGGTCGATCAGTGACAAAGTTCTCCTGGGCTTTTCTAAGCACCTGTGGCTCCAGGATGGAATTATTCTCACAGCCAAGTAACAGTACAGTTATTTTCATTCATCTGTTTACTTGGAAAGAGAATTAATGTTTATGGGCTTATACAGAGATTTATGTATAAGGAGAGTTTCCACAGCATTATCATAAAGAAAACTGATGGTCAAAATAAGTGTTCTTCAAGCAAAACAAAAAAGCAAAAAACAATCTACTAGAATGGCAAGAGACCAAACTTAGTTTTTATTCAAATATAATTAACATACAATGAAATGCACATATCTTGAGCATTTGATGAATTTTGACAATTGTATATACCATGCACCACCACCAAAACAAGATATATAGAAAATTTTCATCACTTCAGAACGTTCTCTCCTGTTTCCTTCCAATCACTACCCATTACCTACAGGCAGCCACTGTTCTCATTTCTCTCACTACCTTCCCCTGCGAGGTAACTGCTATTCTAACTTGTATCTCGAAAGGTTGTTTTTGCCTGTTTTAGACCTTCATATAAAGGGAACCATACAGTATGTACTCTTTTTGGAGTTTAGTTTCTTTTTTTTTTTTGAGACGGAGTTTTGGTCTTGTAGCCTAGGCTGGAGTGCAATGGTGCGATCTCAGCTTACTGCAACCTCCACCTCCCGGGTTCAAGTGATTTTCCCGCCTCAGCCTCCCAAGTAGCTGGGATTACAGGCATCTGCCACCACGCCCAGCTAATTTTGTATTTTTAGTAGAGACGGGGTTTCTCCATGTTGGTCAGGCTGGTCTCGAACTCCTGACCTCAGGTGATCAACCCGCCTTGGCCCCCCAAAGTGCTGGGATTACAGGTGTGAGCCACCACACCCTGCCTGGAGTCTAGTTTCTTTATTCAACATGTGAGATTCTTCCACGTAGTTGTAATATTTTATTGGTATGTAATATTCCTCAATATGATTTTGAAGCAAATTTCAGACATCATATCATTCTGTTTATAAATATTTCAGTAGGTAACTCTAAAAGATGACGGGTCTACAAAGACCCTAAATTGTTATACCTGAAAGAAATCAGCACAAATGCTGTGGCACATTCTGGTTTTCAGTCTAATGCGGGTGTTGAAAGTTGTGTCCCAGGCTGAGTCAGGAATAGGCAGAGGGGTGGGAGCCTGCTTGTGGCAGAGGAGTGAGGAGTGGGAGGAGAGAATTTATGAACACTTAGTGGGGTTCTGGGGAAGGGCAAGGCACAGAGAATGAGGGAGGAGGGAGGATGCTGTCACAGCACTTGGGGCTTGATAAATGTATGTGGAATAAATGACAACATCAAGGACCTTGGATGGAAAAATACCCTGTTTTCCACTGCTTTTGTCTTTTAGTTCTGGGTTTTCAGCCCCCTGAACTACGCATGTTAAGAAACATTTATAAGGAGTTATGTGTATTTATTATGCTTAAAGATTCAACTAGCCTGCCTTAAGGTACGTAATATCTCTCAACCCCAAATACCCTTTCTTCTCTTTGTTTAAAATGCATCTTTATTCATATACCCAATTTTTCTTTTTATTGGTATTAGATTTTGACTACAAGAGATTGGTCTCATTCCCAGGTTACCATGAATATGCCTGCATATCATCTTTTTTGTTCATTAAAAACATTTTTTCCCCATTTTAGTTTTCTATTCCAAAAAAAAGTGTGTATTGACCCAACCCGCATGCAAATCAGTAACAGCACATTTCATGTTCTTGGTATATTTCCCTGTGCTTGCCTCTATTTCTGCAGCCCTCCTGCTGTTTTCCTGCCTGTGTGTTCTTTTATTCTGTTGATAGCTTTCATTTTGGTCTTCCCTTTGCATCTGGCCCTTCAAGCTGGGCTGCGGTTCCGCGCTGCGGTTGGGCCATTCAGTGATTGGACTCTGTCCAGCCCCTGCCAAATGCTGTCTCTTTCTGTAGCAGGAAAATGAGCTTAGGATATCTTTCTTATGGTGTCTTGAATGATGTATTTTGCTTTGGGTGCAAAAGCCCATACCAACTTGAAATGCTGTCTATGCTCTGTATTTAATAATAAATAGAGTAGCAACAGTAATAATAATAGTAGAAACAGCCTTACACTTTTGGAGCCATTGTTGAGCACAGCCCTCCCCCTTGGCTATTATTTTTCGATAATAGTCAAAAAGGTCTATAGATTATATTGCAAAATATCTTCATGAATGTTTTGTTGTGCCAACATTTTTCCCTGTGCTGTTATGGATTGTATCATAGTCCTCTCAATAGAAGTGAAAATTTAAAAATGAGAATTATTCTAGCTGATGACCAGAATAAATATTCATAAGAAAAAAAACTCTTCTATAATGGCAGGAGAGTAAGCCTTATTTTTATTGAAATATGATTAGCAGACAATGAAATGCACATCTTAAGAATTTGATGAGTCTTGACAATTGTATACAGTCATATACCATCACCAAAACAAGATCATAGATCATTTCCATCACCTCAGAATGCTCCCTCCTGTTCCCTTCCAGTCAATACTCACCCCTCAGAGGCAGCCACTGTTCTGATATTTATCACTATAGAGAGGTTTTGCCTGTTCTTGAATATTGTATAAATGCAGTATGAGTGCTCTTGTATCTGACTCTTTTTTCTACTTATTATTATGTCTGTGAGATTTATTCATGCTGTTGTGTGTATGTATAGTCCATTCCCTATTATGCTGAGTAGTATTCCATTATGTGTCAGGTAATTTGTTTATCTGTTCACCTGTTGATGGGCATTTAAATTGTTTTCAGTTTTGGACTATTTTGAATAAAGTTGCTATGAACATCTGTGTGCAGGTCTTTATGTGAGTGTGGCAGAAGTCTCTAAAATGTCTCCCAGTGATCCCTGTCTCCTGTTGTTCTTGACCCTGTGCAGTCACCTCTCTTGAGTGTGGGTGGGACTTGTGACTCCTTCTAACTAACAGAATCTGGTAAAGGTGATGGGATGTCATTTCCATGATTATGTCACATATGACTGTATCTTTCATCCTGTTAGCAGGTGCTGTTGACTCTTCTGCTGGCTTCTATGAAATAAGCTTCCCTATGGAGACACCTACATGACACGGAGCTAGGGGTGACCTCTGATCAAGAGCCAGTGAGAAATTGAGGCCCTCAGTTGAGAGTCTGCAGGAAACCAAATCCTGCCAACAACTATATGAGCTTGGAAGTGGTTCCTTCCCTAGTTGAGCCTCTGATGAGACCTGAGCCCTGGCTGGTACCTTGTTGGCAGTTTTATGAGAGGTGCTAATGAGGAGGACCCAGCTAAGCCAGGCCCAAACTCCTGGCCCACGGAAACTGTGAGCCAATAAATGCAGCTTTTTAAAGCTGTTAAGTTTGTGGTAATGTTACACAGCAATAGGTTAAAACAGTGGGCACGCATTTTTAACTATCTTGGATAAATATCTAAGAGTGGAATGACTAGATCATATAGTAAGTGTATATTTAACTTTTGAAGGAACTGCCAAACTCTTGTTCACATGGGTGTATATTTTTATACTCCTTCCAGCAGTGTATGAGAGTTCCACTTGCTCCACGTCCGCAACAACATTTTGTGTTGCCAGTCTTTTTGATTTTCCATTCCAACTGGCATGGAATTATCACATTGTGGTTTTTAATTTGCATTTACTTGATGACTAATGAGGAATAAACCTGTTTTAACCCATTATGCAACCTGTTCAAAATTTGTTTTTCTTCCAAGAGAAATACAGCTCGTTTGTTAGCTTAAGGTTTTTGGTCCTTGTTATTTGAGATACACAGATGAAAAGACAGGATTCCTGACTTAAAGAAACATAATGTAAGGAACACATCAACATATTATTGCATGTAAAATATAAAATGGGGAATAGAAAACATGAGATATTTACTATATACCTCATATATAAAATGAAAAATGAAATGGAAAAATGAGTAAATTAGTATACTGATTGCTAAGTGAAATAACATGTACTACTATGCCTTAAGGTAGGTGTTTGCAAATTTCATTTTAACATAAGGAATCTGAAGCTTACAGACAATTACCAGTTGAAATGGGCTGGGCTATGCTGCAGTAACAAACATCTCTCCATATTTCAGTGGTTTAAAACAACAAAGGCTTATTTCTTGCCCATATATACGTCCATCATGAGTTGGTCTGGAATTCTGTTCCGTATCTTTGTTGTTTTCATTGTAGAACTCTGGCTAACAGAGTGTGCACCACATTGCTGATACAGTGGCAAAAGGAAAAAAAAAGCATAGCAAAGATTGCACAAGCTCTCAAAGTTTCACCTAGTAGTGATATATTCACTTTGCTCACTTTTGTGGACAAAGGACAAAGGACTCCAGTGGGGCAGGGAAATATAATTCCATCCTCTAGAGGTAAAGTGATTTACCCTAAAGAGCAGAATCTTGACTCAACCCGGATCTTAAGATTCTAAACCTAATGCTTTTCCTTCTACACCGTAGTTGTCCTAAATGATCCTTAAAATAATATTGTTTCATTTACCTACTGTTTCCATAGTGTTTTTGTTCTATTTCTAAGGTTGAAATATTCCCTTATTCATTTTTCATCAAAATGAGCCAGATAGCTCATGTAAAAAGAATTTATTTATTTAGCATGCCTGCTTATACACAGATGCGTATTTTCAATTTCTTCATTTCCAGTTCAGAAAGCTCTGTTGGTAATGAATTTTCATTAAAGTAGTACAAGATTGTAAAATAAAATAAGCTTTGACACATTTTCCAAAATAATCAACACAAACCCAATGTGAGAACCAGTCAATTATTACCTCTGGAATCAGTCCCAGATTATTAAAATGCAATTATACTCAGAAAAGTAACCCAGCAGGGGACCACATTTTTTTTTTTCTCAGTCATTTTCACAGTAAATTTTTTTAGGGTCTAGTGGACACCTCTTCCACACTCTCCTCCTGATAGCTGAACAACACTGTAGGTTCACCCAGGACTTAAGAATACCAGAATTTGTTTCTCCCTCCATTGGTTTCAAAGACACCAATTAGATACTAAATCAGATATGGTTAGATATGATCTGTAGATGGGTTTTATAGCTCACAGTGTTTACAACTTTAAAAGATTAGCTGCCGGTACTTAAAAATTGTGCATATAAGTTTGGATTTGCAGCTTCTCTTGGAAAACTGAAAGAGCTGATAACCCTGGGCCTCATTTCTATGTGGCAATACTTGCCTGATACTGAGTGACAGCTGGCCCTTTAGGAGGGCCAGGTGCCACAGAGATCCTCATAGTCCCCACCTGGGACCTCTTCACTTACCTGAGTTTCCCGATGAAGGTACACAGAAATTGAAGCTTTCTCAGCATCTGTCTCTTCCTGATTCTCTGCAGTTTTCCAAGCCCCAGCTGTCAGAAGCCCCCTGATACCTTGAGCTGCTCAGCAGATCTTCCCTAAGAGCTGCCTGTAGGGGTAAGAACCAGATGCCATAGCAGTAATGGCCAGTGAATTCAGCCCAGAGCAGTGCACAATTCCCTTGGTTCCTGTCAGGAATTTAAGGCAATGCCTGAGCTTCCCCTGACTTGGTTCCCCAACTTGCCTTTCTGCTTGGGCCCTTGTTAAACTGACAGTCCACCCCTTGTTCATTCCTATGAGGTGTACAGATTCTCAGAGGTGGCTGCAACCTTCTATTCCTTGATAGCCCTCTCCTGGTTTGGACCCTAGGCTTCCTGCTTACCTGTAGCCTCCGCTTACAGCCTGGAACTTACCTCCTTCGACTGCCACAGCTCAGGGCTTTCAAGTGGGCATGGTGTTGCATCAAGTTGTTAATTGGCTTACATTTTGTTATTTATTTGCACAGGGTAAATATGTAGCAGGGTCTTTTTTTTTTTGAGGCGGAGTCTCGCTCTGTCGCCCAGGCTGGAGTGCAGTGGCGCGATCTCTACTCACTGCAAGCTCTGCCTCCCGGGTTCACACCATTCTCCTGCCTCAGCCTCCCGAGTAGCTGGGACTACAGGCACCCGCCACCACACCTGGCTAATGTTTTTGTATTTTTTTTAAGTAGAGACGGGGTTTCACCGTGTTAGCCAGGATGGTCTCAATCTCCTGACCTTGTGATCCACCCGCCTCGGTCTCCCAAAGTGCTGGGATTACAGGTGTGAGGCACCACACCTGGGCTGTAGCAGGGTCTTTGCCTTAGGAGGCAGGATGATGAACTGACCAATGGGACACAACAGGTAGTCCAGAAACCAGAAAAACACCTATATAGCCACCTGATTTATGACAAAGGTGACACTACAGTATAGTGGTGAAAGGTTGTATTTTTTATTTTATTTATTTTTTTGAGATGGAGTTTTGCTCTTGTTGCCCAGGGTGGAGTGGAATGGCGCTATCTTGGCTCATTGCAACCTCCGCCTCTCGGGTTCAAGCTATTCTCCTGCCTCAGTCTCACAAGTAGCTGGGATTACAGGGGCACACTACCACACTCAGCTTATTTTGTATTTATAGTAGAGACGGGGTTTCTCCATGTTGGTCAGACTGGTCTCAAACTCCTGAGCTCAGGTGATCGGCCCGCCTTGGCCTCCCAAAATGCTGGGATTACAGGTGTGATCCACTGTGCTTGACCAGGTTGTTTTTTTAAAATAACAGTGTTGGGTGTATTGTATATCTACATATAAAAAGTCTGTCTTTATCTCTGCCTCACACATACACCAAACTCAATTCCAGGTGAATTGCAGATCTAAAACAAGTAGGACTCTGAAAGAATACATAGGAGGAATCTTCAGGAGCCTGCAGTACTGCTTGTTTATTTAGTTCACTTTTTAAGTCATTCCACACAAAGGAGGATTGAAAGCCTACCATATATTGGGCTTCGTGCTGGGCAGCAGTGATACAAGAGTGAACAGTTTAGTTGCCCTCCAAGAGGATGCAGTTTAGTTGGGGAAAGACACAAGAAGCAAATGAGTACAACAAAGGGTGATGAACCCCCTAACAGTATATTAAGGGAGCCCAGAGGCAAGGTGAAGTAGGGTGAGGGAAGACTTTCACCCTAGTGCATGAGGGAGGAGTTAGCTGGGAGGAGTGGGGATAAGGGCACGTCTGGCAGAGAAACCAGCATGTGCAAAGGCAAGGAAGAACCGGGCACACAGATTGCTACCCATTTCTTAAAAAGGTGTAGAAACTCTCTTGAATTATATGCTGGCTTCTTGCTGAGAAGTATCACGTGTCAGTTTAGCACATATGTCACAACATGTGATGTCAATGATGGGTATTGTTATCCCAGTTTTACTGATGGGAAAGTGGATTTGGGGCACTTGGATGACTTATCCAAGTCCATCCAGCTCTCTAGTTGAGATGGTGGAATTAGAACTCATGTCTTTGGATCCCTACTTTTGTATTCTTTCCATTATGCCATGTGGCTGCTAGGTCAGCCCAAATCACGCCTTTGGAACATCATAGAGCCGAAGGCTTTAAGGGGAGTAGGAAGGACGCTCACACAATCTCTGGCTAGGTTTACAATTGGCCAGGTTAATGCCTTCAGGCTGCCCAGCATACATAAAGCTAAGGGACCAGCAAAGGGAAGGTTATATGAATGTGGTTACAAAGGGTCCAGGTCACAGATGTGCTGAGTCAAAAGTGTCTATTTTACACTATATGACTCTAAATGGAGGGGGGTGGTCCTGAAAGGAAACGCATACTTGGACGCCATGCCCAACATCTGCCACTAGGTGGAGCTCAGATGCAGGCATAAACCCTCAGTTTAAGGGTTTGGCAGAGGCTGCATTAGCACAGAGGGTAGGTGACTGTGCTCACATCTCTAACAGAAACCAGGATGGAGGCAGGAGGCCTTGGACACAAGCAGGATGACAATCCCACTTGCAGGCCTGCTAAGATCTGCCTAGGTCCATTTGCAAATCCTGGGCTGAATGTCATTGTTGGCTCCATGAGGTCTCTGTGCCCTGAAACCATCAGGGAAGCTGGAATTAGGAGCCTGGGCTCTTACCTTTGCTTTGCCTGCATTTATCTGTGGGGGTACACAAACAGCTGTATTTGGACTTTGAAATGATTATGGTACCTCACCTTTTTCCCACATGTGTAAAACACAACACTGGCCCTACAAGACCCCAAAACATGCATGATGCCAACTGGCAAGGAAGCATCTTTCTAAATTTCCTTGTGGCAAAATTCTGCTTGGGCTCATCAGACCTATTCTCTTTTTCTCCTTTCCTGGTGCCCTGTTTTGATATCCATTGGGAAATCCATGTGAATGACTAGCAAATCTCTTGTCATTTCACAATGTCAGTGTTTTCATGTTGTGATGTGGGGACAGCTTGTGCCTTGTAGGGCTGCTGTGAGCAACACATGTAAGAACAGAATCAAGAGGGCTTTGCAAACTGGGAAGTGCTCTATATGCTTATTGCAGCTCCACTTGTGGTGCCAAGTCCTCTGTTGTGCTATTTATGCCTCCTCCTCCTCCTAGACAGCATTTTTCATGTGCGAGGCATGGTTCTAAGTATTTTGTCATTCAGAAATCTTCCCATATCCTGTAAGGCAGGTGCTTCTATATCTCTTGCAGGCTAGTTTGTGGCAAAGGGGGCTTGAAATGGAGGTTCGTTGCTTCAAACTTTGAAATCAGGGGCCTCACTACTACCCACAGATGGCCTCTCCTGCTCAAAGACATGTTGCTGCAATGGAAATCCATGTGCCTTACTTTCCACATTTTCATTTGTTACCAGATGGAGGCTTAAAAGTAGTTCTCCCTGTGGTTCTCACCTCCCTTTGTATTCGCCTCCAGCCTCAAGGCCCTTGCTTGGGCCCAGCTGTTCTCCACGCCCCATCTACTTCTCTCTTCTGGGATGGAGCAGAAGAGAGGAGGAAGATTGAGGGGACCTGGGAGAGCAGAATGGGTGAGCCCTACTCTGTGTGTCCTGCTGCAGGGAGGGTGGGTGTTGCCTTTGCAGGGATGAGGAAAAAGTAAGGGGTCCCTCCACTCCTAAGCACCATTAACCTTCTGTTAAGCATAGGGACACCTCCAGGATATAGTTGTCATTGATCCATTTGGGTGCTGTTGGTTGAAGTCACACTGGGCATGGCGAATTAGAAAATGCAAGACACTTTTCTTCATGGTAGCAGCCTTCTCATTGCCTGAGGGTCATCACCTCCAACCTTGGGCCAGAAAGGAAGCTCGTGATGCACCCTCCCTCCCTTCTGTCAAAGGGCCAAAGGGTGTTCAGGAGCCTCCCAGGTCACAGAGCTTCATCCAGGAGCTGGGCAGGGAGCAAATGGCATTGGACCTGGGGCTTTTTCATTTTTTGTAATTTCATGAAGGGATGCCTGTTTTTACAAGGTTCATGGTTAGTGCTCAAATTCTAAATTGATGAGAATAGTAGGGGGCTGTGCAAAGGGGGAGGGGCAGGAGGTATGTTTTATAAATGTATCAAGCTATAGCACCAGCACTGAATGAAAAGAAGGAAGCCAGCTAGACAGAAAGAGCATTGGTTGTTAAGGTCCCCTTTGGTCCTAAGATCTGGGATTCAAAGACTGGATCTTATTCATTTGTTTTCATTGAGGTGTAAATGACTGACACATTGTTCTGCTGTCCTTATGGTTTACTCAAGAATGATAGACAAACTTCTCTGAGCCAGATTCTCCAGGCAGCTGTTCCAGGGGAAAACAAAAGCAACTGCAGCTCTGTGAGGAGCCCTCCTGTAGCTCCCAGCTACATACAGGAATAACCTCTGCCAACCCTTCCAGGAGGAGGAAGCTCTAGTGGGTCAGACAAGCCAGGGTGGACCTGGATCCATAGCTCAGTGACACCTCCTTGGGCCTGTCACCCCACCCCGGGCCCCATCGGCACCTCTGGCCAAATCACACTGGAATGATACAGTTGGCTCCTTTCCTTGGCCACCCAGGGGAGGGAGTGGGGCCAGAAGGGAACTTCTCCTCCCAGAACAAACCCAAAGGCAAGTATTTAGACCTGTAGACAGGTCTCAAGTCCCAGTTTCCAATGCAGCAAGTTTGGGTCCCTGAAGACAGGGGTGGTCATGTGCAGATGAAAAGCAATCAGGGAATCAGCCAAATCTTTGCTGAGCGTGTTACAGCTGACTCTATGTGGGAAGACAGGACAGTGGTGAACAACTGCCTGGGGAAGTAAACGTCATAGGAATACACAGGTGGGGGTGAGGTGGGAGCTCAGAGCAGGGGCATGCAGGAGAGGGAGGACGTTGCAAGAGTTGTCTGACAAGTCCGAGTCAGCCACATGAAGAAGGGGTAGAAGATTTTCCAGGCAAGGGAGCAGCTTGTGCAAAATCACAGAGGTGGGGCTGGGCACGGTGGCTCACGCCTGTAATCTCAGAACTTTGGGAGGCCGAGGCGGGTGGATCACCTCAGGTCAGGAGTTCAAGACCAGCCTGACTAATATGGTGAAACCCCGTTTCTACTAAAAATACAAAAATTACCTGGGCATGGTGGCACATGCCTATAATCCCAGCTACTTGGGAGACTGAGGCAGGAGAATCTCTTGAACCTGGGAGGCAGAGGTTGCAGTGAGCTGAGGTTGCGCCACTGCACTCCAGCCTGGGTGACAGAATGAGATTCTGTCTTAAAAACAAAAAACAAAAAACAAAAAAAACTCCAGAGGTGGAAGACAGCAAAGCAGCTTTGCCTTGCTTGAGAGGTAAGTGGGCCACTTAGGAGGGTTCAGAAAAGGAAGGAAAACCCAAAGGTACACTACAGAGTCTTAAACTAACAACGCTGGCAGAAAACCAAACGCCCTCAGGAGTGTCTGGTCGTTCCTGTGACAGCCAGGACTAGGCAGGCCAGAGGGCCCAGATGAGCGCTGGCCTTGCCTGTAGCAGCAAGGCTGGAGGTCCTTCACACTAGATTAAACACAGATCACTTGGAAGGCCCTTGCATGCCCAGCCCCCTCTGAAGGTCACTGATCCTGAGTGTCTGGCACTGAGTTGTAGCTGCGGCCAAATGGGAAGTGCCTGGTCAGAGGTTATGTTGGCATGGTGTTTACAGAGTCAGTCCCTGTGTGCGGAGACACAACCCAAAGCGGCCAGGGCTGGTGGAGAAATGCAGGGCCATCAGGAGATTCCAGAGGCCATAGTGTGATCAGGATGTTTCTCGCTCTACAAATTTTCCTGAGCCCTGGCTCAGGGCCTGGTACTCTGCAGGGGCCTGGGATCAAGAAGCCTCTCCTAACTGCCCAGCAGGGGTAAAGACCCCTGATCCAGGACCACACCCAGCTTGAGGGATGGGAAGATACCTCCTGCCGCCCTACTCCTAGCTTGGCCCTATGGGCCGGGTGTCTTCTGGGCTGGTATGGTCCAGTTTGGGTACTGGAGCTGCAGTTCTATCATTCCATCTTCCCTGAGGAGAGGATCTTGGTGTTGATGGCCAACCGCACATAGGGCCATGGAAGGAGCACCAGTGTCCAATACCAAAACTGGATAAGCCAGTTGCATCCAATGGGTAAATCTCTTAACTTCTCAATTTTTCACCTGTGAAAGGGATTGACGTCTCTACCTTGCAGGGTTAATGGTTGAACGGGACAATGTGTAACGCTGAGGCCCAGGCCCAGCTCAGTCTTCCAGCTATAGCCTGGCACCTTGTAGAGGAGCATTCTCCTGCCACCCTGAGCTGGATGGACAGAAAAAGTCTCCACTGATGAGCAGAGGCCTGGCTGAGCCATTGGCCCCCGGACTTGGCTTGCTTTCTGGCCAGCCTGAGGCTCATGGCCTGCAGGGGGCAGCAGCGGGACGCACCGCCTAGGCCAGGTCTCCTGGCCCGGCTGCTTGGCTCTCTCTGCAGAGTCTGGGATGGAAAGTTCTCCTTTGCGCAGTGAATGCAGCTTGGGTCGATTTGTTTTTAAATGGGTAATGTTTGCAGTTCTTTTATACAAGCCCTTCACATCTGGCATTCAAAGAAGATAATCAGTCTAGACTATCAGACCCGATAGCAGCTTGTATGAAATTTGGGCCCGACTTTGCAGTAAAAGTGCCTCCCTGCTCCACGCCGGCGCTCCCTCCCTCTCCCTCCTTCTCTTCTTGTGACCTTTTATCTCAGCGGGAGCCCTGACTAGAAAGAGGGTTCTGGAAATGTGGTGTGTTTCTCATTAAGTTTCTGCAGCATAAAAGTCACGTGATGCAAAGCTTTTTTTTTCCCCTGTCTCCTGTCTTTCCCCTACGTAACTACAGTAACTCCTGCTGCTTAGGTTCCATTTAATTTGAGATGATTGAAGGCCGAAATCTTGTTGATACGAAGATTAAAAAAAGTCTGTTTCTAGGGTGCTGGTGGTATGTTTGGTTCA
Source organism: Homo sapiens (assembly GCF_000001405.40). Classification (NCBI taxonomy): domain Eukaryota; kingdom Metazoa; phylum Chordata; class Mammalia; order Primates; family Hominidae; genus Homo; species Homo sapiens. Next base: position 40,585,289 of record NC_000003.12, read on the forward strand.
TTTTTCCTTGGCAGTATGTTTTCCTTGGTGGTATGTTTGGTTCATGTTTCCTTGGTCAAACAATTCCCAATAAAATCGGTCCTCTGCTAGGGACCAAACAGCCCCTTTTCTTTTCTCTTTGCACATCTGTAAATTTCTTTCTTTAAAACTTGAGGCTCTGACTTGGGAGATTTTCATGCTGGGTGGCCAGACTTCTGAGAGGGCCCAAAGGAACCTTGTGGGGCTGTGAGGAGTCTCAAAGCACTAGGAGGGCCACTGCCGTGAACAGCTGCTCTCTTCCCTGCATCTGTTGAGAGACTCTCATCTGAGCCCGGTGGTCTGTGGCAACAAATGGAGACAGAGAGCAAGAGAGAGCGAGAGGTAACGAGAGAGAGAGAGAGCACCATAGGTTCTGACAACTGCTCGAGTCTCCTTTATCTTCTCCTGGGACCAGAGGCTGCAAGCCCTACACTACCTCTCTCAGTATAAAGCCACAGGTTAAAGTTTGTGCAGCTGATGTCTCAAAATAGGCCCCCAGCTTCATGCCTAAAGCACAGTTTCATGAGAGCATGAATTGAGTCACACTTGTGCAAGTGAGCGTTACAGTCACATTGTTGGTGCAGACCAAAGGTCCCTCCCTACCCACTGCTCTACAATGCTCAGCCACTGGCCTCCTCTTCCCTTGGGCCCCTCAGCATGGTCTTCAGCAGCTGGGGGAGGGGCCAGCCTTGCATCTTCCTTTGAAGAACAATGGGGTCCTGGAGTTCAGGGGTCAGTATCATCACTGCCTCATAGTCTTTGAGGGGCAGACTTGCCCATTGGGAGGCAGATCCTCAGGTGATGGCTGTCTCAATACCTGGCTTTTTGCTGACTTTTGTCCTTCCCTTCCCCTCCTGCAGCATCATTTCACCCTCTATTACCAACATTCACAGAAGCCTTTACGATTCAGCCCCACCCGCTTAAGCTTTAGTTCTGAACAACAGAAGAGAAACGAGGAGAAGAGGTATCCATTTCTAGTCTGACTGCCATGAACTCCCTGGGAGACCCTGGGGAGTCCCATCCACCATCTGCGCTTGTCCTTGTCTTCACAATCTGGGGTGGATTTGAGGTTTGCTCAACTCCCTTCCAAGTCAAAGAGTTTGTAGTAGGGGTCAGGAAACAATTGCCTGGAGAAGTCTGCTTTTCTTTCCTTCTTTTTCTCTTTTAGCAGCTTAGTCAATAAATTTATTGTCTTTATCTGAAAAATTCTCATAGAAAATTTCTTGGTTTAGCTCTCAGCAGCCTGTTCTCAAGCTCTGATGAAGCTTGCCTTCTTTTGAGCTACCCAGTGTTTCTTCTGGGCAAGAGACGTTTTGGGACAATTCCACTTTTTCTCTTTAGCTTCTTTCTTGGGCTTCTTTTCATAACCTGGATTCTCTCATATAGCAACGTGGGCTTTCTTACACATCTCCTCCATCATGTATGGAGTTATGCTGTTCTTTATGTATTGAGAAAACTGTTTCTTGTAAGATCTTCAGCTTCTTCCATTAGGTAATGCATGTAATCTGCAACATTCTGACCCATGATGTGCTTCCTATGTACTTCTGCATTAGATGCCTTGCTTTCAGAATCATAAGCAGGGAATCTGTTATTGTGTACTGTGAGAGATGGAGAGGCCTCCATTCACAGCCCCCTTCAGAGCCCCCAAAACTTTATTACTAGTGGTGGTTCTGGCAAGGCCTGCCTTCAAATAGCAGGTAAAATCACCCAGCTGACCATCAATGTTTTCCACGTTGTGTTCATCTCTGGTCACCTCCACTTGGCCTTCATAAATCTTGACCATGCCAGACTTACTGAGAAGCCTGCAGGCCAGCAGCAAGCCAGTACAATATGCTGTAGCATAATGTGTCAGGCCAACCTTCACACCATATTTTGGCAGTTCATATGCTTAAGCTGTGCAGACTATCATATCCCCTCCTATACAGGCATAAGCAATCTGACAAATGATATCTCTGTTTGTCACCAAACTATCATCCTGTATTTGGGTGTGTTGTACTTATTTTTATACAGTATCACCAAGCGTTTCCAAGTATAATCTTCAGTTTTTACGCTTCTATCATTTTCTGAATTTCACTTGGTTTCTCTTAAAGCAGGCCTTGTTTTTGACAACTTTAGCAAACCCCTCCTGTAGAACAGAGACCCATGTTCACAGCTCAACATACCTACAGGCCTCAGAGGTCTGCTTTTCTAAATAAAGTTTTATTGGAACCCAGCCACACTCATTCGTTTACAAATCAGGTCTGTGGCTGCTTTTGCACTACAATGCAGAATTGAGTAGTTACCACAGAGACCATGTACCTGCATAGCCTAAGATATTTACTACCTGGCCCTTTACAGGAAAAGTTTGCCAACATCTGGTCTATGGCTTCAATTTTATTTTATCTTTCATAGGGTGAGGCAGACTTGTCCTCAGAGCCACAGGAATTTTATTTTGTGGAACAAGATCTTGGTGACTTGAATACAACTGAGGAGGCTCTTCCAGGATCCAAGCCATAGAGCAGGTGAAGGAATCTGTATTAGCTTGGGCTGCCTTATAAAATTCATCGACTGGATGGCTTAAACAACTGACATTTATTTCTCACAACTATGGAGGCCAAAAGCCCATGATCAAGGTACTGGCAAGGTAGGTTTCATCCTGTGGCCTTTTCTCTTGGCTTGTAGTGGACACCATCTTGCTGTGTCCTTCCTCACATGGCCTCTTCTTTGTGCATGCAGAGAGAGAGAGAGAGAGAGAGACAGAGAGAAAGAGAGAGAGAGAGAGAACACAAGCCAGCATGTGAGCTGTTGGTGTCTTTCCTTATAAGAACACTAATCCTATTGGATCGGGGTCCCTTCCTTGTGACCCCACCTTGCCTTAATTACTTCCTTATGGGCTCTGTCTCCAAATATAATCACATTGAGGGATTAGGACTTTAACATATGAATTTTGGGGGAACACAATTTAACTCATAATAGAACTCTAATCTTTTTCTCAGGAGACTTTCTAATTATGCTGACCTGACAGATGGAAAACTATAGCAATGGAGGTCAGAGGTTTGCTCTGTGTCTTCCTGAGAGGAAGACTTATGAGAAAGTGATGCATTGAGGAAGCGCTCCTTGGGAGATTGGTAAGGGAGTCGAGGCAGGGCGGGGGGAGAGATAGAGTGAAGTCCTGCAGGGGTAGCTTCCTCCTGATCCTTCAGGGGAGCTCTGAAGTGTGAGTTACATCTTGGAATCTGACGCACCTGCATCTGTCAATCACTGGCCTGGGGCTGCCTTGCGGGGATGTTGGCTCCCAGGCATTTCCAATCTCTGCAGGTGTGGGCAAACTAGCTCTAGCCACCTGAGGGCAGTCCTCTAACAGGAGTTGCAGGTGTAGGCAGCAGAAACAAGATCCCACAGAGGCCAGGAGAGCAACACACAGCAACTGTAAAAGGACTTAGTGGGTGTCTGGGTAGAGTGTTGACTGTGTTGCCACATCCCACAAAGAAAAGTCAATAATAAAGGGTATATCGAAGACTGTCTAGGCTTATTCCGATAAAACAAAATTTGGCACATCTGTGGGAAGGTTCTGTGTTTGAAAGTTGTCTGAAGAAGGGACTAGACCTTTTGTATTCTTGCATTCCCAAACCTGGCACACAGTAGGTGCTCAGTTAGGCTTGAAGACTTCTGGTAGAGTGGGTGACTGGATGCCTGCAGGGGGCTGGAGTGATGGATAGCACGCTGGGGTCAGGTTTTAGAGAGCTAGCCTCTGTCCTGGGCTTCTCCTCACAGCTTGGGAATCCACTCTGGTCCTGACAGTCTAGGAATGGGGGAAGTTTGGCCATTTGACTCCAGCAAAGGACTTTTCTGTGTTTGGATCTCAAAGACTTTCCTCTCAACACAGGGGAGTAGCCTTTCGGTGGAGGACAGTGGAGTGGGTGGGAACAGATGGTTTGCATGTAGCACAGGTGGAATTTTATTTCTACCTTGATTTTATACACATCTTAGAACAAATTGAATGGTGGTGGCTGATTTCATGCATTTTTATGAGTTTTGTCACATCGCCTAAACTTTTTTTTTCCTTTGGGAGAATTGACCTGAAAAATTATTAGAAATAATGAGAGTTCAGTAAGGTAGCAAGTTACAAAATAAACGTACAAAAATCAATAGCTTTCCTATTTCCAACAGTAGCCACTTAGAAAAAAATAATGGAAAAGAAAGATCTCATTCACAATAGAAACAAAAGATATTTATCACCTTGCAGCAAACTTGTAGGAGACGACACATGTACTGCACTTCCTCCCTCTGTCCCAGGCATCCTTCTCTGGTGGGAGGGAGAGAATTGTTATGGCTACAGCTTGGATTCCTGGCCCCTGCCCCTCAGACCTTTGCCATAGGAGGATTGGGGGCCAGTGTTTCCCTGGCTCCCTTGGCAGGAGGTTTCTGCCTCTTCTGAGGCATATTGAAGATATGAGCTCTGGGCAGCTACCAAGAGCCCTCTGAGCATGCTGGTAGCCCACTGTGGTTACTGCAGGTGGTTACCCTAGCTTAGAGCAGTGACTGGGTCACAGGACATTAAATGGAGCAGGAAGCTATAAAGGTGATGCTGGTTTCCTGGAGTACCCACTGACTCTGGAAAGCTTCAGGGTTGGCTGCTTCTACCAGTCTAGGGGGTCTCAATGATGATCAAGCTGGCTGTGATCAGTGTGGGTGCAGGGCACAAAAGATATTGGTGGAGGTTTTTCCTGTACCACGATGGTGTCATATCTGGGATGGGAGTAGATTTAGGAAGCAATCCATGGATATTTTATCCCAGAAACATTCTAGGGTTAAATAGGACGACCTCTCATTGAGTGGAAGTTTTACATATATTAATATTAATCAGGATGCTTTTCCTTTGAAAATGGCAGAAAGCCTAGTTTAGTCATCCAAGTCCTACAAAAAAAACCCCAAACAATACAAAGCAAACATATCCCATCCATTCCTCCTTGATGCTGTGCACACCAGTTTGGCTGCTGACTGCCAGCCCCTGCAACTCTGCCTGAGGAGTCTGCTTTGTCCGTTCTCACAGTGGGTCCAAAAATGAAGCCCTGGGAAGAGCCTGACATATGGATAGGTAGGAGAGGGAGATGAATACCCCAGCTCCTTTGCCTCTTGGATGGCGTGGCTCTGAGATGTGTCCTCCACAAGGTCTCCCAGAGTTCCCGAGAGGGACTGAGCCTAAGTTGCCTTTTACTAATTAATTAATATTTATTTATTTATTTATTTATTTATTTAGAGACAGAGTCTTGATCTGTCACCCAGGCTGGAGCACAATGGTGCTATCTCAGCTCACTGCAACCTCCACCTGCTGAGTTCAAGCAATTCCCCTGCCTCGGCCTCCCGAGTAGCTGGGATTACAGGTGCCCGCCACCACCCCCAGTTAATCTTTGTATTTTTAGAAGAGATGGGGTTTTACCATGTTGGCCAGGCTGGTCTCGAACTCCTGGCCTCAAGTAATCGTCTGCCTCAGCCTCCCAAAGTGCTGGGATTACAGGCGTGAGCCACTGCGCCTGGCCCCAAGTTGCTCTTTAGGAGTTACTTGCTCAATGATGCACCCTTTACTGGCTGCCTTCTCTTGCCCTCACTTTCTAATTACCTTACTGGTGTTTTCTAATATTACTTCTCAAATAAACTCTTTGCCTATCAATCCTTATTTCAGGATCTTTCTTTGTGGTGGAGCAGGGGCTCAACTGAGAGAGAGAGAGGGAGAAAGAGAGAGGGAGAGAGGGAGAGAGAGAGCGAGAGAGCGAGAGAGCGAGCATGAGAGCAAAAGCAAAAGTACATATAATTGGAGTCCAGGCATAGCTTTGGCTTCAGGTAGGACTGGACCCAGAGGACTCAAGCAATATCTTTAGGATGATCAGGTCTTCCCATCACTTGATTGTGCTTTCTTCTCAGGTGGACTCTGTCAACCCAGTGGATCTCAGCAGTTCCAGGCTTAAAGTCTTCAAACTAAACTACCCTAGCAGAAAGAGGAGAACTTGTTTTTGTCCTAGGATATCTTAAAATTGCAAACCACTGGACTGACTTGCACGCCTCTAAGCCCATCATCGAGGCCAGGTGGATGGAATACTTTGTGTACTAGTAGTCAGGTTTTTCTAGAGGGACAAAACTATTTTATATATATATATGAGTTTATTAAGTACTAACTCACACGATCACGAGGTCCCACAATAGGCCATGTGCAAGCTGAAGAGCAAGGAGAGCCAGGTCGAGTCCCAGAACTGAAGAACTTGGAGTCTGATGTTCAAGGGCAGGAAGCATCCAGCAAGGGAAAAAGATGTAGGCTGGGAGGCTAGCCCAGTCTTGCCTTTTCACGTTTTTCTGCCTGCTTTATATTCTAGCTGTGCTGGCAGCTGATTAGATGGTGCCCACCCAGATTAAGGGTGGGTCTGCCTTTCCCAGCCCACTGACTCGAATGTTAATCTCCTTTGGCAACACCTGCACAGATACACCCAGGATCAATACTTTACATACTTCAGTCCGATCAAGTTGACACTCAGTATTAACCATCACACTCTGATTGGCCAGTCCTGATTCATGTGACTATGGATCCCTTTTATGTCCTCCTCTGTACACTCCCATTCCACTTTTCCCACACACTCTAGTGGTATACAATGGAGAGAAATCAGAAGCAGGGATGAAGGTCCTGTGTTTTGGAAGTAGATAAAGACAGACACACGTCTGCATGCATGTGCTGATGTCTAATTGTGTAGAATCTGATCACTTGCTAACTATCAAACAATATTGGTGAAATATTCAAAGAATCTGTGTGTAAGCTAGACCACTCTTTTTTTTCAATGTTATGAGAGAAATAGAAAACAAATATCCCAGCTGAAGTCCTGCATCTTACTTCTTTTCATATGAGTGATTTCTGTAGAAGAGACCAATCTTTGGCAAGAAAAACAGAAGGTGAGAGAAAAACTAGTATCTAGAGAGTTCCTAGCTGTATGTCAGTCATTGTCTTAGCACTGTATGGTTGTGACTTCATTTGACATGAAATCTATAGTGCTCATTTTATAGGTGGCCACACTGAAGCTGGATGATGTTAAGTCAGGTGCTGAAGAAGGCTCAGAGCCTGGACTGTTTGACCCCTCAGCCATGGTATTTTCACTATTCGAGATGTCTTCTCTCAGAGAACGGTACTGGGAGAGGGAAGTCTGCTCTGCTCATTCTGTGAATGAAATAAACCCTCTTCCCGCTAGTCTAAGTACTATGATGTTAGAAAGGAGGCATTTTAAACAAATGGAGCTTCCAGTCATACATGGTGTAAGAATTAGAAGCACTCCATCAGCACTTGTGAAATCACAAAGAGCTTAATTAAAAAAAAAGTAATTTGCTCATATCCCGGCTGGAGAAGCCTGTCTATGTAGTCCACAAAGCAAACAAAAGAAAAAAAATACAGATTACCTCCCTGAAGGCAGGACTTTGCTTGAAAGTGTTATGATTTTGTCCCCTGAGCCTAGTACAGTGCCTGACACATTATGAGTGCTCAGTATATATTTGGTGAGTGAATAAAAAAATTGCATACACATTAATAGTTTTTTTAAAACAATACTACTTTCTAAATATCTTTCCATGACAATGAATAAATCATTTCATGATGGTTGGAATGGTTAAATTTATTTAACATTTTATTGGATTAACTATTTTTGCTTGTTTGACATATTTAACTATTAAATTCCCTCTTTTTGGATTGGTAGGCAGTTCATATTTTTGAGGATAGTAAACAATGCTATGAATGAACATCGTTACACTTAAGCTTTTACAAATTTTTCAAATAATTTATCTAGGGTATATACAGAAAAGAACTGCTTAGTTAAATGGCATGCATGTTTTAAGCCTTGTTTTGGAAATACACAGGCAAATACATATCCATGTATAATAAGGAAAAATGTGATTTATTTTGAAAATTAAATTATCACAGTCTTCAGCTAAACCTAACAGTCATATCTTAGCACATTTAGCAGTCTAAAGTGAATTAGTTAATTTTTATGGCTTATTGTTTGAGGTAAGTGGGCCACTAGATAAGATTTGAAAACTGTTGCTTGCTTTTTATTTCCACCATACTGTTCTGTGAGTCTTTGGGAAATCTCTGGAGAGTCTGAGTATCTTGTCTTTGGGTCTGCAATGCCATGTCTCATGTAGCTTATATCCTGTTTTGCCTCCTCTCCACCCCCAGAACCTCATTAGTATCTCTCACACAGAGGATTCAGATTCCAAAAATATTTGTGGAATTAAGTGTTGGCAAGAGAGTGAGAAACCCAGACTTGCGCACACTGCTGGTGGGAGTATTTAATTGGTACAGCCACTTTGAAGGCAATTTGGCAGTGTCTATTAAAATGTAAAATGTGCGTACCCTGTGATTCAGCAATTACACTTCTCCGTGTCTTCTCAAGAGAAACTTTTGCTCATGTACAGATGTGCACTCAGCACGGATCATAATAGTGAAAACCTGGAAAGAATCTAAATGTCTATCAATAGGGAAATGATTGAAACAAATTTGAAAAGATTCTACGCTGTACATTAGTAGTTAAGGAGAATGAAGTAGACCAGAGACAATATATTCGGGTCCTGAAGGCCAGATCCAGGCCAGCAAAAATATTTTATTCACTTTACATAGTATTCCCCTCCACCCCTCCTTGCCATATATTTTATAACTATTTTAGCAAAGTCTATTCTTGTTATTTGGGGTAGTTATGCTTTATAAAGTCACTGCATACACTGAATCAGGGGAAATACAGGATTAGATTCTTGTGAACCTCTGGTCACATTTTACTAATCAGTCAATACATTACCTTGTTTAATGTGTGTTTTTGTTTAAAGACACCTTATTTAGTATATATTGTTGAGTTGTTAACAATGAACTCACAGCCAACAGGACTATAATTCATACCTGAACAAAGCCTCTCTAATACACAGAAGGCACATCACAGCCTCCTTGCTCTTAGGAACATGAGACAGCACTTCAACACTATGCTGGGGGGCCGTTTGTTTTTTGTTTTTGTTTTTTTTTTCCCTTAGATGAAGTCTTGCTCTGTTGCCCAGGCTGGAGTGTAGTGGCGCGATCTCGGCTCACTGCAAACTCTGCCTCCTGGGTTCAAGTGATTCTCCTGCCTCAGCCTTCTGATCAGCTGGGATTACAGATGGCTACCACCACGCCTGGCTAATATTTTTTGTATTTTTAGTAGAGACAGGGTTTCGCCATGTTGGCCAGACTGGTCTCGAACTCCTGACTTCAGGTCATCCACCCGCCTGGGCCTCCCAAAGTGCTGGGATTACAGGCCCTGGCCAGGGGCCGTTTTAAACAGGAAAATCACCAACAAAAAGCACCAAGATGGAAACATATGGCATTAAATACACCACAAAAAGGACACTTGTTTACATTTATGTGAGCTGAAAAAAGAAGGCAGAGCGTTCCCCTTGTTCATTCTGGGCTGGTAACATGCACATTGGGCAACTCAAATATTTTGCTGTTTTGCGCATGTCCACAAATGACATGAAAACACCGGGAATATTGATTTTGAGGTGACAAATAAACTTTAGCAAGTAGGCAAATTTGCAAATACAGAGTCATAAATAATGAGTATTGACTGTATATATTTCTGAAATATAAGGACTCTTTTATAAACATCTCAAGTACCATAATTACTCCTAGATTCCTTAGTCTTTTTTCTTCATCTTTGTGTATAAACTGGAGATTCCTTAATATTATTGAATATCCAAAGTGCACATTTTCCCAGTGTCTCACTAAAAATCATTATGAATTCATGGATTTAAGCATACTTGGTAAATTTTAATTCATGATAATGATGATGATTATGAATTTTATTTATTATTATTTTTAAACTTTTATTTTAGGTTTGAGGATACATGCTCAGGTTTGCTATATAGGTAAATTTTATGTTACAAGGGTTTGATATACAGATTATTCTGTACAATCTGTGCTTCTCAAAGAATGGGGGGAATCACCTGAAAAATAGTCACATGGTCTCCCAAACTTGCAGTGAAATTAATGAGGGACTGATGGGCATGACTCCCCAAATTTGGATGATATGGTTTGGCTTTTTGTCCCCACCCAAATCTCATCCCGAATTGTAATTCCCACATGTCAAGGGAGGGAGGTGACTGGATCGTGGGGGTGGTATCCCCCATGCTGTTCTCATGATAGTGAGTGAGTTCTTAGGGGATCTGGTGCTTTTGTAAGTGTTTGGAAGTTCCTCCTTCATTCTTTTCTCTCCTGCTGCCTTGTGAAGAAGGTGCTTGCTTCCCCTTCACCTTCTGCCATGATTGTAAGTTTTCTGAGGTCTCCCCAGCCATATGGAACGGTGAGTCAATTAAATCTCTTTCCTTTATAAATTACCCAGTCATGGGCATTTCTTTATAGCCGTGTGAAAACAGACTAATACATTGGGTCTGAATCCCCAGATTCCAACATTAAAAGTCCACTGGAGAGAGGTGGTGCAGTGAATGGGTAAAAAAAAAAAAAGAAAGGAGAAAGTGTAATCATTCTTCCAACAGGGCCACTGCTCTTCCCTGGGGAAAGAAACTGTTGTGATGAAGGTGAGAGCAACAGTGAGTGCACCATGACATAGCGCAACCAGCACAGTTTTAGAGCCAGATATTACCTGGGTTCCAATTGAAGTCTTACTTCTTACCGGCTGCTGACCTGAGGCAAGTTGTCTAACTCCTTGAGCCTTAGTTTTCTTATCTGGACAATGAGAATAATCACTACCCCACAGAGTTGTTGGCAGATAAAAATCATATATGTGAAGAATATGACACATAGTAGGTATTTATAAATGCTAGTTGTTTTTTTTTCAGTATTCAGTTTCCTTTAATGACCCCCATCTCCCTGAAGGGCAGGTGCAGGCAGGTAGGCAATGGCAAGAGTTGCTCATTTGATGATTTTGCCCTGACTGAAGGCTTGGCCCACATGCTAGAAGGCCCCCTCCCAGTAAAAGTACTCTCGAACCAGTGCCTGGGTCTCCTTGCTGCCAGGATCCAGTTTCCACTATGTATATGACTTGTAGTCTCACCTGCCAATCTGGACTCAGCGAAAAGGGAAGCTCCTGGCCCTGGAAGACCCAGACTCAGAGCTGCTGTTGTTGGTTCCAAAGAAGACACTGACAAAAACATTCTTCCACAGCTTGGCCAGTCACTAGAATATTCCAGTGATGAGATTGCAACTCATGAAGATCTGGGTGAGTTCTTCAAGGAAGTGATACTCTGAGAACCACAGGAACCAGCTGTCCTTATTGAACTGCTCCCAAAAATATGGCAGCACCACAGAGAGTGTGTCCTCCTTAGAGTACCTGCACTGAAATTTATCCAACACAAAGGTACTCTTGGATGGTAAGTGAAGGGGTCCTTGGCCTTGGGCTCAGCAGCCAGCACCTGCTCACATTCATCCATCTCCTCCTCAGAAGCAGGGGCAGCTGCCTTTTTACCCTCTTTCTGCTCAGCCTGGGGCTTCTGCTTCCCTTCCTGTGAACACTTCCTTTTCCATGGGGTGTCCTGTTTAGGGTGGCTCTCTGCAAACTTTTTAGCATCAAACTGGGCCATGTTCTCACACAGACTCACTTCCCCACAAACAACCTGGAATTGGGGCTGGTTAATGCAGGTGAGGAACCAGCGGTTGGTATTGGGGAAGGCCTGGTGGAAAGAAGCCTCCAGGACCTGCTTATAGAGCTACAACAGCATGCAGACAACTGTGATATCAGCCAGTGGCACTTGTTCACCCACCAGAAAAGTCCTCATCTTCAAGTGAGCATGCAGCAGCCCCAGAATTCACCTCACCTCCTTCTTTGCACTCTCAGTGGCCTTTTTGTTATGCTGCATGATGCCCACGGTGAGGAACACCCAGGTACTGGCACTGTATCGCTGTCAGCAAAGCTCACCCACTGCACCACTTGGGCTGTTGCCGCTGGAGTACTTCCCTGCAGCTCCTCATAGTAGGCAATGGCATTGCTCTCAAACACACAGAATCCATCATCACCCTCTAATACTGGAAACTTGCCGGCAAGAAACTTGCAGAGAAATTCAGGGGTGTTGTTGGTTTGGCCAAAGTGGGAGTGGGGTGGTGCGGAGAGCACGTGGACCTGAGACTCGCTGTACTGAGTAGCAATGAACACCTTGAAGGCCCTCAGGTTTTCAGGATATGAGTACAGGGTCCCAGCTGCCATGGTGATCCTGCAGAGAAAGGGGGTGTTGCTGTTATTTTTATCATATGCCTGATTGAGGCCCTCTGAGGAAGGCCTATAGGCAGACTTTCTATCACCTATGAGCGAGGCAGTGGGGAAGGGAGGCAAGAGGAAAAGACATTGTGGTCAGGTGAGTCACACCACAGTGGTAGGATGGGGCTGAGAGTTGAATTCCTGGCCCTTGGTCCATAGCTCAGTCTAATTAAAGGAGCCAGATTCTTGATGAAGGTGACGCTGGGTCTTTGGCTTTTGGGTCTGTACCACAACGAAACAGAGCACCCCTTGATTCTTAATTTGGTCCCTGTTCCTTAATCCATTGCCTAAATGATTAAAAAAACAAAACAAAACATACCAGCCCTGGGGACAGGTACATGTTTTGCTCTCTGACCCTAGGCCACCTTGCCCAGAGAGGAGGCCGAGCACTGGGCAGCCTTGTTTATCTGGCCTCTTCTCATCTGGGTTGTGGCTTTATCTGGATAGAGTCCCCAGCTGTTGACTTATGTTTCTCCCCCATGCACTTCAGGACAGAGAGCTGCATCCATTGGGATGGAGCACCCCTACTGAGTGACTTCTCTGGCCTTCTTAGGACACATTACCCTTAGACTATTCAAGTGTGTGTTTGTGTGTGGGACCAGGACAGGGTGGCACAGAACTCTAATTCAGATTAACAGGAGGTCTAAAAGGTGAAAAACTCCATAAAGAATATGAATCAGAAACAAGAATCACTTCACAAAGAGACTCCCTTTCCCCTTTCTCTTTCCCTCATTCTCTCCATTGTTTTGATAAATTTGATTCTCACCCCAGCTATGGCATCATGGTAAAGACTAGACTTTTTTATATTATCAGTTTTCCCCATAAGATGGAGTTATTCTGAAGAACTGAGCTACCCAATGTGAGCTAGTATGGACTAGTGGCAAAGTCAGTGGATTTGGGTAGAGATGGCCTGAGTTTGTGTCCTGGCCCTGTAACTCTGGGGATGTGAGACCTGGAGTAAGTACCTACTCTGAGCCTAAGCTATCTTATATATGTAAATGATCTTGGTTTGCTACATTTTCTAAGAGCCTCAATTTTTTTGCAATACTTGTGTTCTGATTGAAACTGGAACTGTGACATGTTTTGAGAGTGAATAAATACTCTCAATTTATTGAGATGAATCAATATTGAAATGTTAGGTGATTATAATCATGCCTTGGAATGTTCTGGGTCATGTTGTTACTGAGGAATGGTTTTGCTATCCATGTGCATAGAAGTCAATACTATAGGATCAGCTTTTGAGAAAGGAAAAAGCTTTATTGCAAGTAAACTGGCAAGGAGACAGGAGGCAACGTTCAACACTGTCTCCCCGAGCTGCGGTCTAGGGGCATATTTTAAAAGCAGAGAGTAACAATGAGAGAGATAGGAAAATGCAATGAGGCACGATCTAAATTGGTTTATGCAAAGAGGTGATGCTGAGTCCTTGGCTTTTGGGTCTGTACCGCAACGAAACAGAGCACCCCTTGATTCTTAATTTGGTCCCTGTTCCTCAATCCAAGCACTTAGGTTCCACCTGTGGTTGACTTTGTTATTCTGGCTGGCATTGGGGTCACAAATTGGGCATGCTGGTTCATCTGGGTAAGCTCAGGTTATGTGACCTGCAACCTGAGAGTCCATTGCACTGAGAAACAGCTCATTATTTTGTTACTGACAAAGTTGAACCACATCGAAGTGGTTCTGTGGTTACAATGTCAGGATGTCAGAGAAAAGGCCAAAAATGTTCTGAGGTACTATGTGGGGGAAGAGCCAGAAAAACTGCAGATTTTGCATAAGGAAAGACAAATCAATGTCTCTCATTTTTAATGTCAAGAATCAGAGCATTGAAAGAATAAAGATCTCACACAATATGGACTACGGAGCATGACAACGGGTTATTCTTGGCAATCCTAGAAATAGCAATGGGGCCCAAACTCTGCTTTTCTATATTTGTCCTGCTCAAAAAGAACAACATTGGGGGCCATTGATGGCCAGGTGCCTAGGATCAGTCTTCTTAGTGCCTAGGATCAGTCTGCTTAGAGCTAGAGTTTCATCCAACAAAGCCACGGTTTCTGCACTAGCGATGTCCTGAGACTGTGGAGAGCTTGTTGTTTGAGAGGTCCTACACTGGGTGGGGACATGAGGGGAATGGGAGAGTTTCAGATTGTTCACTGTTTGACTGTCTTCTCATAATCCACTTCTGCTTTAAGAGCCTGGGAGACCGGCTATTAATGGGGAAGGGAGGGTACTATATACAAACTTTGATGGACTTGGGTTGAATCTATGGTAAAATGTGCTTACTGGAAGGTGAGGACTGTAGGAACTCTGAGTTTAGCAAAAGGCAGTGACTGGAAAGAACCTGTGTCCTAATAGATTTCAGTATAATGAAGCTAAACCAGGAAAGGGAGAAAGCAGAGGTTTTTGGATTTTAGGTGGCTTGTCAAAAGCTTCTTCAAAAAAGGTTTGTTATTGTTGTTGGTGCTGGGTCTTCTGACTCTGTGGAAGGTGCCCTAGCACTCCTGCCCATAGCTCCTAATCCAGGGGTCTTTCGGAACATCTGTCAAAAGGGGTACAAGATAAGTATAATAAAAGTGCTTTGTAAACAGTGATCTTCATGAAACTTTAAACTTGTGTAACCATTGTTAATAATACATTGATCTTCAATGGAGTGCTTTCATTAATTACAAATGAGGTATAGAGAAATCTCTCCCTAATATTTGGTTGCAAGTCTTTGTTGCTGTTCCAAGAAGAAAATTCTCCTAGGAATGTACCTTCGTGGAATCATTTCTGGATGACGCCATTTTCTTCTAAGTGTTTATTGGTGAACCTCTGGAGCAATATCATCCCCAAGATACATTAGTTTGAATAATATCTGACCTCTTATTCTTTTTAAAAAAGGAGAATAATCTTGGTAGTTTGCCTGCCATATGTTGTATGTGACAATTTATTTTCTTTAAAGGAGTTAGAAAAAGAGATTTCTATTCTGGTAAATTGGGAGATTGGAAAATCTGAAACCCTTCTATTACCACACAACTAAAATGATAGATAAAATGTAAGAGACATAATTTTAAATGCATGGATGGCCTTGTAAAAAAATGAAGAAAGTTTTCAGAGACCAGGGATGAAGTGAGAGTGGGAATGAATAAGCACTGATGTTACTGGCTGTCTGGGGGCATCTGTAGCCACAGACATGGAAGGAGACAAGGCACCAAGCCTGGAGAGAGTTGGAGTGGTATCTTTTCTCCACTCCATATGAAGATATGATCCACAAAGGGCTACACTCTCAGTAAAAAGTAAACCAAGAAAAACCCTCCTGCAGAGGCAAGATGCAAGAAAACTTGCCTGTCTCAGCCTAACCTTGATTCTGGGTAAAGGGGAAAATATATCCTCTATGTATCAGTGGACATGGGTTGGCCCTGGGGTGGGGTTGGTGCCAGAATGCCTTTTGCAAAGTTTGATAGTAAGCAAGCTAAAATTTTGATGAATTGGAAACGAGGCCCCAAAAGAGAAGAAACACACATACACACAATCATGCACAAAGGAGAAACAGGATTAATAGCAAGGAAAAAAAATGGTAGAAATAAATCCAAATACATTTGTAATCACAGTAAATGTTAGTACACTAAACTGTTTAAAAGACATAGATTACCAGACTAGAGGAAAAACCCCAAAGTATACTATTATAAAGAAAAAGAAGAAGACAGCAGAAGTTTGAGAATAAATAATACTAAAAGCTATAACAGGCAAATAGTAACAAAAGAAAACTGGTTTAATAACACTAATGTCACACAAAATATACCATGATCAAGAAGCTATTTCTAGAGATTGATAATTCTTATATAAGAATAAAAGTTTTAGTTCACTAGGAGGACATATTTCTAATCCACTTATACTTAATATCTCTGAGTTATGTAAAATAAAAATTAACAGAACTGTAAAATCCCCAGAATAGTAGGATATTTTAACATATTTCTCTCAGCAATAAATAGATCAGAAAAGAAAATATGCAAGAATAAGGAAAACTTGAACAACATAGTTACTCATTCACTCATTCAATATTTCATTGAATGCCTATAATGTCAGGCATTGTGCAAGACACTAAAGAAACAACAGTGACAAATGGGTTCTCTTGGAGAAGTACTTACACCAGGAGATATACTCAACAATGTCCATAACAGTATTGTTTAATAGCAAAAAGTCTGGAAACAATACAAACAACATTACAGAATAGTGTATTCGTATACTGAAATACTATACAGCAGAGAAAGTAATGCTACACATTTTAATGGAGAGTACAATCAGAAATATAATGTTGAATAGAAAAGCAAATTGCTGAAGAATTAATACACTGTAATATTATTTCTATAAAATTCAAAGGAATGCAAAACTAAGTCAAATGTTTTTTAGAAATACGTACATCTGTTGCAGAACTATAAAGAAAAGGAAGGAAATGTTAACATAAAGTTTAAGAAAGTGGATCCCTCTGTGGAAAGATGATGTCTGCCATCAGGGGCACTAGAGAACTTCAAAGGAAAGCTCCCTGTTGTTCATGTTTTATTTTTCAAGTTGGCACCAAGTAGATTTATGGTGTTTGTTTCATTATAATGCATATACTTTACATACACATTATATATTTTAGTTCATGTGAAATATTCCATAATAAAAATATGATAGTATCCCTATCCCTAAGGAACTTAAAATTACCCAAGGCAGGTAGAGAAGAGATAAATGAAAAAATATAAATGATGAGAGACTAGGACACCCAAAGGTCATTCAACCCAGGGTGATTTTAGAGATTAAAATGGGACCAGATGGCTGCACGGGGGCTGGGGAATACAAGGGTGAGTTAACAAGAGACCTGGTCTCTGACATTTTGAAGCTTGTCCAAAGGGGAATCAATGGATTTCTTTTTTCAAGAGGTTCTTATGTCCTGTGATAGCAGAAGGCATCTAATTTATGCATATGAATATAAACTCTGTGTATGTTTGGTTATTGCTGTAACAGGTCATGTCAAAACAATGGCATAAGGCAACAAACTTTTTATTATGCTCACAATTCTGTGAGTCAGGAATTTGGGCAGGGTATGGCAGAGATGGCTTGTCCCTGCTCTAAGTTGTATCAGGTCTTAACTGGAGTAGCTCAAATGGTTGGAGATGGTGGGGAAAACTTGACTGGGGCCATATATCCAGAACCCTTGGTTCTATCAGCTGGGTTCCCTGTTTTTTTCTCCACATGGCATCAGTCAGGTCAAAAACACCTAAAATGTTTTCACTTACATACTTACCTCCTGGGTTGTAGAACTGAAACAGCCAGGAGTTGGTTAGGCAGTTTTCCATGCAGCCTCTCCACATGGCTAAGCTTGGGCTTCCTCACAGCGTGGCAGTCTCAGCATAGTCAGATTTCTGACATAGTCCAGGCTTCCCACAGAATGAGTGTTCCCAGATAACAGGGTTGAAGTTGCAAGGCTTCTTATGCCTAGACTTGGAAGTGATGCAGTGTCTCTTCCACCACATTTTATTGGTTACAGAGCTAGCCTGGATTCAGTGTGTGAGTAAGTGTATGTGCATGCTCATGAGTGTGTGTGTGTGTGTGTGAGTGTGACTATATAAAGACATAAGTACTGAGAGGCATTATTCATTGGGGGCTGAGGGGGCACCTTTGGAGACAATCTCTTACAGTGTATGAGCATATATCCCTGAATATGGAGAGAGGAGACAAGAGACAACAGCTGTAAATACCATGAAATTGGTCTGTACACAAAGTCTGTATATGGGATCCAGAGCTCTGGGATTTGTTGACTCTCTTCTCTAACCCAAGTGACTTTGGACTGTCACTTCCCTCCTTTGATATTACTTTGTTACTGAATGGGAGCTGAGGAGACCTGAGCCCCTCCTATTCTCTGAATTTCATTGAAATATAATGATTCATTCATTAATGATGGATTGAGGGTTGAAAAATAATGATATCTAGTTTTATCATTTATTTTTTCATTTATTAGCTGGAAGACTTCTCTGAAGAGGCACTTCTTTTGGTCTACTATTTCATTACCTAGTGGAAGAGTTCCTATAGAAAGTCAGGATTAATGATTGATTTTTTCCTTTATTTACAGGTTTTCGACAGAGGGAGACAACTAGACATTATGAGTCTCTTGATGGAAGAACATACTTCTAAAGTTCTGCCCCCACAAAACCAAACCTGAATCTGATCTTGCCTTTACACACAGCTACCTGTTTATAGGAAATACAGAGGACAGAGGGATATTTTGCACTATACCAAGAGGATGCAAAGACAAAAACAAGAACAAACTAGTAATGGCTTGTGGGAAACTTGATGGATCAAATTTCCTTTAACAAATAGAAAGGGGTAAGAGTGGGGGGTGAGGGAGAGAAAACCTATAAACAAAGAGACATATGAAACTAAAAGGCATATGAAATAAATTAAAGAACAGGCACAGGTAAATTATATTGTTCAGGGATTTATCCTGGGTGATAAAACTAAAGAATTGCAAGGAAGCAATTGTAAAGACACATGCATGCATATGTTCACTGCAGCAATATTCACAGTAGCAAAGACCTGGAATCAACCTAAATGCCCATCAATGATAGACTGGATAAGGAAAAATTGGTACAAACACACCATGGAATACTATGCAACCTTAAAAAAGAATAAGCTTATCTTCTTTGAAGGGACATGGATGGAGCTGAAGGCTATTATCCTTAGCAAACTAGCACAGGAACAGAAAACCAAATACTGCGTGTTCTCACTTGTAACTGGGAGCTAGATCATGAGAACACATGGGCACTCAGAGGGGAACAACACACACTGGGACCTACTGGAGGGTGTAGGGTGGGAGAAAAGAGAGGATCAGGAAAATAACTGATGGGTACTAGGCTTAATACCTGGGTGATAAAAATAATCTGTACAACAAACCCCCATGACACGAGTTCACCTATGTAACAAACCTGCACTTGTACCCATGAACTTAAAAGTTAAAAAAATGTGAGAGTAGTGGTCTTGTTTGGAGAGTGTGTTTGTGTAGTGATTGAGATGGGGCACACAGAAGGGCTTCTCATGTAGATGCAAGTTCTAGTTCATGACATAGGTGTAATTACAGAAGGGTTTGACTTAGAGTAATTCACTAAATTATATTTTCGTTTCATGAGTCTTTGTATATCCTTGTTTTATATTAGAAGAAAGAAAGCTTTTAGAAACGAGGAGAAGCATACTCACAATCTGGAAGCCCCTCAACCTCCCTCCATCCCCCCACATACACATGCTTACCTCCTCTGTTTAGCCTCGAGGCAGTGCTAGTCTCCAGGAAAGAATACATCTTTGGAATTCAGAGACCTGGCTTTGAATTCCAGTAGAGTACTTATTAGTTCTAGGGTGACCAACCCCTTTTAGTTTGTCTGGGGCTGAGGGGATTCTTGGGATGCAAGACTTCCAGTGCTAGACCCAGGAAAATCCCAAGCAAACTTGGACAGTTGGTCACTCTGAGTTACCCCCTGAGCCTCAAATCTCTTACTTGTAAATGGGGACATGAATCCCTACGGTGTTGAATTATGAGGATTAAAGAAAATGAGAGATATGAAAACCCTGAATATACTGTTATCAGACTGTAAAAACTTCAGCTCAATTTTGCTCATCAATTACTAAACACATATAATTATAGCTACCACATGTAACATTCACTAAGTGAGGCAGGCTTCTAAGTCCTTGCTACACAAAGTATGGTCCTTGGATCAGCACCACTGGAATAACCCAGAAGCTTGTAAGAAACATAGTTTTTCAGACCCCACCCCAGACCTGCTGAATCAGAATCTGTGCTTTAACAGGATCCTCACATATTTCGTGTGCATGTTACTGTCTGAGGAGCACTGCTCTCAGCATGTGAAGAAACTCATTTAATCCTTAAGACAATTATTTGGTTCACATTCTGATTCCAGAACCTCACCCAGTCTTAGAGTTCCAGTACCCAGCACAAGACCTGGCTCGAGGTAATGATCCTGAATAAATGTATATTTTATTCCTTTTCCTGTCTGGAAGAGTTGGGAGAGGGCTGCCAAGGGCAAGATCATGTCTGGGAAGGATTTACATTCCATAGGGTTTAGAGGGACTTGAACTCCTGAGTCCTGGGGCTTTATCTGTTTCAAGTTTATGGTGGAACAGAGTGAGAATCTGGATTCCTTATTCCAAAGCTCTGCAGCCATTTCTAGTCCATTAATTCACTCAATTCTTCCTCTGCAAGAATTGAGTGAGAATAAGGAAATCACCGGTTTGATGACCCAACCTTCTCTTTTGATAAATGGGTGTGTATGTGGTTGCAAAAGAGCCAGGAGGACCCTGAATGGGGGAACAGCCTTGAGAGCCAACAGCCAGGGAAGAGCTGGTGCCGTTTGTAAATCAGTGAATGGATTGCTCTGGGTATGTTTTGAAAGCTCTTGCTCCCCTTCTGGGTTCCTCAGCACTTGCCCAGAGGGAATCATTAATTAGCCTGATCACCTTAATTAAAACTCCCCAACAATTTTATTGGGGATTTATATCTATTTGCAAAAAGCTCAGTTTTCAGCCATTAGGTGCAATGAGCTAAACTCTGAGTCATAGTGGACTCTAGATTCCATCAACACCACCAGGGCTGAGCAATGCATGGATGACTTTGAAGGTTTTATGTACGTAGAATAATTATTACTACCAACCACCATTACCACCACTACCATTACTACCACCATTACTAAATAACAGCAGCTACTGCTACTATACACCAGGCACTGTGCAAAGTTTTTAAAATGCATTATTTTATTTCATCTTTACAGCTGTCCTATGAAGTAAGAATTATTATCCCTATTTCATAAATGCAGCAATAGAAATTTCAAAAGATTAAGTAACATGCTCAGTAGCAGAGCTAGTGAATGTCACAGCTGGGATTTGAATACAGTTAGAGTCCATGTCCTTAACCACTGCCTCCCAAGATGCCAAGGTTTTATTATGCTTCTCTCACTTTTGTGACCTCATGGCATTCCCATGAAGATCTTTCTCAACCCTTTCATTGGTAAAGGGATTGTATGTGTTGAAATGTTTTTTTGCAACAAATACCTGAGTACGTGTCTCTATCTGGCTTAAACTATCAAGAAATATGTCACCTTACATTATTGAATAATCATCCAGAGTAAGGTAGGCATCAGAGAGTGTATCATCACAGTGGCTCTGGAGCTGTGCCTCTGTGATCACTCTGGCTGGATTTTTGCCTGCGTGGAGACTTCATCCTCAGAGGGGCTTCTCTCATGGTGCTAGTGTGGCTATAGCCACCCTGGGCTTTGCTTCCATATGCCAGAGGAAAACAAAGGAGTGATTACTAGGAATGCTTTTTTTTACAGTGAGAAAATTTCCCTGCCTGAAACCTTCTGAAATCCACACTCATGTCTTAAAGTCCTGAATTTGTTCATCTGCACATCCCTGAACTAATTCCTTAGATCGAGGAGATGCCATGAGCTGGAAAAGGCATGGAAAAATTAAAAGTATACTTTTGTTATAGGTAGGCATAGGATTAAGCTGGTTGGGTTAAAAACAATAAGAGCATCATCCCCACCCTCAACCCCTAGATTGGAGTAACATTTCTCCCAGACTTCCTGGAAACTGCATAGTAGATATAGGATGAAAAAGATGTTGGGAAGAGAATCAAAATGTCTCATTACTCCTTCCTCCTCCTGCTGGGTCCTATTTTCTTGGCGGATACTAGGCAACTAACTAGAGCTATGTAGATGGCCTTGGTGTGCTACATTATAGTGGTTGGGGTAGACCTGTGAGTTGCTGTTCTCTTATAACGTGGAAATTCTATGGTCTTAACTTGAACTGGAACCATGGATAAACTCTTGACACTGTAGCAGTGGGTGAGTTATCTTCAGAAAAAAGCCCTTCTGATGTCTCTCATTGCACAAACGTTTCCGGATGGTTAAAACAAACTTAGTAGTCTTGTAGGAAGAACACTAAACTAGGGTTCAGAAGAATAAACAAAATGACTCCTGTAAAGGACCTCACCGAGCCTGGCATGTAGTAGGTGCTGGCATATAGGAGGTGCTGAGTAGGTCAGCCATGTAAAACATCATTACATCCATACAGATCTGTTTACCAGCTCACGGTCTTGGTCAGGTCACTTAAATTCTTGGAGCTTCAGTTTTCATATTAAAAGGTTTGGTTGCTCTTACCTATAAAATGGAAACAGTACCATCTTGCAGCATCTTGGGTGGGTTATTTTGTGGTTTAGATGAATAAAGGTGGTGGATGTGTTTGTAATCAGTAATGTAATGCTCAAAAGAGAGTAGCAGCAGGGTGCTTTGTCAATGCTTTATTTTGAGGAATAAATTAATATTTTCAATAAATGTTATTGAGTATTTACTATTAACTCAAATGTTATTATTTACTCGTGTTTGAGATGCAATGTTGAATAAGATGCATTCTTGGCCGGCAAGGAGCTCATAGTCTAGCTAAGGACACTGAGAAGTGACCAAGAAGTCATCCCAGGTCTCTCTGGGAGCCTAAAGGAGGACCACAAACTCAGTATGAGCAGGATCAAGAAAGGTCTTTCTAGGACATGACACTTGAGTCTGAGGGTGAACTGGAGTTAATGAGGAGGAGGTGGTTGGAGGCAGTGGAAACAGTCAGTGAGAAGATAAGTGCGATAGAGCTGGACCACTCCAGCCTGGCTGGAGCACAGCAGTGGGGGCATGGAGAGGGCAGGGAGAGGTTGGCACTGTCAGATCACACAGGGCCTTGTATGCCACGCTAAGAATTTGGAATTCACCCAGAGGGGAAGCCCTTTGTGAGTCATTAACACCCACAATCACTTTAGCTGCTTTGTGGAAAATAGATTGGAGAGGAAAACACTAGAGTAAAGAGACCAAGCAAGAAGCTATTGCAGGAATTCAGGAAGCACTGAAGAAGGAAAAAGAAATGGACATACCTGGATGATAGTTAAGAAGTCAAATCAACAGGATTTGGGGACTGATTGGATGGAGGGGTGACAGACAAAGATTTGAGGGTTTTACCAAGTCTCTGACTTGGGTGAATTGTTGAGGCCATTCAGAAAGATGGAGAAAGTAGGAGGAAGAGCCAGCTAAAGGAAGCTGTACACTTTGCAGGTGTCTAATGGTTCCGGATGCCACTCTGGAAAACCTCCCAAGGATGACTGTAATGAACATCTGGATCTGAGGTTGAAGCATCACTGTTGGGAAGAGTCTCTGTGCTCTTCTTCATGTCCTCAGTGAAGATGGCTTGGCAAGCAGAACACATCAGTGTTCACATGTGTGCCAAGTGGATGAGTCTATACATGCTGATAATTGGTATTCAGTCAACCAAGACAGGCAGTAGGAGGACTTTCGTCTGTGTTTTTGTGGCATTTGCTTGGTTTGTCTCAGACAGATTTGAATGTCTCTTTGCTGCTTGCAGATGTAGCTGCATGAGAATGCATTCCTTTTTCTTGTCCAAATATTAATAAAAATATTTTGCATAGAGCTGTGGGTGCCTTTCTGGAACATCTAAGGGCGTCGAACAGCTCTGGCTGAGAAAGAATTGATCCCTGCAGAGAAGGAAGCTGTGTCTCTGTGTTCCACACCCGAGTTCCTCAGCTGAGGATTCAGAGCTGCTGCTGGTAAAGGGAATAGGATTCTCACTATTTTTCAGAGGTGTTAGCATCTTCTGAGATGGCTCAGTTTCTATTTCAGTACTGGGAACCAATATGTCTGACTCTGTCCTGAGCTGAGCCTGGAAAGAAGACCAAATTCAATCCACCCAAGTGGAGCTGAGCTTAATCACAGGAAGCATGGTTTTCTCCCACATTCCAGGCCACTCACTACTTCTCATTTTGGACAAAGGAGCCCTGGGTGGAGAAGTGGAAAGAAATGAAGAAGGTGTGGTACAGGTGCCAGGCTAACCATGCATTTCTGTTTGCCCTTTAATTTCCAAGACAGCTCTGTGAAGGAGACAGTCTCATTCAACTTAGAGATGAGAAACAAAGCCAAGAGAAGCTCACTTTACCCAAGACCACACAGTGGCACTTTTAATATCATTGTGAATATATTAATAAACTCATTCTAAGTGAAAAAAAAAAAAAAAGGGACAGCCTGGGGTGAAGTCATGGCTCTAGTCCTAGGGCCATGCACCTTTCTCATGATGCACATTTCTCAATAGGATACAAGAAGAAAGAAGAGAAGATCCACAGGGAACCTGGGTGACAATCATGATTCCTTGTCTAAAATGAATACGACACCCCAAATGCCTAGGGAATCAGCAAGGTTTTGCTGAACTAATGGAAACCATGAAAACTGAGGACAGACTCAAGGTCCAAAATGGCCTCAAGGGGCTGAAAAAAGGCCGATTCTAACAAGATGATATGGAATGAGTGTCATATGTCAGATTCTTGAAAGCAGCACTAACTAGACCTGCCCGAGCATTGTTACAGGTGCTTTATACAGATAATCTCATTTAATGAGCACGATTATGCTCAGAGGTAGGCAGTGTCATCCCATTTTACAGAAAGAGCTATGGTGTAGAGAGGCTAAGTAATTGGTCAAGGTCATGATGCTAAGTAAATGGTGGATCCAGATGTGACTCAGGACGTGGCAGTCTCATCTGGAGATCCTTCCTCTTGACTGCTATGCATTGTCAGCTTCTGACAGCAGCTAACTCAAACCCCGCTGAGTGAAACATTAGTTGTGTTTCCATTAACGTCAAGGGAAGAAATAAGTATGCTCTCCATTGGTGCTATTTAATAACTTAAAAAATTGAGTAAATAGAGCAAAGGAATGAGCAGAATTAGGGCTGGGCTAATCATTACTCATGGATGATATTATCATCAGCTTAATAAAAACAAAAAGAGATTAAACTAAAAAACTATTTATAATAATATAAGATTGCAGTATGAGGGTGATATTTAAATGTAGCAAAATCAATGATTTTTCCATGTCAGTGATAGTCACTTATAAATCTTACTTTAAAAATCCCACTGAAAATAGGAATACAAATATAAAGTCCTTAGGGATAAACTCAGCAAGAAATATACATAAACAATATATAAGCTTTAGATAACAAAAATTCTCTGAGAGACATAAAAGAAAACATAAATAATTTAAGGAACATACCAATTTGAGAGTGGGAAGACCCAGTTCTTACGTGTATCAGTAGTTTCATATTAATTGTTGAGTTGCAATTCTGTTAACTCTATGTCAACATATTTTTAAAATCAAGAGAATACATATTCATAGGATGACAGTAATCCTCAAATTAATTATTTGGTGATTTCTTTTAACTATTATATATTTTTATTATGGGTTTTAAAAATTGAGGTAATACATGTGTTTGGTTAAAAAAATCAAATTAAACAAAAAGACTTATAAAGAGAAACAACTCTTTCTTGCTTCATCCTTCCCATCATGAGCCCCATTCTTCAGAGACAGCCTGTTTTTTTCTTCTGAGATAGGGTTTCTGTCCCCCAGGCTGGAGTGCCATGGCACAATCATAGCCACCGCAGCCTTGACTTTCGGGAGGCTGTGTTGTATACTGCCTCAGCACCCCCTCCACTGAGTAGCTGGGACCACAGGCACATGCCACCATGCCCAGCTAATTTTGTATTTTTTGTAGAGACAGGGTTTTGCCATGTTGGCCAGGCTGGTCTCAAACTCTTGGGCTCAAGCGATCTGCCTGCCTAGGCCTCCCTAAGTGCTGGGATCACAGGCATGAGCCACCATGCCTGGCCCAGAGACAGTCTTTATTAACACTTTTAGCTATTTCTTCTGAGCATTACCTCCCTATTTTTAAAATATATTTTGCCACAATTTATAGATTGATCGATTCTAGACATTAATTACTGACTTCTTCCTATGACAGATGAAGATTTAATTCTCTTCCACCACCTCTGCATCTCTCCTTAACGCTCAATACAATAATATCATTCTTCCCTTTTTCTATGGGTTACATTTGTTACTTTTAGTGATTTGTTTATGCTTTTTTTCTAATTTGGTCAATAAGAGCATCTTCTGACTCCTCATCTTGTAAGATGAAGGTGCTATCATCCCCCACAATCTCCTACCCCTTTCCACTCTCATTATCTGTACTTAGATGTCTACGTTAAGGTGGAGGATGTTTTTATCGTGTTATTTTACCCTAAAGTCTTTTTGTTTGTTCTTGTTCAACTTTAAAAGTTGACAATCAGTAAATAGGGATTACATGGCTGTGACTATGGAATCATAATTCACTTCAGAGCCAACTAGTGCACTGTGAGGACAGTGCTTTCATTGAACAGTATTTTTTTTTCTTGCTGGAGTTAAAAAAAGAGATTTTTTCTTTTGTTTTTTCGTTGTTTGCCTTTATTGTCTTTTTAAGTCTAAATTGTCATGAAAATGACACAAATCTCTCCGACTCCAGCCCCCAGTTTGCCTCTTGTCTCCTGTTTGGGCTGATTGCTCATCTTCCCAAGACTTCCCTCCACACTTGCTGATGCCTGGCTCTCCTGGTCCCCACAGGCCACATTTACACCCTTATTTTGTTGGGCCTTATCTCCTCATGACTTTCCAAGCAAAGACAGATAGGAAATAATTTTTCTCACTTTTACATAACTAAAATTGACTTTATTCCACTCTAATACCAAATGGCTTTAACTTTTGTTGATGATCTTTGCCTGAATCCTTTACTTCGTTTAGGGCTGCAAACGGGTGATTTTCGAATTCCTTGGTTCCTTGCATATTTATTAGCTGGCATTCTTCTGTAAAGATGATTTTTTCATCATCAATGAGGTGTAAACTACTATTCCTAAAAGTGGGGAATTGCTTAATCCTTTTTTTTTTCCCCAATTTTCAGGGTAAGGAGTTGATGAAAGTGTCACAGGCCAGTTTTTTTTTTTTTTTTTTTTTTTTTTTTAATGTCAAGTGAACATATATATGAAACAGAAAGCAAAAGTTGGGTTGCCCTCCTATTGGGCCGACACATAAGCAATCCTCTGTGATTGACGGATTTCCTCCTATTTGGGAATCAAAAGGACAGGGAAGGTTGGAGGGTGCTGCACCAAACAAATTCAAATCCTAAACCCTTGCTCAGCACAGGTGGAGGAAGAGGACAGACCTTACCAACTGGGAAGGCTTCCTGACCAGCCTCTCCCAGCAGGAGAGGCAATGCACAGGAAATATCCTGGGCAAAAACTCTACCCATTGTAATGCTTGTGTTTTAAATTTTCATGCCCCAGATGTTTTTAGAATAATTGCTGTGCCTAGTGAAGCTGTGCCTGCCTCCGCAAAGGCAGTCCCTTCCCTGAGCTTCCCGTAAGCCCCATCCTCTCATGGGGCTTAGGTAAAGGAAGAAGATCTCAAATGACTTCCCAGTCCTATTTGGTTAATCTGTTGTGCTACGATGAATACCCCTGGGTTTGGAGTTCACTGAAGCTTCGCAGTAAAACGAGAAAGGGAGGACATTTAAAAGGCTTCATAATCCTCTTGTGTCTTGAAGCAAAGATTGTAATTTCTGGTTCAAAGGAACCACAGCACAAACCATCTGCTTTGTTTTGTTTGTCCCAGGGGAAAACATATAACCAACACAATAATACAACCTCTGGTTCTGTTCTGGACCCTGTGCTAGGCAAGGCAGCCATGGAGATGGAACGCAGATGTGGATGTGTAACCATATTGACGGGGGTAGAGAGTCATTTCCCTGCAGTCCCTCAAGAGAGCGTTTCTGCAAGCAAAGAGTTTCCCTATCAGGAAAGTGATGAGGTGGAACTGGGCAGAAGTCCTGTTCACAAAATGTCCTGTACAGTGTGGGCACAAAATAGGTATCTATAAATATCACCTTCACGCCCACTCTGTCCCCCACAAAGGCAATCTCTACAGTCTCCTCTAGATCTGCAGTTCTGCGCCTCCATCTGCAAAATGGACTGATAGGGAGGATCGAGTGGAATGCTTGGAGTGGAAGTAGAGAAGTAGATAGGAAAGCTCTGTGCTCACAGGCAACGAGTTTAGTAGTGCCCCTTATAAATGAGAAAAGCTTTGGAGAAGACTCTTGGCCCAGAACCTCCCATCCCTACACATGTAAAGGGGAGCATTTCTTTCTTTTCTTGTGGAAGGAGGGCACTGGAAAGGCAGAGCTGGAGGTGGTGGTTTGGAGTGACCACAGGGACCGCAGGCCTTCCAGATACTCTCCTGGAAGAGAAAGCAGAGTCTAGAAGGCCTTATCTCCAAGGAGGAATGGCTTCTGCTTCTGGAATTCGGTCTTCCCATGGCTCCCACTTGCTTTGCTATACATACATATATATATATATATATATATATATATATATATATATATATATATATACATACACACACACACACACACACACACATACACACATATACATGGCTCCCATGCCAGTCTTCCCATGGTTCCCACTTACTTTGCTATATATATATATATATATATATATATATATATATATGTGTGTGTGTGTGTGTGTGTGTGTGTGTGTGTGTGTGTGTGTTTTAGTTTTAGTTTTTGGAGACAGAGTCTCACTCTGTTGTCCAGGCTGGAGTGCAGTGGCAAAATCTCAGCTCACGGCAACCCCTGCCTCCCAGGTTCAAGCGATTCTCCTGCCTCAGCCTCCCAAGTATCTAGGACTACAGGTATGCACCACCACGCCCAGCTAATTTTTTGTATTTTTGGGAGAAATGGGGTTTCGCTATGTTGGCCAGACTAGCCTCGAGCTCCTGAGCTCAGGCAATCCGCCTGCTTCAGCCTCCCAAAGTGCTAGGATTAGAGGCATGAGCCACCGTGCCTGGCCCCATTTTGCTATTTTTTTTTTCCTTTCAAAATGGATCTATTTTTTCCTAAGACTTGAACATTATTTTAAAAAATTCAAACCCTACAGAGAAAGTTCAGGTCCTTCTATCTCACGGAGGAAACTACTATTAACAGGCAGATCTACAGTCATTCAGACTTAAAAGATAAATATGTAGATATCTGAATAACTTACATTTTATTACATAAATGGAATGTCTTTGATTCTGCACCCCCCAACAACATACATATACATTTCTCCCCATTGTTGGTGTAACCTGGTGTCCCTAACATCTCTCCAGGTCTGCCCACATTTAAACAGAATTTGATCCTCTGGAGTTTCAGAGTCCCTTTCCTCTTCCTGGCTGCTCCAAAGATTTGACACTCCGCTCCATCTGGGACTCCTTGTGGAGTTATTGCCGACTTCTCACCTCAACACACTTCCCAGGAAGCAGAGTTGTGGATGCGTATGTCTATGTTTTAGCAAATATTTTCCTCTCCAGGGGCACAAACCATGGTGACATTTTGAGAGAGAGAGAGAGAGAGAGAGAGAGAAAGAGAGAGAGAGAGAGAGAGAGAGAGAGAGAGAACATGCACAGCACCAAGACCCTGATTGTTTGGGGACGCTCACTATTCATGAAATGCGCTTCATGGTTCTCTCCCCAAGAAGGTAAGTCTGAGAAGTTCATAACCGGCCCTCTGCTCTGGCCTTTTTTTCCCCCTTCCGCTTTTCATTTTTGATTAAAGCATAACTGAGATACAGTAAAGTGCACACATCTTCTATTTACAACATCATGTAAATAATATTGTAGCTGTCTGGTGTCAATTTTAGACTTAAGGGATTTTGATCTTTCAAGATTTCTATGTTTGGGATTATGGCCCAAACCCTCAGCTATCTGTGTAACCATCACCCAGACGAAGGACTGGACATTCCAGCAGGGTGCTTCCTCTTCCTGGCCTCCTTTCCCACTGGCCCACGTTGTAGAAGTTCCCGGGGTGCTTGTTAGGCCACCACTGTCGGCTGGGCCGCTCCTTTTCCTATCCCCAGACATCGCTTCCTCACTTCCCCCAGCACCTTTTTCGAAGAAGTCACTACCCTGACAAAAACCAGACCCTTTCCTTCAGCTTCTTGGTTCTTCCCAGCTTCATTTTCCCTGCATCCTCACTTAGTCCTGGACCCAGATGCAGACCAAAGCTCCCAGCAGCACCCCCGCCTGCAGCCCTGACATAGTCCAGAAAGGGTTAAACCCGGGCAAGCACCAGCTCCACGCAGTTAATCCGGGATTCTCGGCACTGATCTCTGTGCCTGTCATTTGCATTTCTCTTCTTTGTGCAGGCTTTTCTTCCTCCCTTTCCCGGGGCCCAGGCGCCGGCATTAGCATACTGCGCCCCGCGCGCCTGCTGCAGGGGGCCCCCCGCTGTGTGCCAGCCTGCGCAATCTGCAGGCGCCATCAATTTTTCAGCACTTTTCTCATTTCTCATTACCGTCAGGCCCATGCGGCTCCCCGCTCAACACCCTCCTCGGCCGGCCGGCCGCACTGCCGGGGAGCAGGCCAGGGGCTGTCATGTCCCTGCCGACCCTCCGGAGCACGCACTTGGTTGTTGAAACTCCCACCATAATTAATCACAGTATTAATCCTGGCCAAGCCTGTCTTCCTGAATAATTATGTCAACACGCTTGGGTGCCTGTGCCCGACAGAAATTTTACCAACCTTGAGAACTAGACTATATCCCTGAAGCCAGGACTG